>NC_000019.10:45725722-46028752 GCF_000001405.40 Homo sapiens
GACTTTGTCTCAAAAACTTAAATAAAAATGAATAAATAAACACATGGACTACTTAAGGAATGAACCCCATTTTCCAGATTCAAAGTTGGGCACTCTGACTCCAGAGTGCATTTTTCTCCCTGTTTTCTTTTTGTTTTGTTGTTGCTTTGATTTTTTTGTTTGTTTGTTTGAGATGGTCTCGCTCTATCACCCAGGCTATAGTGCAATGGGGCAATCAGAGCTCACTGCACCTTCCACCTCCTGGGCCCAAGTGATCCTCCCGCCTCAACCTCCAGAGGTGCTGGGACTATAGGCTCATGCCACCAAGCCTGACTAATTTTTTAAAAAATTTATTTGAGGCTGGGTGCAGTGGCTCATGCCTGTAATTTCAACACTTTGGAAGGCCAAGACGGGCGGATCATTTGAGCATAGGAGTTCAAGACCAGCCTGGGCAACATAGTGAGAACCCGTCTCTACAAAAAAGATACAAAAATTAGCTGTGTGTAGTGGCATGCAACTGTAGTCCCAGCTATACTCAGGAGGCTGAGGTGAGAGGATCACTTGAGCCCGGGAAGTTGAGGCTGCAGTGAGCTGAGATCGCACCACCGCACTCCAGCCTAGGAGACAGAGCAAGACTCCATCTAACAACAACAACAAAAAAAATGGCTGGGCACGGTGGCTCACACCTGTAATTCTAGCACTTTGGAAGGTTGAGGCGGGTGGATCACTTGAGGCCAGGAGTTTGGCACCATCCTGGCCAACACAACGAAATCTCGTCTCTACTAAAAATATAAAAATTAGCAGGGCATAGAGGTGTACACCTGTAATCCCAGCTACTTGGGAGGCTGAGGCAGGAGAATTGCTTGAACCCAAGAGGCGGACGTTGCAGTGAGCCAAGATCATGCCACTGCACTCCAGCCTGGGCAACAAAACGAGACTGTCTAAAAAAAAAAAAATTGTTTGTAGAGATGAATTTTCCCTGTGTTGCCCAAGCTGATTTCAAACTCCTGAGTTCCACTGATCCTGCCACCCTGTTAATCCCAGCCTCCCACCTTGGCCTCCCAAAGTGCCAAGATTATAAGCATGAGCCACCTTGCCCAGCCTCAGTACCTTTTCTTGAAAGAATAAAAATCATAGAAAGACCTCACACTTATTGAGAGCATAATACACCCCAGGCATTTTATATATGCCACCTCATCAGTTACCACGTCAACTCCTTACGAGAAGCTCAGAGTTTAAATGTGGTCCCATTTTTACATGAGAATACTGAGGCTGGCTGGGCACTGGGGCTCATGCCTGTAACCCCAGCACTTTGGGAGGCCTAGGCGGGTGGATCACTTGAGGTCAGGAGTTCAAGATCAGCCTGGGCAACGTGGTGAAACGCTGACTCTACAAAAATTAGGCAGGTGTGGTGACACACGCTTGTAGTCCCAGCTACTCAGGAGGCTGAGGTGGGAGGATCCCTTGATCCTGGGAGGTGGAAGTTGCAGTGAGCCAAGATGATGCCCCTGCATGCCAGCCAGGGCAACAAAGTGAGACCCTGGTTCAAAACAAAAAAAAAGAAAAAAAAAAAGAGGTCGGAGCAGTGGCTCACGCCTGTAATCCCAACACTTAGGGAAGTCAAGGAGGGTGCATCACCTGAGGTCAGGAGTTCGAGACCAGCCTGGCCAAGATGGTGAAACCTCATCTCTACTAAAAATACAAAAATTAGCTGGGCGTGGTGACACAAGCCTGTAATCTCAGCTACGCAGGAGGCTGAGGCAGAAGACATCATTTGAACCCGGGAGGCGGAGATTGCAGTGAGCCAAGATCACACCACTGGCCTCCAGCCTGGACAACAGTGAGACTCTGTCTCAAAAAAAAAAAAAAAGGGAAAAGAAAACTGAGGCCCAGAGTGGGAATGCAGCTTGGCCAAGGTCACACAGCAACAGAAGCAGGGTTTTGACCCTGCGCCTCTCTGAAGCCAGTGTTTTCAACCATAAGCTTACTATCACAGCCAATGAATTAAGCCCAGAAAGCTCACAATAAACCAAACTGTTTCAAGGTGAATTTACAAAGTTGTCAAACTGCCCAATGAGGCCTTAATGACCCAAAAGTTAAACGAACAAAAGCAAACTAACAACAACAACAACAAGAAAAACCTAGTTAGAAATATTTTCTCTTCACTGAAACACCTGGAGTAAGGCCAGACTGGGTATTTGGCGGGGACAGGAATGGGAATGGGGACACACTGAGTTTCCTTGTTCTTTTTTTTTGAGACAGTCTCACTCTGTCGCCCAGGCTGGAGTGCAGTGGCACAATCTTGGCTCACTGCAACCTCCACCTCCTGGGTTCAAGAGATTCTCCTGCCTCAGGCTCCTGAGTAGCTGGGACTACAGGCGCCCGCCACCACGCCCAGCTAATAGAGATGGGGTTTTGCCATGTTGGCCAGGCTGGTCTTGATCAAACTCTTGGCCTCGGGCAATCTGCCCGCAATGGCCTCCCAAAGTGTTGGGATTACAGGCATGAGCCACCATGCCCAGCCCACAGATTGAGTTTGTAAGCACACTCTCCAGAAGTCGTAATTGGATTTAGGAGCCCAGAGGTGGAGGGCAGGGACATGGTGACAACATGAGAGAGAAAGGAGACAGCCTGACATCTTCCCTCTTGGTTCCTCTCTACTGCCTTCTCTTTCCCACTGACATTCAAAAACAACAACTCACACGTACTGAGCCCTTCCATAAGTATTGGAGTAAGGGCTCATAAAGTAAGTTCCACTATACTGCATTATCTTCCCGAAACTTCTCACCTTCCTAGGGTTACTGATCCCATTTTATAGGTGAGAAGAACCCAAAAGAAGAACCCTTGCCCAGGGCCAGGCGTGGTGGCTCACGCCTGCAATCCCAACACTTTTGGAGGTTGAAGCAGGAAGACCCCTTAAGCCTAGGAATTTGAGACCAGCCTGGGCAACAAAGTAAGACCCGCGTCTCTACAAAAATAAAAATAAAAAATTAGCCGTGTGTAATAAAAAATTAGTCCCAGCTACTTGGGAGGCTGAGGTGGGAGGATCGCCTGAGCCCAGGAGGTTGAGGCTGCAGTGAGTCATGATTGCGCCACTGCATTCCAGCCTGTCTGGGCAACAGAGCGAGACCCTGTCTTTAAAAAAATAAAAAGGCTGCGCGCAGTGGCTCACGCCTGTCATCCCAGCACTTTGGGACGCTGGGGCGGGCAGATCACCTGAGGTCGGGAGTTCAAGACCTGTCTCTACTAAAAATACAAAATTAACCAGACGTGGTGGCGCATGCCTGCAATCTCAGCTACTCGGGAGGCTGAGGCGGAGAATTGCTTGAACCCGGGAGGCGGAGGTTGCGGTGAGCCAAGATTGCACTCCGCCTGGGCAACAAGAGCGAAACTCCGCCTCAAAAACAAAACAAAACTAAACAAAAAACCATAAAAATAAATATAGGGCCAGGCGCAATGGCTCACGCCTGTTAATCCCAGCACTTTGGGAGGCCGAGGCGGGTGGATCACCTGAGGCCAGGAGTTCAAGACCAGCCTGACCAACATGCAGAAACCCTGTCTCTACTAAAACTACAAAAATTAGCCAGGGCGTGGTGGCACATGCTTGTAATCCCAACTACTCAGGAGGCTGAGGCAGGAGAATCGCTTGAACCCGGGAGGCAGAGGCTACAGTTAGCCATACCACTGCACTCCAGCCTGGGTGACAGAGGGAGACTGTCTCTAAATAAATAAATAAAAATAAATAAAAGACTTGCCTAAGGTCATATAGCAAGTAAATGGCAGAACTAATATTCTAGACTGCTTTGTTCGCTGTCTCTACTCATCACATTGTATATTTCAGTATGGAGAGAGGACTAAATTATAGTGCTGAAAGCACAGATTCTGAGCCAGGCTGCCAAGATCGGAATCCTGAGTCTAGCAATTAATGCTGGATAGCCTTGGGAAAGTTGCTTAATTTCTCTGTACTTCTGCTTCCTTTCTGTAAAATGGAGAAAATAACAGCACCTACCCCTCAGGGGTGTTATCAGAATTAAATGAGTTAATGTGTACAAACAGCTAAGGACAGGGCCAGGCATTTTGTAAAACAATAAGCGTTAGCTGTAATCCACAGTGGGGAGCCCCTACATGCTTCTGAGCTGGGGTGTGTGCCCAGATCAGTGCCAGCTTTTGAGAAAACGCCTCTGGGACTGGACTGGAAAGGAGGAAATCCATTAGCACCTGTAACCCAGTCACATTCCGGGGGCGGAGAACTTCCCACCAACAGCTCTGAGACTGAAACTTCACAGCCCAGCTCTCCCACTAATAGTAACGATTTTAATGACTCCCTTTAACCCTGTTCTCAGAGGCATGCTTGCTGTTCCCATACTACAGATAAGGGCACTGAGGCTCACAGATTTGTCCATGGCACAAAGGGGTGGAAGAATAGGGGATATGAATGCTGTACTTCTCATAGGGATAAACCATTACACTCTTCTAAATTCCACCGGGGAAGTGAGGGTGCGAAAGCCTGTCTCGATGGCCCTTTCTGGCCGTATTATCCTACAGTTCTGTGCCTGTCCAGCTTACCGGGAGTCTCTGGCGGGACTAGGGAAATTATCACTACATCCAGGCCCCTAATTTCACGCTCCTTACCCCACCCTCAGTCCTGGAGCCTAAACCCACACTCTATCCTACCACTGATTTCTCCCTCCTACCTCCTCAACTTGCCTTCCTGCCCCCAATCCGATCCAGAGGCCCCAACCCATTGCGTCCACCGTTCGCCTGTCCCTTGGAGCTTCCAGACCCCCTCACTCATCCTAACCCTGATCCTCATACCCTCGCCGCAGGTTAAGCCCCCATCGAAATCGACCCCTTCAGGGCCTCTACCTGGATGTCCAGCCCAGTCTCCAACTCGGGGCCCACTTCCCCAGCTCTGAGCCCCTTTACAATCAATTCCAAAGCTCCACTCCCACCCCACCTCCAAGACCCCTCCCCAAGCCACCATTCTTCTACTACTACCTCCGGCTCCCATTCCTCCCAGTCCTCTCCCCCAGGCAATCTCCCCTCACCCAGCCCCTTCTTTCGCCCCTGCCTCTTCCCCCTCGTCACCCGGTCCCGAACCCCCGTCCCGACTCTCCAGCGCCCCCGGCCCGCGCCTGGGCTCTCACCATCGCCGCGCGCTGCATCTCCCTCGGCTACGCGGGTTTCCCCCACTCGCTCCTCTCCAGCCTCCCCTTCCGGGTTCTCGTCCCGAAGCCCGCTGGGAATTGAAGTCCGGGCAGCCACGGACTACATCCCCCAGAAGGCAGCACGGTCAAGCTTGGAGGTGGGGTAGGAAGCAAATTAGGCGGGCGGAGGAAAAGAACGACTCGAACTCCCGGGAGACAAAGCCGGGGAGGACTTGGCAGCGCAAGCGCAGGGTGCTTCCCCGCTGGGCGCGCTGGGAGATGGAGTCTAGCCAGGAGGGCTCCATTTTTGCCCGAGGCCCTTGGGAAGGGAATTGAGAATATTGCAATAGGGTGTTGGTGAGGGGTGGAGAGTTGGGGAAGAGCAAATTTATTGATTCATTTGTGCCGATCAACACAATAGCTAACAGCTCCTTGTGCTTTTCCAAACTCCTTCCCATCCATCCCCTTCTTTTTTTTTTTTTTTTTGAGACGGAGTCTTGCTCTGTCACCCAGGCTGGAGTGCAGTGGCGCAATTTCGGCTCACTGCAACCTCCGCCTCCTGGGTTCAAGCGATTCTCCTGCCTGAGCCTCCTGAGTAGCTGGGATTACAGGAGCCCGCCACCACGCCCGGCTAGTTTTTGTATTTTTAGTAAAAACGGAGTTTCACCATGTTGGTCAGGCTGGTCTTGAACTCCTGACCTCATGATCCACCCGCCTCGGCCTCCCAAAGTGCTGGGATTACAGGCGTGAGCCACCGCGCCCGGCCCGTCCCCTCCTTTCTTACCTCCTGATTTACAAATGAGAAAATTAAGCCTTAGGAGGAAGGAAAGTCCCATACATTAGGAGTTAGTCCACATCATAGAATAGCAGCTCCACATCGCTCGAGCCCAGGAGTTCGAGGCAGTGAGCTAGTGTTACACCACCGCCCTCCATGCAGTTCAGCCTGGGCGACAGAATGAGACCCTGCTGCCTCTTAAAATAAAAGAAGGCCGGGCGCGGTGGCTCACGCCTGTAGTCACAGCACTTTGGGAGGCCGAGGCGGGCTGATCACAAGGTCAGGAGATCAAGACCATCCTGGCTAACACACTGAAACCCCATCTCTACTAAAAATACAAAAAATTAGCCGGGCTGGGTGGCGGGTGCCTGTAGTCCCAGCTACTCGGGAGGCTAAGGCAAGAGAATGGCGTGAACCCAGGAGGCGGAGCTTGCAGTGAGCCGAGATCGCGCCACTGCACTCCAGCCTGGGGGACAGAGCGAGATTCCGTCTCAAAAAAAAAAAAAAGAAGAAGAAGAAGAAGAAGCTCCAGGAGGGCAGAGATCTTTGTGTACCTTGTTCAAGCACCTAGAACAGCGTAAACATGTGTTCAGTAAATATTTATTGCATCGGAACTATATGCCAGACACCCTACAGACAACCCTGGTAGGAATTACAATCCCAAATTTATAAGGCAGAAAGAGATTAAGCCTCTTGTCGCTGGCAACACAGCCAAGAAAACGATTTGAACTGAAATGTATTGGATTTCAGGGTTTCTACTCTTGACTAGGTCGTTAGATCATCTCCCCTTAAGACGTATTTTCCAGGCTGGGTGCGGTGGCTCATGCTTATAATCTCAGCCGGGAGACTGGCTTTAGTCCAGGAGTTTAAGACCAAACTAGGCAGCAAAGTGAGACCCTCGTCTCTACCAAAAAAAAAAAAAAAAAAAGCCCAAATCTTTTATTCTTTTTCTTTCTTTTTTTTCCTTTTTTTTTTTTTTTTTTTTTTTGAGACAGAGTCTTGCTCTGTCGCCCAGGCTGGAGTGCAGTGGCGATACCAGCTCATTCAACCTCCACCTCCCAGGTTCAAATGATTCTCCTGCCTCAGCCTCTGGAGTAGTTGGGACTACAGGCGCGCCCCACCATGCCCGGCTAATTTTTGTATTTTTAGCCGAGACGGGGTTTCACCATTGTTGGCCAGGCTGGTCTGGAACTCCTGACCTCAAGTGATCCGCCCGCCTCGTCCTCCCAAGAAGGCCCAATTCAAATGGCCCTCCTCTTTGAATCCTTTCCCAACGTATTGTTCTCTGCATTAACCGAGTTCCCGTCTCACCGGATTCTCATGGTCTCGGAGGTTCTCACGGTCTTCTCGATTGTACTGGGAAGACAGTGGCTAAGTTCCCACCATCTAGCCTGGTGCTTGGCACACAGGAGGCCCTCATGAATCACGAACTGAAGGGAAAAGGTGGAAATGGGACATCATAGGGCCAGAAGGGACACAGGCGAGCTCGCTCTCTCTCTCTTCCTGAGAGTTGGCAGTTGAGGAAACCCAGCCTACTTGGGATGCAACGGCCCTGGACCACGCGGGTCGTGCAGGGGCGTGACCGCTTAAAAAGGCGGGTGGCTGAGCGGGCGCTGATTGGTCACCTAGCGGCTCACGCCGACCAAGGCCTTGTCAGAAGGCTCGAGGCCGAGCTCACGCTGTGCAAGACGACAGGGCCCTTCCCGAGGCGCGCGTGCGCACGGCCACTTGCACCCTGCCCTTTCAACCCCGTCGTCTCGTGCCCAGCACATCTTGGCTGGAACTGGTAGGGGCGTGGCCTGGCCTCAGGAACGCACTCTTGCTCTGCTCCTCACGCCTCGCGCAGGATCCTCGCGCCGGGAGGATTCGCACCCAACCCCAAGCCCGGTTGGGAACGTGGTGTCCGAGACCGTCTGGGATCCCCGCGCGCACGGCCGGCTTCCCGGGACCCGCGCGAGACGCTGTCTGATCGGGCTCCCTAGAGTGGGGCCCGGAGAAACCAGAACGGCGGGGGCAGCCTCACGCCATTTTGCACGCCCTGAGGCGGGTGCTGGAGGCCAAGGGGAATGGGGCGCGGGGCAGGGGGCCTCCCCCAGCACTAGCTGGGCTTAGGGGAACCCGGGATCCCCACAGGAGCTTCCCTCGGTGGGGGGCTCAGGGGAATAGAACATGCTCTGGGTGCAGGGCCACGGGCGACGGAGTTTGGGTTTGAAGCCGGGGGTCCAGGTTCGAGTTTGAGGAACGGAAGACTCTGTTTGTGTTGGGAATCCGGGCTCTCGAGTTCTGATCTGGGATCTCGGGATTTGTGTCTAGGGGTGACTAGTTCTGGAATCTGAAGAGCTTGAGTTTTGTGACTGGAAGCTTTCTCCTTGGAATCCAGAGATCCCAATTTGGGGATCTGGAAGTCTTAGTTCTGAGTTATGATGTAACATTTTGAGAGTCTGGAGCCTGATTTGGGGCAACTGAAGCCTCAGTATAGATTTAGGGCCTAAATCCCAATGTAGAGTATGAAGCTTTAGGATCTGGAGTCGCAGTTTGAGTCTTTAGAAGCACGTTTTAGGGCCTGGAGTGCCCACATTGAGTATGGGAGCTCCAGTTTTAGGGTCTGGGGTTTCAGAGTAGGACCCACATTCGAGATCTCAGTTTTAGGGTTGGGGCCACAATTTGAGGGACAGTTTGGACGTCTAAGAGGTCAATCTGGAGAAGTGAGATTTGTTTCATAGGGGCCTGGATTTCTTATCTTAGGATATAGGTTCATAGTGTTACAGCTTGCAGTCTGTAATCTTAGTATTAGGATCATATTTGAAGATCAGAAGTTGACAGTTTGAGGGTCTGGGGTATCTCAGTATTAGAATTTAGGGTTTGTAGGTTTGGGAGGGCTCCTTTTTTTTTGTTTTTGAGACAAGGTCTCACTTTGTCATCCAGGCTGGAGTGCAGTAGTGCGATTTTAGCTCACTGCAGCCTTGACCTCCTGGGCTCAAACCATCCCCCCACCTCAGGCTCCCAAGTAGCTGGGACTACAAGCATGTGCCACTATGCCCAGGTAATTTTTTTTTTTTTTTTGTAGAGGTGGAGTTTTGTCATATTGCCAGGCTGGTCTCAAACTCCTGAGATCAAGCAATCCTCCTGCCTTGGCCTCCCAAAGTGCTAGGATTACAGGCGTGAGCCACTGTACCTGGCTTTGGGAGGGCTCCAAAGTGAGGATTTAGGTCCTCATTTTGGGACTCTAAAGTATTAGTTTTAGTGCCTTTTTAGAGGTTTAGGGGTTTGTTTTTGTTTTTGTTTTTTGAGACACAGTCTCACTCTGTTGTCCAGGCTGGAGTGCAGTGGCTTAATCCTGGCTCAGTGCAACCTCCGCCTCCCAGGTTCAAGTGATTCTCCTGCCTCAGCCTCCCAAGTAGCTGGGATTACAGTCGTGCACCACCACGCCCGGCTAATTTTTGTATTTTTAGTAGAGATGGGGTTTCACCATGTTGGCCAGGCTGGTCTCAAACTCCTGACCTCGAGTGATTTGCCTGCCTCGGCCTCCCAGAATGCTGGGATTACAGGTGTGAGCTACCACTTCTGGCCAAGGTTTAGCTGTTTAATTTGGGTCTTTGGGCCCATAATTTGTTGGGGCTAGGGACTCTTATTTTGGGATCTCTGGGTGCTCAAAGGAGCATCATAGGGAAGATGAAGGGTGCCCATCAGGGTTCCTGCCCATCCTTCCTGCAATCCCAGAGGTCACTAATCATTCTTTTTCCCTCTTTGCAGATGTTTGGTTCCAGCAGATACTTGGGTTCCTCTGAACAGCCCAGAGCTAATTCACTGGGTCCCAGTGACAGGTAAGGGCTTGCCCCATCTCCCTTATAGCCCCAGCCACTCTCATTGAATAATAATAACAAAAACATTTGCTGAGCATTTACCGTTTGCTAGACTCTTTGCCAAACATTTTGTTTGTATGATAACTGTTAATCCATACAACAATCTCATGAGGAAGTTGTGTACAAAGATGCCTACCATTTTCCAGATGAGAGTACTCTGAGGTGATCGGCAAAGATCATTGCTTATTTATTTATTTATTTATTTTTGAGACAGGGTTTCACTCCTGTTGCCCAGGCTGGAGTGCAGTGTTGCGATCCCAGCTCACTGCAACCTCCGCCTCCTGAACTCAAGTGATTCTCCTGCCTCAGCCTCCCCAGTAGCTGGGACTACAGGCTCATGCCTCCATGCCTGGCTAATTTTTGTATTTTTTGTAAAGATAGGGTTTTGCCATTTTCCCCAGGCTAGTCTTCAACTCCTGGCTTCAAGTGATCTGCCTGTCTCAGCCTCCCAAAGTGCTGGGATTACAGGTGTAAGCCACCATGCCCAGCCCATTTCTTTTTTTATTTTTAGGGCAAAGATAACTTCTAAGGTCCTTGCAGCCTGTGACATTCTGAGTTTGTTTGTTTTCAGAGTTAGGGTATCACTCTGTTGCCCACGTTAGAGTGCAGTGGTGGCATCATAGCTCACTATAGCCTCGGACTCCTGGGTTTGAGCCTGGGCTTGATCCTCCTGCTTCAGCCTTCCGAACAGCTAAGATTACAGGCACATGCCACCACACCCAGCCAGTTTTTCTATTTGTTGTAGTGACAGGGTCTTGCTATGTTGCACAGGCCTGTCTTGAACTTCTGGCCTCAAGTGATCCTCCTGTCTTATCTTCCCAAAGTGCTGGAATTACTAAGCCACCACGCCCAACTGACATTCTGAGTGTCTTTCTTTCTTTCCTTTTTTTTTAAGACAGAGTCTAACTCTGATGCCCAGGCTGTAGAGTGCAGTGGCGCGATCTTGGTTCACTGCAACCTCTGCCTCCCAGGCTCAAGCGATTCTCCTGCCTCAGCCTCCCAAGTAGCTGGGATTACAGGTGCCCACCACTATGCTCAGCTAATTTTTTTGTGTGTATTTTTAGTAGAGACAGGGTCTCACTGTGTTGGCCAGGCTGGTCTTGGACTCCTGACCTCGCGATCCGCCCGCTGGAGTGCAGTGGCGTCATCTGGGCTCACTGCAAGCTCAACCTCCCGGATTCACGCTATTCTCCTGCCTCAGCCTCCTGAGTAGCTGGGACTACAGGCGCCCACCACCATGCCTGGCTAATTTTTTATATTTTTTTTAGTAGAGATGGGGTTTCACCATGTTAGCCAGGATGGTCTCGATCTCCTGACCTCGTGATCCGCCCACCTCAGCCTCCCAAAGTGCTGGGATTACAGGCGTGAGCCACTGCGCCCAGCCTTTTTTTTTTTTTTTGAGATGGAGTTTCACTCTTGCTGCCCAGGCTGGACTGCAATGGCATGAACTCGGCTCTCTGCAACCTCCGCCTCCCGGGTTCAAGCGATTCTCCTGCCTCAGCCTCCCGAGTAGCTGAGACTACAGGCGCATGCCACCACGCCCAGCAAATTTTTGTATTTTTAGTAGACATAGGGTTTCACCATGTTGTTCAGGCTGGTCTCGAACTCCTGATCTCAGGTGATTCACCCGCCTCGGCCTCCCAAAGTGCTAGGATTACAGGTGTGAGTCAGCAAGCCTGGCTTCTTTCCTTTTTTTTTTTTTTTGAAACAAGGTCTTGCTCTGTCACCTAGGCTGGAATGTGGAATGCAGTGGTGCAATCCCAGCTGACTGCAGCCTCGACCTTCTGGGCTCAAACAATCTTCCCATCTCAGCCCCCTGAGTAGCTGGGACCATAGGCGTGCACCACCACGCCTGGCTAATTTTTGTATTTTTCGTAGAAATGGGTTTTTGCCATGTTGCCGAGGCTGGTCTCAAACTCCTGGGATCCAGTGATCCACCCAGCCTCCCAAAGTGCTGGGGTTACAGGCATGAGCCACCACGCCTGGCTCTTTCTTTTTAGACAGGGTCTTGCTCTGTTCCCCAGGCTGGAGTGCAGTGACACGATCACAGTTTACTGCAGCTTTGACCTCCCAGACTGAAGCAGTCCTCCCACATCAGCCTCCCAAGTATGCAGGACCACAGGCACACGCCACTATGCCCAACTAATTAAAAAAAAAAAAAATTGGCCAGGTGTGGTGGCTCACACCTATAATCTCAGCACTTTGGGAGGCCAAGGTGGGTTGATCACTTGAGGTCAGGAGTTTGAGTCCAGCCTGGCCAACATGGTGAAACTCCATCTCTACTAAAAATACAAAAATTAGCTGGGCATGATATAATCCCAGCTACTTGGGAGGCTGAGACAGGAGAATCGCTTGAACCCAGGAGGCAGAGGTTGCAGTGAGCCGAGATCGCGCCATTGCACTCCAGCCTGGGCAACGAGTGAAACTCTGTCTCAAAAAAAAAAAAAAAATTGTGGACAGGGTCTCACCATGCTGCCTACACTGGTCTGAAACTCCTAGGCTCAAGTGATCTTCCTGCCTCAGCCTCCAAAAGTGCTGGGATTACAGGCGTGAGCCACCATGTCTTTACTTCCTTTCTTTTATTCACGCATTCATTCATCCATCAAGCACTTACCAAGTGTAATGAATCTTATAGAGGGAATTTTCACAGCAGATTGGAGGTTGGATCAGATTTCTCCCTCCCTCCAAAGTCTGGATAAAGAAAAAATAAGGCCAAAGTTCATATTAACCCCTACCATCTCCCCCAGTGACTTTCCATCCAACTATCTCTTCATTAACTCCAAAATTAAGCATCTACGGGGTTATGTCCTGATAAACCCATCATAAACTGAAAATATTGTATGTCAAAAATGCATGGTTGATGGCTCAGGCCTGTAATCCCAACACTTGGCGAAGCCAAGGTGGGCTGATCACTTGAAGTCAGGAGTTTGAGACCAGCCTGGCCAACAGGGCAAAACCCCATCTCTACTAAAGATACAAAATTTAGCCAGGCATGGTGGTGTGTGCCGGTAATCCCAAGCTACTCAGGTGGCTGAAGCAGGAGAATCACTTGAACCTGGGAGGCGGAGGTTGCAGTGAGCCAAGATCGCGCCGCTGCGCTCCAGCAACAGAGCAAGACTCAGTCTAAAAAAAGAAAAAAAAGCATAGCTGATTGGGAGCTGTGGCCCAGTGTTGCTGCCCAGCACAGTAAGAGAAGTATGGCTTCTACTGAATTTGTATGGCTTTCACACCATTGTAAAGTCGAAAAATGTTAAGTCCGACTGTTGTAAGACGAGGACTGTGTGCTTTGTTTAGGTTCTCTACCTAGATACTATGCTCAGAAGAAGCACCATGAAGAAAATGAAGAATGCCTATCCTGCTGCCCATTCCTCCTGGAATTTTAGAGTTGCCACAATTCATACTTTCATCCCCCTTTCTAGATGTGGGGGTCCTTGTATTGATAAAGACTGTTAGTTGCGAAGAACAGAAACCTAGCAAAAACTGGCTTAAGCATAAAAAGGGATTTATTGGATCATTTAAACAAAAAATTCAGGGATGTCGGCCTTGGCTGGTTCCAGGATGGAGGTTAAATGATGTTGCCGGGAATCTGCGTCTCTTGGCTCTGGTATTGTCTGTGTTGGCTTCTGTCTCAAGCAGGTTCTCCCTTTGCTTTATTTATATATTTTATCTTATTGTTTGTTTGTTTGAGATGGAGTCTTGCTCTGTCACCCAGACTGGAGTGCAGTGGCATGATAGCTCAGCGCAACCTCCGCCTCCTGGGTTCAAGGGATTCTCCTGCCTCAGCCTCCCGAGTAGCTGAGATTACAGACATGTGCTACCAGGCCTGGCTAATTTTCTCATAGTTTTAGTGAAAACGGGGTTTCACCATGTTGGTCAGGCTGGTCTCGAACTCCTGACCTCAAATGATCTGCCTGCCTCAACCTCCCAAAGTGCTGGGATTACAGGCGTGAGTCATTGTGCTCAGCTGCAGGTTGTCCCTTTGGAAGGGCAAGATGGTTCCCAGCAGTTCCAGGTCTATATCTTGCCAACTCCATATACCCAGAAGAGAAAACATCTTTCTAAGATTGATTGACTCTGATTGGCCAAACCTAGGATTACCACTCCAACCCTGAACCAATCACTGTGACTATTCTTGGCAGGACCTTGGTTTTGTGCTCCCTAGTGGAAGGGGAAGATAAGGTCAACCCCTCCGAACCACATGGACTGAGAATGGAGGAGAAATGGTTGCTCAAAGGAAAACTGAGGTACTGTTAACAGAAAAGGGGGGATTGGATGTTGGCCAAGCAAAAACATAGCCCATTGTTCAACACCTCTTACCCCTAAAATCATTCTGACAAATGACTGTACACACATGCTTTCTTTCTTCCTTTTTTTTTTTGAGACAGAGCTTTGCTCTTGTTGCCCAAGCTGGAGTGCAGTGGCGCAATCTCGGCTCACTGTAACCTCTGCCTCTAGGGTTTAAGTGATTCTCCTGCCTCAACCTCCCGAGTAGTTGGGATTACAGGCACGTGCCACCACGGCCAGCTAATTTTTTGTATTTTTAGTAGAAACAGGGTTTCACCATGTTAGTCAGGCTGGTCTTGAACTCCTGACCTCAGGTGATCTGCCTGCCTTGGCCTCCCAAGGTGCTGGGATACAGGCGTGAGCCACTGCACCCAGCCCCACACGCTTTCTTGAACTAACATTTCATGAACACTCCCTATGTACCAGGCACTATACGAAACACCTTCCAGATAAGATCAAGGTTTTCCTAGCCACCTCCATTTTGTAAAGGAGGAAGAAACAGGCACAGAGAAGTGAAAGCAGTTGCCCAAAGTCACACAGCAAGCGGAGGAACTAGGATTTGAATCCCAGTCTTTCTGCTTCAAAAACTGGAGCTTATATATCAACCTTTATGCCACCTCCTGGGACTGTCCCCTGCTTTGTCCCACTTTGGGGCAGCTCTTACTCTTACATCCCTACACACTATTAAAACAAATGAAGGCCGGGCACGGAGGCTCACGCCTGTAATCCCAAAACTTTGGGAGGCCAAGGCGGATAGATCACGAGGTCAGGAGATTGAGACCATCCTGGCCAACATGGTGAAACCCCGTCTCTACTAAAAATACAAAAAATTAGCCAGGTGTGGTGGCACATGCCTGTAATCTCAGCTACTCAGGAGGCTGAGGCAGGAGAATCGCTTGAACCCAGGAGACGGAGGTTGCAGTGAGCCGAGATCGTGCCACTGTACTCCAGCCTGGGCAACAAGGCGAGACTCCATCTCAATAATAATAATAATAATAATAATAATAATAATAATAATAATAATAACAATGATAATAAAGTAACTAGGGTATGTTCAGGTTGATTAGCTCAGGGAAAAGGAAACTTGAGAATTAGGTTCATATGCCACTTTAGAAGTCTGAGCAGCTATCCCAAGACCTTTCAGTATTCATTAATTCAATAATTCTTTATTGAGCACCCACTAAGTGTTAGGCATTATTCCAGGACTTAAGGGATATAACCAGCGCAGCATTATGGCTTCTGTGGGCCCTATACAATTTTACCTTCTTGATCCCCTTCTTCCATAGAAAAATATTAACGCTGGGTGCGGTGGCTCACGCCTGTAATCCCAGCACTTTAGGAGGCCAAGGCGGGCAGATCACGAGGTCAGGAGTTCGAGACCAGTCTGGCCAACATGGTGAAACCCCGTCTCTACTAAAAATACAAAAATTGGGAGGCATGGTGGCGGGCACCTGCAATCCCAGCTACTTGGGTTGCTGATGCAGAAGAATCGCTTGAATCTGGGAGGCGGAGATTTCAGTGAGCTGAGATCGCACCACTGTACTCCAGCCTGGACAAGAGCGAGACTCTGTCTCGGGGGAAAAAAAAAAGAAAAATATTAACAATTGTGGTTTATGATAGTATTGATATGAAGACAAGTATACTACAGATGGGGTGATATTTATTTTTTGTTCTAATTTAAAAGGAATTAGAATATTTTCATGAGCCCCTAAAAGTATCATGGGTTCCAAGCACTGTGCTTTCTGCATTTTATGGATAAATCAGCCTGGGATATAGCAATAAATAAGACAAAAATTCTTGCCCTGTGGCGTGTGCCTGTAATCCCAGCTACTTGGGAGGCTGAGGTAGGAGAATCACTCTAGCCCAGGAGGTGGAGGTTGCGGTGAGCCAAGAGCCTGCCACTGCACTCCAGCCTGGGCAACAGAGCAAAACTCTGCCTCAGAAACCAACCAACCAACCAACCAATTCTTGCCCTCATGGAGTTCATATTTATAATTAATAAATTAATGAAAGAAATAAGATTTCACAGCCTGTACAATATAGAGAGACCGCGTCTCCAAAAAAAAATTTATTTTAAAGTTTATTTTATTTTATTTATTATTTATTTATTTATTTTTTGAGACGGAGCTTTTGCTCTTGTTGCCCAGGCTGGAGTGCAATGGCACGATCTCGGTTGCTCACTGCAACCTCCACCTCCTGGGTTCAAGTGATTCTCCTGCCTCAGCCTCCCAAGTAGCTGAGATTACAGGCACCTGCCACCACACCTGGCTAATTTTTGTATTTTTAGTAGAGACAAGATTTCACCATGTTGATCAGGCTGGTCTTGAACTCCTGACCTCAGGTGATCCACCTGCCTTGGCCTCCCAAAGTGCTGGGATTACAGGCGTGAGCCACCACGCCCAGCTTAAAAGTTTTTTGTAGATGCAGGGTCTCACTATGTTGCCCAGGCTGGACTCAAACTCCTGGGCTCAAGGGACCATCCTGCCTTGGCCTCTGAAGTGCTGGGATTACAGGTGTGAGCCACTGCACCCAGCCTTGTCTCTACAAAAAAATTTTAAAAATAGCCTGGCATGGTGGTGCATGCCTAAAGTCCCAGCTACTCGGGAGACTGAAGCAGAAGGATTGCTGGAGCCCAGGAGTTTGAGGTTACAGTGAGCTATGATTGTGCTATTACATATGAGCTTGGGTGACAGAGCAACTCGTTGTCTCTTTAAAAACAAACAAGCAGGCCAGGCGCGGTGGCTCACGCCTGTAATCCTAGCACTTTGGGAGGCCAAGGCGGACAGATCATGAGGTCAGGAGATTGAGACCATCCTGGCTAACACGATGAAACCCCGTCTCCACTAAAAATACAAAAAATTAGCCAGGCGTGGTGTCAGGCACCTGTAGTCCCAGCTACTTGGGAGACTGAGGCAGGAGAACGTGAGGGTGAGGCTGAGGAGGCGTAATCCCGGGAGGCGGAGTTTGCAGAAGCTGAGATCGCGCCACTGCACTCCAGCCTGGGTGACAGAGCAAGACTCTGTCTCAAAACAAACAAACAAAACAAAACAACAACAACAACAACCAGGGCAACAGAACATTCCAAACAGAGAAGGCAGAAATAAAATTGGCAGTTGAGAGAAACAGAAAGAAAACCTATGTGACTGGAGCTGACCTGTTCCCTGAAAACCCAGAGGGCACAGCTGGGATTAGTGGATGCAAATATACAGACTGTGAGGGAAGAAATTGGCTAAAACCCGAACCATCCAGCAAAGAAAAGAGGCAGCTCTGGGAGGTGGTACATGGCTTCTGGAGGGCCCTGAGAGCGGAGCCCAGGTTGTACTTCTTCAGGACTACTGCCCAGACACTGGGGATGCCAAGACATTGGGATTCCCATCCACTCAGTTGCTCCCTTTCTAACCTCTGTGTTTACCCAGAAGGTTCACCCTGTGCTTTGTAAAACCCAGAATAAACACCCAGGGACTATGGTTTATATGAAACCCTCTGAGACGGTCAAATAACACCTTGAACTTTATAAGTAGACCTGGACACTTTTTCTTCCTTGCTTCCTGAGTTGTTTCTTGTCGGGTCTGCCAAGGGCCCCTCTAGAACACATGGGAAATAATGTGATATATATATATTTATTTATTTATCAGGGCTAGACAGGAGTTTAAGCTCAGCCTACTCAATTTATCTCGAAGGATAGAACCCCAACACCCCCTTGGCTCAAAGTTATCGTTTCTACCAGGAGGTAACTTGGGGACTCATCAGTGATTTTTTTTCTTTTTTTGAGACAGAGTTTTGTTCTGTTGCCCAGGTTGGAGTGCAGTGGTGCGATCTTGGCTCACTGCAACCTGTGCCTCCTAGGCTCAAGCAATTCTCCTGCCTCAGCCTCCCGAGTAGCTGGGATTACAGGCACGTGCCACCACACCTGGCTGATTTTTGTATTTTTAGTAGGAACAGGGTTTCGCCATGTTGGCCAGGCTGGCCTTGAACTCCTGGGCCCAAGTCATCTGCCCACTTCAGCTTCCCAAAGTGCTGGGATTACAGGTGTGAGCCACCATGCCCAGCCAACTTTTTATTTTTTCATAAAGGCGAGGTCTCACTTTTTTGCTCAGGCTGGTCTTGAACTCCTGGGCTCAAGTGATCCTCCCACCCTGACCTCCCAAAGTGCTGGGATTACAGATGTGAGCCACCACACTCAGTCAAAAGCAAAGCATGGCCTCTTCATGTATTGGTGACACCACACTTGCCACTTAGCATTTAGATCAATTTCCTTTTACAAGCTTCTTATTTTTACTTTTTTTTTTTTTTTGAGACAGTCTGGCTCTGTCACCCACAATCTCAGCTCACTGCAGCTTCCGCCTCTCAGGTTCAAGCAATTCTCGTGCCTCAGCCTCCTGAGTAGCTGGGATTATAGGCATCATGTCCAGCTAATTTTTGTATTTTTAGTAGAGATGGGTTTTTGCCATGTTGGCCAGGCTGGTCTTGAACTCCTGACCTCAAGTGATCAGCCCACCTCAGCCTCCCAAAGTGCTGGGATGACAGGTGTGAGCCACCATGCCCGGCCTCCTTTTACAAGTTTCCATAACACCAAGCAACACTTTTTTCTTTATCACGGCTAGCTTCATAGACATATGACCTGGGCAGTCACATAGGGCCCTGTGCTTAGGATGGTCCAATGCTTGGTTTGATGCTCTGCTCTCAGCATCTTTTTTTTGTTTTGTTTTGTTTTGTTTTTGAGACGGAGTTTGTTTTGTTTTGTTTTGTTTTGTTTTTCTCCTGCCTCAGCCTCCCCAGTAGCTGGGATTACAGGCGCCTACCACCACGCCTGGCTAATTTTTGTATTTTTATTATTTATTTATTTATTTATTTTGAGACGGAGTCTTACTTTGTCTCCCAGGCTGGAGTGCAGTGATGCAATCTTGGCTCACTGCAACTTCCACCTCCCGGGTTCAAGGGATTCTCCTGCCTCAGCCTCCCAAAGTGCTGGGATGACAGGCATCAGCCACTGCACCCACCCCACATTAGGACCTTAAACTTGATCCTTAACAATGGGATGTCATGGAGAGGTTTGAAGCAAGAGAGTGACGTGGTCAGATTTGTGTTTCAGAAAGGTCACCCTGACTCTAGCAGACAGTAGGGATGGAAGAGGCCAAATGGCAGGGTTGAGTGAACTATCAGGATGTTAACACATGGACTAGGGCAGGGCTGTGGGGTTGAAGAGAAGGTCATGGAAGAGGAGTGGGTAAGATTTGGTGACTGACTGATTAAGGGCTAAGGGAAAGTAACAAGTACGGGTGATGCCTGGGATTCTGTCCTCGGTGTCCAGGGTGGGGTGCGGGCAGCCCTAAAATGAGTAACACAGACAGGAGGTTTGCGGGTTGGATGTGGAATTCGTTTTGGATGTCCTAACCAAAACCAGCTCCTGTCCCCAAACAGGAATCAGAGGAACCAAAACAAGCTCCTGTCCCCAAACAAGAAGCAGAGGAAAAACCACACTAGCAAGCTGCAAGAGTTGGCACTGCTGCTGCCCATAGCCCTGAAGACGGGGACCAAGAAGCTCACAAAGGTACAGGGACTAGAGGAGAGGGGCCAGATTTGGGACGCAGGTCTTTAAATAGCAGCAAATGGGTCACCCTCTCCTGGGAAACCTGGACAGATCCTTTCAGTGGCAGCATTCAAATGGGAATGGTGCTACTCTGAACGGGAATTTCCGGGAGTCTGTGATCCCATAACTAGGTGCCTGGAGGATCCTTTTTTGCAAAGGAGAGAGGAGAAACCGGGCTGGGGAAATAGAGATAGCACAAAGATCATTGTTCCAGGAATCAAATAGCCATGGGTTTGAGCCCTCTAGCTTCACAGCTACAGAACTCTGGGCAGTTTCTCAGGCTACCCAGACTTTCTTTTTTTCTTTGTTCTTTTTTGTTTTTGAGAGTCCTGAGTAGCTGGGACTACAGGCACAGGCCACCACACCCGGCTAATAGTTTTTTTGTATTTTTAGTAGAGACAGGGTTTCACCATATTGGTCAGGCCGGTCTCAAATTCCTGACCTCAGGCGATCCATCCGCCTTGGCCTCCGAAAGTGCTGGGATTACAGGCGTTAGCCACTGTGGCCAGCCAAATTTATTCTCTTATGGTTCTGGAGTTCAGAAGTCCAATATCAGTCTCAGTGGCTTTTTCACTTGTTTGGTTGTTTTGGGGTTTTTAGGTTTTGTTTTGTTTTGTTTTGTTTTTGAGACAGGATCTCACTGTCTCACCCAGGCTACAGTGTAGTGGCTCGACCTCAGCTCACTGCAGCCTCTGCTTCCCAGGCTCAAGCAATCCTCCCACCTCAGCCTCCCGAGTAGCTGAGACTACAGGCTCATGCCACACCTGGCTAATTTTTTGTAGTTTTGGTAGAGACGAGGTTTTACCATGTTGCCCAGGCTAGTCTCAAACTCCTGACCTCAAGTGATCCTCCCACCTTGGCCTCCCAAAGTTCGGGGATTACAGGCATAAGCCACTGCACCCAGCCAGTCTCACTGGTTTAAAGTCAAGTTGTCAGCAGGGTTGGTTCCTCTTAGAAGCTCTAGAGAGTTTGTTTCCTTTCTTTTTGCCAACTTCTGGGGGCTGCCTGCATTCCTTGACCCATCATGGTCCCTCAAAGCCAGCATGGAAGCATCTTCAAATGTCTTTCCTGTCCTACCGCTTCTGTTGTCACATTGCCTTCCCTGCCTTTGACATTCCTACCTCTGTAAGATTATATGTGATTACACTGGGCCCACCCAGATAAACAGGAATAATCAGGCCATCTCAAGATCCTTAACACAGCGGGCTCAGTAGTTTGGGAGGCCGAGGTGGGTGGATCACCTGAGGTCAGGAGTTTGAGACCAGCCTGGCCAACATGGTGAAACCCCGTCTCTACTAAAAATACAACCAATTAGCCAGGAGTGGTGGCGCGTGCCTATAATCCCAGCTACTCAGGAGGCTGAGGCGGGAGATTTGCTTGAACCTGGGAGGCAGAGGTTGCAGTGATCCGAGATCGCGCCATTGCACCCCAGCCTAGGCAACAGAGCAAGACTCTGTCTCAAAAGAAAAAAAAAAAAAAAGATCCTTAACTCAATCATATCTGCAAAGTCCTTTCTTTCTGCCATACAAGGCAACATATTCATAGGTTCTGGGGACTAGGACATGGACATCTTTGGAACTTTGGGGGGATGCATTATACAGTCCACGATGGTGCTAAAAATATTTGAGGAATGTGAGTTTTTGGCATGCATAGGTGCTGGAATAGCCCTTGGGGAGCCAGAGATGACTATGACACAGTCCCTCCCCTCGAGGAATGGCAGTCTTGTCAGGGGACTGGCAACGTTTCATAAATGACCGGATGGCCACATCTCTTGGAATTCTCCCCAGGCCTCAGCCTACTTATTTACCATGTGTCCTCTGCTGTCTTCAGAACCCCTCTTCTCCCACCTCTTCATCCTTCCCTCAGCTGCATCATGGGGTCCTGCTCCACAGACAACCCGCATCCCGGGGCCGTGGGACATGCTCAGTCCAGTGCTCCGCGCCATAGCAGGAGCTGTGAGAATTGCCTCTCCTGTGTTAGAGACTTGGGGTGCAGCTTTGATTCAGAGTGTCCTTCCTCACCACTCTGGCTGGTGAATTGCCCCCTGCCCCGTCTGATCATGTAGGTTCTCCCTCTGACCATGAACACCCCCAGCGTATCACTGCAATTACTTCCTTGTTTCCGACCTCCTTCAGGTGGAGTTCTGCCAGAGCCATAAAGGAGACATCTCTGTCCGCCTTGCCCACAGGGCCTAGCAAGAGCAGAGAGCAGACAGCAGACAGCAGTAACAACCGTTCCCAACTTACTGAGCGTTCCAGGTGTCAGACCTTGAGTGCTAAGTGTCTTAGATACATTTTTCTCATTTAACTCTCCCACAAGGCTTGTGAGAGATGTATGGCTATGCTCATTCTTTGGTCTGAGGAAACTGAAGTGCAGAGAATGGTCACATCGCCCACAGGCACAGAGTTGAGATAGAAAGAGAGACAGAGAGAAAGAGAGAGGGAGGGATTCAGATGTGGCCAGGCACAGTGGCTCACACCTGTAATACCAGCACTTTGGGAGGCTGAAGCAGGCAGATTGCTTGAGATTAGGAGTTCGAGACCAGCCTGGGCAATGTGACGAAAGTCCATCTCTACAAAAAATACAAAAATTAGCCAGCCATGGTCCCCGCTACCCAGGAGGCTGAAGCAGGAGGATAGCTTGAGCCTGGGAAGTGGAGGTTGCAATGAGTCGAGATCATACCACTGCACTCCAGCCTGAGCAACAGAGTAAGACCCTGTCTTTTTTTTTTTTTTGAGACGGAGTCCCGCTCTGTACCCCAGGCTGGAGTGCAGTGGCACCATCTCGGCTCACTGCAAGCTCTGCCTCCTGGGTTCACGCCATTCTCCTGCCTCAGCCTCCTGAGTGGCTGGGACTACAGGTGCCCGCCACCACGCCCGGCCAATTAGTTTTTGTATTTTTAGTAAAGACAGGGTTTCACCGTGTTAGCCAGGATGACCTCGATCTCCTGACTTCGTGATCCACCCGCCTCGGGCTCTGAAAGTGCTGGGATTACAGGCGTGAGCCACCGCGCCTGGCCATGAGACCCCATCTTAAAAGAAATAGAGTCAGATGTATCTCACTCCAAAGGCTCTTGCCTTCAACCATTCTGTCACTCAAGGTTCAATAGATGTTTGTTGAATGACTGAATGAGCTCCCTTTGTTGGGACAGTTACAGGACCTGTTGATCTTACCTTCAGAAGGTCTTTGAGAGTCCAGACTCTGGTGTAGCCCCCAAGCTAACCTTCCTGAAGTTTCAATTACTGAGGCATCTGTCTTGAAATCTGGGATGATGCCCAATTGCTTTCTACATACAACCTTTATACTAGTAATAATAAGTAACATTTATATATTACTTCATGGTTTATAAGGACTTTTTCTTAGCGAGTGCCAACCATATGCTCCAAGCCTGGTATTAGAGATAATAAGCTTAAAAAGACTGAGGCTGGCTGGGTGCAGTGGCTCACACATGTAATCCCAGCACTTTGGGAGGCCGAGGTGGGTGGATCACTTGAGGTCGGTAGTTCGAGACCAACCTGGCCAACATGGTGAAACCTTGTCTCTACTAAAAATACAAAAATTAGCCAAGCGTGGTGGCACATTCCTGTAGCCCCTGCTACTCAGGAGGTTGAGGTGGGAGAATCGCTTGAACCTGGGAGTCAGAGGCTGCAGTGAGCTGAGATCGTACCACTGCACTTCAGACTGGGCAACAGACCGAGACTCCCTCTCAAAAAAAAAAAAAAGACTGAGGCCAGGTGTGGTGGCTCATGCCTGTAATCCCAGCACTTTGGGAGGCCAAGGCGGGTGGATCACTTGAGCCCAGGAGTTTGAGACCAGCCTGAACAACATGGCGAAACCTCATCTCGATAAAAAATACAAAAAATTAGCTGGGCATGGTGGCATGCGCCTGTAGTCCCAGCTACTTGTGGGGCTGAGACAGGAGGATTGCTCGAGCCTAGGAGGTGGAGGTTGAAGTGAGCTGAGATGGTACCACTAAACTCCAGCCTGGCCAACAGAGCAAGAGACCCTGTCTCAAAAAAAAAAAAAAAAAAAAGGCCGAGCGCAGTGGCTCACGCCTGTAATCCCAGCATTTTGGGAGGCTGAGGTGGGCGGATCATGAAGTCAGGAGATTGAGACCATTCTGGCTAACATGGTGAAACCCCGTCTCTACTAAAAAATACAAAAAAATTAGCGAGGCGTGGTGGAGGGCGCCTGTAGTCCCAGCTACTCGCTGAGGCAGGAGAATGGCATGAACCCGGGAGGCGGAGCTTGCAGTGAGCCAAGATTGCGCCACTGCACTCCATCCTGGGCGACAGAACAAGATTCTGTCTCAAAAAAAAAAAAAAAAAAAAGCGCAAAAAAAAAAAACAAAAAAAGACTATTGGCCGGGCGTGGTGGCTCACACCTGGAATCCCAGAACTTTGGGAGACCAAGGCGGGCAGATCACAAGGTCAGGAGTTCGTGACCAGCCTAGCCAGCATGGTGAAACCCCGTCTCTACTAAAAATACAAAACATTAGCTGGGCCTGGTGGCACGCACCTCTAGTCCCAGCTACTCAGGAGGCTGAGGCAGGAGAATTGCTTGAACCTGGCAGGCAGAAGTTGCAGTGAGCTGAGATCGTGCCATTGCACTCCAGCCTGGGCAACATAGCAAGACTCTGTCTCAAAAAAAAAAAAAAAGAAAAAGAAAAAGAAAGAAAGACAGGGTTGAGCACAACAGCCAGGGCTCAAGACAACGTGGGGCTGCTGGGGACCAGAGACACAGAGGCTCCAGGAAGGACCCCATTCCCCACCCACCCCAACAATTCTTCAGTCGGCAGAGACCTTCTTGTTCTGCTATCTAGCCCTCACTGCAGACCAGTGAGACAGGGGCTACAGCTACAGGCTGGAGTGCAGTGGCATGATCTCAGCTCACTGCAACCTTTGCTTCAGGCTGTGTCTCTGGTCCCCAGCAGCCCCACATTGTCTTGAGCCCTGGCTGTTGTGCTCAACCCTGTCTTTCTTTCTTTCTTTTTCTTTTTCTTTTTTTTTTTTTTTTTGAGACAGAGTCTCGCTATGTTGCCCAGGCTGGAGTGCAACGGCGTGATCTTGGCTCACTGCAACCTCCGCCTCACGGGTTCAAGCAATTCTCCTGCCTCAGCCTCTCAAGTAGCTGGCATTACAGGCATGTGCCACCACACCCAGCTAATTTTTTGTATTTTTAGTAGAGACGGGGTTTCACCATGCTGGCCAGGCTGGTCTCGAACTCCTGACCTCATGATCCGCCCACCTCGGCTTCTCAAAGTGCTGTGATTACAGGCGTGAGCCTGGCCAACCCTGTCTTTCTTTTGAGGCAGAAGGAGATTCTGGTGCATGTCCTGCAGTACATTCAGTACCTCCAGAGAAACATCGATGCCGCCAAGGCCTTGTTCAAATGCCACATCACCACTGGGGAAGGTGGACTTGCGGGTAAGTAGTTCAGCCAGTGTTTCCTGGTGCCTGTGATGTTCCAAGTGTTGTTCCAGCCATCAGGGATACTGAGTGACCCTTCTGTCAAGGCCTGGTATAGGGGACAAAGAGAGATATGCAAGATGCCTCAGAGAAGAGGGGCCTTGGAGCTGGGCCTTCAGGACTGTAGGAGATGCAGGGAAGCCCAGCCAGGCAGAAGAAACAGGCCGGGCACAGTGGCTGATGCCTGTACTCCCGGCACTTTGGGAGGCCGAGGCGGGCGGATCGCTTGAGGTCAGGAGTTCGAGACCAGCCTGGCCAACATGGCAAAACCCCGTCTCTACTAAAAATACAAAAATTAGCTGGTGTGGTGGCTGGCGCCTGTAATCCCAGCTACTTGGGAGGTTGAGGCAGGAGAATCACTTGAACCTGGGAGGCGGAGGTTGCTGTGAGCCGAGATCACGCCACTGCACCCTAGCCTGGGCAACAGAGCAAGACTGTGTCTCAAATAATAATAATAATAATAATAATAATAATAATAATAATATATACATAAAATAAAATAAATCTGATCATGACCTTCCCCTGGCATAAAATCCCTCAGTAATTTTCATCTTCTTCACTTCCCTCCATAGCCAGGTGCTGGAAACCATTTGGGATCTCATCCCTGCCTTCCTAGTCCCTGCCAAACCTCCCCAGCCTCATCTCCTACCATTCTGCCAGCGTATTTTATTTATTTATTTGTGCTTTTTGTTTTGTTTTGTTTTTTGTTTTTTGTGTGTTTTTTGAGACGGAGTATCACTCTGTCACCCAGGCTGGAGTGCAGTGGCGTGATCTCTGCTCACTGCGACCTCTGCCTCCCGGGCCTCTGCCAGTATATTTTACACTACAGTAACAGCGACAGCACCCAGCACATCTAGCCTTAGGGGACTGCTATGTTCCAGGTGCTGTGGTATGTTTCTTTCTTTCTTTTTTTTTTTTTGAGGCAGAGTTTAGCTCTTGTTGCGCAGGCTGGAGTGCAGTGGCGTGATCTTGGCTCACCGCAACCTCTGCCTTCCAAGTTCAAGTGATTCTCCTGCCTCAGCCTCCCGAGTAGGTAGGATTACAGGCACTCACCACCACACCCAGCTAATTTTTTTGTATTTTTAGTAGAGACGGTGTTTCACCATATTGGCCAGGCTGGTCTCAAACTCCTGACCTCAGGTGATCCACCCACCTTGGCCTCCCAAAGTGCTGGGATTACAGCTGTGAGCCCCTGCTCCTAGCCGTTTTTTTTTTTTTTTTTTTTTGAGACAAGGTCTCACTCTGTCACCCAGGCTGGAATGCAGTGGCATGATCATGGCTCACTGTAACCTCAAAATCCCAGGACTCAAAACTCCAGGGGTCAAGCAATCCTCCTGCCGCAGACTTCTAAGCAGCTTGTACTACAGGCACGTGCCACCAATATCCAGATAATTTTCTTTTTTTTGAGATGGAGTTTCTCTCTGTCGCCCAGACTAGAGTGCAGTGGCGTGATCTCAGCTCACTGCAAGCTCTGCCTCCCAGGTTCAAGCCATTCTCCTGCCTCAGCCTCCCAAGTAGCTGGGACTACAGGCGCCCGCCACCACACCCAGCTAATTTTTATATTTTTAGTAGAGACAGGATTTTGCCGTGGTCGCCAAGCTGGTATCACCTCAAGTGATCCACCCATCTCAGCCTCCTAAAGTGCTGGGATGACAGATGTGAGCCATCGTGCCTGGCTCTGGCTAATATTTTTGTTTGTTTTTTTGTAGAGACAGAGTCTCACTGTGTTGCCCAAGCTGGTCTTAAACCCCTGGGCTTAAGCAATTCTCCCGCCTTGGCCTCCCAAAGTGCTGGGATTATAGGAGTGGGCCACCAAGCCTGACTTGTTTCTATGTATTAACTCACATTTAATCGTCAGGACAAATACCGAAGGGAAAAGCTAATGTGGTCCTGTTTTGCAGGTGATGGAACTGAAGCCCAGAGAGGTTAAGGTCACAGAGATGAGCCTGAGTCAGGGCCTGGCTCAGAGCCCACACACATCATCTCCATGCCACGCAGACCTCCAATCACACCCAATGACTTGCCTGTCCCCAGACACCCCGCGCGTGTCTTCTCATGCCTGCAAGCTCTTACTCAGATAGTTTCTTCTTCTTTTTTTTTTTTTTTTTTTCTGAGGCGGAGTCTCGCTCTTTTCGCCCAGGCTGGAGTGAAGTGGCGAAATTTCGGATCACTGCAAGCTCCACCCCCTGGGTTCAAGCGATTCTCCTGCCTCAGCCTCCCAAGTAACTGGGATTACAGGCACCCGCCACCACACCCAGCTAATTTTTGTCCCTGACATGTAGTGTTGAGGACTGGTCATGAAGTGAGAGACTGGAGTCAGGGAGATGAGGAAAGACACTGTTCGGAGTGATCTAGACGGGACAATTAGGCCCAAGCTAGCGCTGTAGATGAGAATGTGGATAGAAGTGAGTAAACCTAGAAGATGTTAATGAGGAAGAATCGAGAGGCCAGAGGGAAAGGCCCCAGTGACCTTGAGGGGGTCGGCTAGGAGACCCTCACTGTGTTGAGGAAGGCGGGAGGAGGTACTGGTGTGGGCGGGGAGAGGGTGAAGCATCCTCAAGGTGCCCAGTCTGGGGAAGTGTTGATTCCATTCTCCCACTGAGCCAAGGCCCAAAACAGCCCTGAAGAAACCTGAGTTCTTGCCCTCTACTTTCACAGTCCTGACTGAGCGGCCTTGGATAAGCCCTCAGTTTCCACACTGTAAAGTCAGCCTGGGGGCCCACCCTGACCCGGGACTGAGGAGCATTGTCTGGAAGGCAGGAACTGCAGTTGGATGCAGATGGGGTGGGGGATCTGAGCTGTTTCCCTCTCCATCCCTGCAGGGCTGGGTCAGAAACCAGCCTGGGGCCCAGCCAGGCGGAGGAGACACTCTACCCCCTCCAGCTCCCCAAGCTCTCAGAAGTCCTGTCTCCAGGGGGCGTGCCAGAAGCCTCGGAAGAAGAAGCTGACCCAGGCATCAGGTACAAGCTGTCACTGGAGGCAGAACTAGAAGCCCAGGTCACCCAGGAGCAGGGCTCCTTCTCCAGGGATGTCCTTACTCTGGGGGCCTTCTCAGCACCCTGTGCCGGGGTTCAACTCCCAGCTCCTCCTTGTATTAGCACTGAGGCCTCACACCCGGAAACTTGGGGTTCACTGGTCTATGGCAGAACCTGGGCATCAGTATTTTTTTTTTGAGAGAGACTCTCACTCTGTCCACCAGGCTGGAGTACAGTGACACAGCTCACTGCCACCTCTGCCTCCCAGGTTGAAACGATTCTCCTGCCTCAGCCTCATGAGTAGCTGGGATTACAGGCATGTGCCACCATGCTCAGCTAATTTTTGTATTTTTAGTAGAGACAGGGTTTCGCCATGTTGGCCAGGCTGGTCTTGAACTCCTGACCTCAAGTAATCTGCCTGCCTCGGCCTCCCAAAGCGCTGGGATTACAAGCATGAGCCACTGCGCCTGGCCAGTGTTTTTTAAAGGTCGCAAGATGATTCTGACAGGTGGACAGGGGTTGAACAAAGAGGCCTGTGATTGAGGATCTGGGCATTCCCATACCAGGCCAGGCATAGCTTTGACACTGACAAGGATGTTTCCCACCTGAACCCTATTCTGGTGACAGGCAGGTGACTCCCAGGCCCCTCTGACACCTGAACCTCTGCTCCCCCAGAAAGCCAGACTCGGACCCCGAAGCCTCGCCGCTCTCTGGCCCTGAACAAGCCTGAGAAGCTGGTGGCCCCATCCCCAGACCAGAAAGGAAGTGGCACAGGGGGGACCACTACCCCTCCAAGGTGCCCTGACTCCTGCGGTCACCCGAGGCCTGCATCATCCTCACCTCCAGGTGACAGAAAAGGAGGACAGTCCCAGCTGACGCTGTTGGATCTGGCCGAGGACACCATCCACTGTGACATCTCAAGTGGGTCTCTTTCCTCACTCTGAACTTAGTCTTTCAGTAAGATGCCACTCTGGGGGCACCTGCTGTGTCCCAGACACAGTACCCGTAGTGGGGGCTGCAGCAGTGAATAGGAAACACCGCCTCTTACTTCTCAAGCTTGTGGCCTTGCTCTGGTGGTCTTCATCTCAGGCTGTGTCGTGGCTGTAATGGGGGGATGAGATCAGCGTCATTGTCTTGTGTGGGCTTCCCATCACAGAACCAGGGAGGAGGGCAGGGCCTCCGCCTCAGGCCTCACTTGGCTCTCCCATGCCCCAGTCACTGCACTGGTTTGGAAAACGTGTGGTGATGCTTTCAAGCAGAGAGCTAGGCCAGAGGGAGGGAGGTCGGAGCTCGAGGCTTTGAGGCCTCAAGTCATCTCGTTCCTCTATTTGTTCATTCAGCCTTTTCTTTTTTTTTTTTTTTTTGAGATGGAGTCTTGCTCTGTCGCCCAGGCTGGAGTGCAGTGGTACAATCTCGGCTCACTGCAACCTCTGCCTCCTGGATTCAAGCGACTCTCCTGCCTCAGTCTCACGAGTAGCTGGGATTACAGGCGCGCACCACCACGCCCAGCTAATTTTTGTATTTTTAGTACAAACAGGGTTTTGCCATATTGACCAGGCTGGTCTTGAACTCCTGATCTCAGGTGATCGCCCACCTTGGCCTCCCAAAGTGCTGGGATTACAGGTGTGAGGCACTGTGCCGGGCCCATTAGAGTTTTTTGTTTGTTTTGAGACAAAGTCTTGCTCTGTCGCCCATGCTGGAGTGCAGTGGTGCACTCTCGGCTACTGCAACCTCTACCTCCCAGGTTCAAACAATTCTCTGCCTCAGCCTCCTGAGTAGCTGGGACAGGCGCCCGCACCCATGCCCGGCTAATTTTTGTATTTTTAGTAGAGACGGGGTTTCACCGTGTTGGCCAGGCTGGTCTTGAACTCCTGACCTCGTGATCCACCGCCTCAGCCTCCCAAAGTGCAGGGGTTACAGGTATGAGCCACGGTGCCCAGCCCCCATTACAGCTTCTGATAGGGATGTGGGATTCAAAAAACCCAGGGGTGATTTGGGGCACCCCTCAGCCTCACACCAACGTGACACCCTGCATCCTGAGGTTTGGGCTAGGATTGGGGAGTGAGAGGGTGTGTGGCAGAAGCTGGCACCCCTTTGTCCCCTGCTTCTGGGCTTCCTGGAATTTGGTCCAGTCCCCAGGCATGGTCATCCTGATCTGCCCCTTAGGCTGCTGGTGCCAGGGCAGTGTCCAGGATGACGCACCTTTCCCTGCGCTCCTGGCTCAGGAAGATGTGGCGAGGATCCATTTTCTCAACAAGACCCAGCCCCATCCCAGGTAAGGGCGTCCCCAGGGCACTGAGTGAGTGGTGCTGAGGGGTTTGGTCTGGCGTGGGTGAGGGGTAGTGGGAAGACAGGCCAAGTCACGTCCTCTGCGGGTGCCCCTTGAGCACCAATGGAGGCCCAGCTTTGTGTCTGCCATTGTGAGCTCGCAGGAAAGCCTGACTTCCCATTTCCCAGACATGGTCACAGCTTCCTCACCAGTCTCTTTGCCTCACCTGTTGCCCCTCCATCCCATCCTCATGTGACCACATGGCTTTTCCAACACAGAGACGTTGACCACGGAGTTTGTGGCTTAAAGCCCTTCCTCAGGCCTGCAGCATAGAGTCCAATATTTTTGTTTGTTTGTTTGTTTGAGACAGGGTCTCACTCTGTCGCCCAGGCCAGAGAGCAGTGGCACAATCATAGGTCACTGCCGCCTCAACCTTCAGGGCTCAAGCAGTCCTCCTGCCTCAGCTTCCTGAGTAGCTGGGACCACAGGTGCACACCACCACACCCAGCTAATTTTTTTATGTTTATTTTTTGTAGAAATGAGGTCCCCCTATGTTGCCTAGGCTGGTCTTGAACTCGTAGGCTCAAGCAATCCTCCCACCTCAGCCTCCCAGAGTGCTGGGATTATAGGTATGGGCCACTGCACCCGGCCCGGATATTTCACCTGGCCTTTGAGACCTTCAGTGGCCCCCAACTCACCTCGTCAGCCCTCTCTCCTGCCCTTCACCCATGACTCTTATACTTCACACTGCCACACATTTGCCATTCCCCAGAAGCCCTGCGCCAGCCCCTCTGAGCTTCTCACATTCCAGTACTTCTTCCTGGATAGCCTGCTTCCCTGTGCCCCTGGAAAACTGCCCATCCCTCAGGCTGAGCCCACTGCTCTCCACTGGCTCATCATCCTCCAGCGCCCTCGGTCACAGCACTGCTTACGGGCTGGGCTATCCTCATGAGACTGTAAGCTCCCTGAGGATGGGAGCCTCGACTGACTGAGCTTTACACCCCCAGCACTCCCCCAGGGGCCAGTGCAGAGTGCCAAAGGGGCCCCATAGCAGTTTCTAGCCCAGAGTCTGTGAGTCTGACTCTGAAACTCCACCTCTTGCAGGCAGAAGCTGGTGTTCTATGATTCCAGCGAGGATGTGGACAAAGGGTCCCTAGACGCTGACCCTTGGCTCCCTGCCTGGACCCCAGAGAACAGCCCCCAAGGTGACTGCAACTCTGTCTCTCCTCCTTGTAGGCTGGTGTGGGCCTTCCCATACTTTCAGTCTGAGGATGTCTATGGAAGAGAGGAGGCGGGAAAGGGAATGGAGATCCCCTAAGCACAGGGAAGGCAAACACACAGTGCACCTGCCAGCTCTCCGCCACCGCTGCCACGGAGGCTTGACAATCAATCACCACTCTTTCCTTGAGCCCAGACATGGCCTCAGAATCATTCTGGGTCTTTTTGGTTTGTTTGTTTTCTTTTTTGAGATAGGGTTTCACTCTGTCGTCCAAGCTGGAGTACAGTGGCGCAGTCTCAGCTCACTTCAACCTCTGTCTGCTGGGTTCAAGTGATTCTCCTGCCTCAGCCTCCCGAGTAGCTGGGATTACAGGTGCCCACCACCATGCCCAGCTAATTTCTGTATTTTTAGTAGAGATGGGGTTTCACCATGTTGGCCAGGCTGGTCTCAAACTCCTGACCTACGGTGATCTGCCCGCCTCAGCCTCCCAAAGTGTTGGGATTACAGGCATGAACCACCCCTCCGAACTCTTTTTGTGTTTTTGTTTTGTTTTTTCTTTTGAGACAAGTTCTCGCCCTGAGGCTGGAGTGCAGTGGCGCAATCACAGCTCACTGAGGCCTCCAATTCCTGGACTCAAGGGATCGTCCTGCCTCAGCTTCTCAAAGTGCTGGGATTACAGGCACGTGCCCCTGCTCCCGACCTCAGAATCCATTTTTTTTTTTTGAGACGGAGTTTCACTCTTGTCTCCCAGGCTAGAGTGCAGTGGCACTATCTCAGTTCACTGCAACTTCTGCCTCCCAGGATCAGGTGATTCTGTGTCAGCCTCTGAGTAGCTGGGATTACAGGTGTGCACCACCACGCCTAGCAAATTTTTATATTTTTAGTAGAGACAGGGTTTCACCGTGTTGGCCAGGCTGGTCTCGAACTCCTGACCTCAGGTGATCCACCTGCCTCGGCCTCCCAAAGCGCTGGGATTATAGGCGTGAGCCCCCGCATCTGACCTCAGAATCTTTCTTGTTGCAGAGCTGCAGGTAGTTATAATCAGCCTATGGGACTTTGCACATTATGATATTGATTTTTCTTTTTTTTTGGCCATCCCTGACATAATGCCAAACATCATTTTGCTTCATTTCTTCTTCTTTTTTTTTTAAATTTTGAGACAGGGTCTCACTCTGTCACCCAGGCTGGAGTGCAGTGGCACGATCTCGGCTCACTGCAACCTCTGCTCCTGGGTTCAAGCGATTCTCCTTCCTCAGCCTCCTGAGTAACTGAGATTACAGGCACGTGCCACTACCCCCAGCTAAGTTTTGTATTTTTTAGTAGAGACGGGGTTTCACCATGTTAGCCAGGCTGGTCTTGAACTCCTGATCTCAAATGATCCGCCCACCTTGGCCTCCCAAAGTGCTGGGTTACAGGCGTGAGCCATCGCAGCCGGCTGCCTCTTCATTTCTGTGATCAAGAATTCAAAATGAGAAACTGAGATTCGCTTTCCGTAGCATCAGGCACTATCTCCTCAATGCCAGCTGCTGTGCTAGGGCAGAGGGTGATCTCTGGCCACACCCCTGAGTCTGCTGTTCCCTTTCCAGGGAGCCCACTGTTCCTGGGGCCTCCCCAGATTGATGTCTGGAGTGGAACAGGCCACCCAAGTGAGATCCTCGGGCTCAGCCCTAGCCTTTTCAGCTCCCCAGGGAAACTGCTGCCAGACGAGATCTTGGAGGATGACATGGAGTACCTGACCCAAGGTGAGGCCCAGGCCTGGCCCTGATGCTTAGTTCATTCGGGAAACATACGGTGCCCAGGCCTGCGCTGGGCCATCCTGGGTGCCCGGGGTGAATCCTGCCCTGGCCCTGCCTCAAGGAGCCCACGGCCTAGTGGGGGAGCAGCCACAGGCTGGTGTGGTGCATGGGTGGCTTTAGAAGCCCATAGCAGGACTTGAGCTCACTCTGTGTGTTGGAGGTGACCCAGGGGAGTGGGCTGTGAGCGGGATTTGGACCTAGGGTGGGAGATCCTGAAGGAGAACGCCAGAGACGGGGACTCCGGCTAGCAGGGACGGTGTGGCTGAAGCTGGGCGGTGTGGGAGAAGCATTTCCACTCTGGCTGCCCCTCTGGTCTCCCTCCCTAGCGGCTTTCTTTGAAGAAGTGTGCTTAGATCTGGAGTCTTCACCTTCAGCCTACACGCAGGAGGCTCCACAGGAAAAGGTAGACATCCTCTGCCCCTCTGTCCACAGACACATCCATCCGTCTTTCCACACACGTCACTCATGGCTTCATTCACTCATCCACTCCCTCACCCTTTCAGCCACCATCTACCCATCTGTCCTTCCACTCATGCGTCTCCTCATCCTTAAAACCGCCCCCCGACCCTCTCTGCGCTCACTGGTGGCCACCAGATGCCGGCTCTGTGCTGGGCACGTGGAACGAATTGGACAAAATGGATAAAAAAGGATAAAAGCTGCCAGGTGCCCATAGAAAAGAAAACTCACATCATTTTATTCATTTATTTTATTTTATTTTATTTTATTTTATTTAGACTGAGTTTCCCTGTTGTCGCCCAGGCTGGGGTGCAGTGGTGCGATCTCGGCTCACTGTAACCTCCGCCTCCCGGGTTCAAACAATTCTCCTGCCTCAGCCCCCCTAGTAGCTGGGATTACAGGTGCCTGTCACCACACCCGGCTAATTGTGTATTTTTAGTAGAGATGGGGGTTCACCATGTTGGCCAGGCTGGTCTCCAACTCCTGACCTCGAGTGATCCGCCCACCTTGGCCTCCTAGAGTGCTGGGATTACAGGTGTGAGCCACCGTGCCCAGCTTCCCACATCATTTTACAACTACTCTACGAAGCAGGGTCTCCTGTGGCCCCATTTTACAGATAAGGAAATTGAAATCAAAAGACTAAGCTGGGCGCGGTGGCTCACACCTGTAATCTCAGCAGTTTGAGAGGCTGACGTAGGCGGATCACCTGAGATCAGGAGTTCAAGACCAGCCTGGCCAACATGGGGAAACCCCATTTCTACTAAAAATACAAGAAGTGTCCGGGCGTGGTGGCTCACGCCTGTAATCCCACTATTTTGGGAGGCCGAGGAGGGCAGATCACCTGAGGTCAGGAGTTGGAGACCAACCAGTCTGGCCATCATGGCGAAATACTATCTCTACTAAAAATACAAAATTAGCCGGGTGTGGTGGTACGTGCCTGTAATCCCAGCTACTCAGGAGGCTGAGGCAGAAGAATCGCTTAAACCTGGGAGGCGGGGGTTGCAGTAAGCCAAGATGGCACCGTTGGACTGCAGCCTGGGCAACAAGAGCGAAACCCAGTCTCAAAAAAGGAAAAGAAAAAGAAAAAGAAATTATCAGGGTGTGGCCGGGCGTGGTGGCTCATGCCTATACTTCTAGCACTTTGGGAGGCTGAGGCGGGCAGATCACCTGAGGTCAGGAGTTTAAACCTAGCTTGACCAATATGATGAAACCCCCTCTCTACTAAAAATACAAAATTAGCTGGGCGTGGTGGTGGGCACTTGTAACCCCAGTTACTCAGGAGTCTGAGGCAGGAGAATCACTTGAACCCAAGAGGTGGAGAATGGAGCTGAGATGGTGCCATTGCACTCCAGCCTGAGGGACAAGAGTAAGACTCCGTCTCAAAAAAAAAAAAAAGAAAGAAAAGAAAAAAAAGAAAAGAAAGGAAGAAAGAAAGAAAGACAGGGTCTTGCTTTGTTGCCCAGGCTGGAGTGCAGTGTCACCATCATAGATCAGTGCCTTGAACTCCTGGGCTCAAATGACCCTCCCACACCACCATGCCCAGCTGGTTTTTTAAATTATTTTTAAATTTAACTTAATTCAATTTCTTTTTTTTTTTTTGAGACAGAGTCTCACTCTGTCACCCAGGCTGGAGTGCAGTGGTACGATCTCGGCTCACTGCAACCTCCGCCTCCTGGATTTAAGCGATTCTTGTGCCTCAGCCTCCAGAGTAGCTGGGACTACAGGCGCCCACCAACATACCTGGCTAATTTTTTAGTATTTTTAGACAGAGTTTCGCCATGTTGGCCAGGCTGGTTTTGAACTCCTGACCTCAGGTGATCCTCCTGCCTCAGCCTCCGAAAGTGCTGAGATTACAGGCATGAGCCACTGCGCCTGGCCTATTTTTTTTTTTTTTTTTTTTTTTTTTTTGTAGAACAAGGTCTCTCTATGTTGCCCAGGCTGGTCTGTAACTCCTGGCCTCAAGCAGTCCTCCTGCCTCAGCCTCCCAGAGTGTTGGGGTTACAGGCGTAAGCCACCACACCCTGCCAATCTGAGCTGCTGCTAATGCTCATGTTATGTCCTAGAAAAGCAGTACTGGGGGGATGAAGGGGCACCACTTGTCTCCCCTCCCATCTTTCTCCCTCATCATGCCCCAGGACACAGCCTCCAAGGCCCCCAAAGACCCTCCTGAGTCCCACAGCCTGCACCGGTCCTCAGTCTCGCTGGACCACTGCTACCTCTCGCTGAGCGGGAACAGCAAGGCGCCATCCAGCTCCAGCTCCAGCTCCAGCTCCAGCTCCAGCTCGGAGGACAGCGACTCGGAGCCCCTGTGGAAGCAGCGAGAGGTGAGAGACACGGCCGCATGCCAGGGCCAGCAGGGCCTCCTTCCTCTCTCACCACCCTCTCCCTCCCCCAGGATATGCAGGCCAACCCTGTGGGCACGCCGGGCTCCAGCGAAGAGGACGAAGACACCACATGGACCCCCACCCGGCTGGCCTCACCCCTGCTGGCAGCTGAGAAAAAGGCCACGAAGGGCCAAGTAGCCAGGGCCCCTGTGAAGCCCAAGGAGAAGAAGAAAGGCCCCTGCCCACCCCAGATGAAGAAGAAGTGTGTCAACGGCTTCATCATGTTCTGCAGGATGAACCGGAAGCAGTACATCCGGTGGGTAGGGGGTCGTCTTTGGCCCTGGGGAAGGCCCTGGCTTCGTTCTCTGCCCGCAGCCTGGCCATGCCGCTCCTCACAACTGTCTGACACTTTTTCCCCCTCCGAGACCCCACAAACCCTTCGTGGACCACAGTTCTTCCCCAGAACTGAACCCGGCCCCATTGTATTGGACAGGGTCCATCCATTGTCAGCGCTGAAACCCAATTCAGGCTTTAGACTTCAGAAAAAAAGGAGTTTTTTTTGTTTTGTTTTGTTTTTTGAGACAGAGTCTCACTCTATTGCCCAGGCTGTAGTGCAGTGGCACAATCACAGCTCACTGCAATGTCTGCCTCCCGGGCTCAAATCACTGCAACCTCTGCCTCTCAGATTCTCCTGCCTCAGCCTCCTGAGTAGCTGGGATAACAGGCGCGCCATCAGCTAATTTTTGTATTTTTAGTAGAGACAGGGTTTCACCATGTTGGCCAGGCTGGTCTCGAATGCCTCACCTCAAGTGATCTGCCTGCCTCGGCCTCTCAAATTGCTGGGATTACAGGTGTGAGCCATCAGGCCCAGCAAGAAAAGAAAATGAATTGGCTTATATAACCTAGAAAACAAGGGCGGGTATAGACTGCCTTGAGACATAGCTGGTTTTAGGGCTCACACAGGCTGTCTGGAATCTTTGTCCTTTTCACCCAGTTCCTCTGTCTTCCGGGCTGGCTTCATTCTCTGGCAGGTGGGGTCACCCCAGGAGGCACAGGCTCGGGTCCTGTCCCCCACCCAAGCGACCCCGGGAGGAGGAGAGGTCTCTAAGGTTTTAAGCAAAGTCCTTGGGACTGACTTTGGTAGATCCGGTGCCAACCCTGAACCAGTCACTGCCAGGCCTGGAGCCAGGGGATGGGGAGGCCCCCCCCAAGCCACAGTGGAAAACAGCTAGTTCCTTTACAGGAAGATCCAGATGTGGGGGCCAGGAGCGGTGCCCACAGGTCCCCTGCACTCTCCTGGGACACCAGGTGCCCCCTTGTGAACAGCCGCTGAGTCCAGCTCCCTCTGCCTCCTCAGCTCCAGAGGGTGGTCTTGGAGGCCTTGTAGACCCACAAGGCTAGGAAGGGTCTGAGTTCTCAGTCAGGGTGTCCTGCAGACCTCTCCTTACCTCCTCCTCCTTCCTGTCCCAGATCCTGCCCTGGAACCGCTTCCACAGCTGCCACCAAGGAGCTGGCCCAGCTGTGGCGGGTGATGACCCAGCAGGAGCGGAGGCCATACTGGTGAGAGGCTCCGGCCCCGAGGTGTGGGTGGGGGGTGGAAGAGCCTCCCTACCCCGGAACCCTGCTCTGTCTCTGGAGCCTTGGGTGTCATGGCATGGGAGACTGGGCCGAGGAATTTGCGTGTTGCCCCTTCTTATGAAACCCTTGGGGGTGACACAGGTGTAGGGGTACCCCACCACAGCTAAGCTGGGGAACAGCTGAGCCCAGACATGGACCCCTGCCTCAATTCTTTTGCTGTCTCTGCCACACGACTTTCTCGGGGCGTGGTCTGATTTTCCTGTCGCTTGGCCACCTCGACTCCCCCGAATCCTGTCCCCTCCACCTTCAAGGAGCTGCCACCTGCCCTGGCTCCTGACTTTGAACACATCCCAGAGCCCTTGGCCGAGTCCCATCTTACTGACTGGGACTTGGTGGACCCAAGGCTCGCCCAATAGAGGCTAAAACGGTGGCCCAGGCCCCTGCGGGGACACAGGATTGGGAGTGGTACAGGGATGCCCGGGAGGCGAGTGAGGAAGCCAGGCCATCCTGCCACCGTCTCCCCAGCACCAAGGCTCGCAGGTTCAGCCGCCAGCACAACCGCATCGTGAAGCAGGACGGCTCCAGCAGCGAGGCTGAGGACTGGGAGACGCCAAAGCCCTTCTACCAGCTGCTGGCCGAGAAGGCCTTGCCGCTGCCCCCGCACCTCCAGTGAGAGGGCGGCCCCTCGCCTCGCTCCCCTCACCCCTCATGGCAACCGCGGCTCTTGCTGGAAGCCAGGACCCATCGATGAACTTGTCCCTCCTGGGCCTCCAGCCCCTGAGAATGCAGGTCCCATGGGACTGGGGAGGGGGGCACTGATTAGCCCCAACCGCTGGGCACATTTGCCTGGAGCACCAGAGTCACCCACAGCTGCCTTGATTCTCCCCCAGGCTTAGGAAGGAAACCCAAAATGAAATGCGGGGTGTCGGAAGGTGAAGTTTACCCACCCCTCTCCCCTTCCCTTCCCCACCCCAGAGCCACTCGGTTGCAACCCTGTTCATGCTCACCTCACCCTACTCCTCCCTCTCCTGTTCTATTTTTAGACTATTTATTGTTTTAAATAAAATAAAGCAAGTGGAACCTTTGTTACCAGCAAGAGAGACAAGGGCAGGCCCTCCTGCGTCCCCCTGCTGCCCCACTGGGGTGCTCCGTCCACCCTCATCTGGAGGCCTGTGGCTTGCAAGAGGCCTCAGTGCCACCCCCTCCCCAGCCACTCTGTGCATCTGAATGCAAACCCCTCTTCCCCTCGGGAGGCAGCAATGGGAAGGCCAGGTCTCGAGGTGGGCTCTGTGTTCAGCGCTGCTTTGGACAGACACTGGAAGGCACCCCAGACCCCTGGTGGTGGTGTAATCCGATAACTTTATTTTAATTGAAAATGGAGGCATAACATGTCCTAGAAAAATAAAGATTTAGGATACAAAGGAGACACAGCGGCAGGGCTGCCCCCAGGGATGAGGGAATCTTTGGTCTGGGCCGGATAATGAGGACAAGGGCTTGAGTCGAGGGGAGCTGGTGAAGGAAGACCCCCGTCTCCCCACAGCTGCCCCACCCCCCGCCCCTGGCAGGAAATGCCACACTGGGGAGGGTCTCCAGTCTCAGGGGCGCGGGGCTGCCTGTCCTCCACCTTCGGATTCCAGGCAGTTGTGACAACACCAGCTATCGGCAGAGCTATTAATAGTGTTTCAGGGAGTGACAGGGAGAGGGCTCTGGGGGCTGGAAGTCCGGCCCTGGGGCAGGGTGTTCCGCTTACAGCTAGTACCAAGTGGAGGGGGCAGGGCCCCTGAGTCAGGACCCTGAGTCCCCCACGTATATGGCAGGGCACAGCATGGGGAGGGCTGTAACAGAGAGGCCTCCCATCCAAAGGGGGATGGAGACCTGGACAGGAGGTGGCCGGGGATACAACCCCCAGCACCACCAGGGCTTGGAGAGGCCACCCAGGCAGAAGGATGTGGTGACTGGGGTCTTCAGCAACCGCATTTCTGGGGCTCCCCCCTCCCATTCCTGTCCCTGCGTCTTCAGCACCAATGTCGGGAGAGGCCACGGGGCCACACTGGGTCACAGTTCCAAGGGCTCCTCCACAGGCACCGACTGGAGCTGGGTCAGAACCTTGGCCTCAGCTTCCAACCCCTCGTCAACCTCACCCCCTGCGGTGGCCCCCAGGAGCAGCCCCTCAGGGTCGGGGTCTGGCAGCCTCAGCACGGTGTGGGGGGCCTGTGTCCCCAGCCCCTTTTCCGCTTCCAGCAGCCCCTCTGTTCCTGCGCTTAGTTCCAGCCCTGCTGACCAGACAGGCACGGCCGCGGGTGACAACATCAGCCCCTCTGGTGGGGGCGCCGGGAAGTTGGGCAGGAGGCCAGGGGAGTCAGGGGAGAAGGGCAGGCTGGTGCTGGAGGTGGTGGCAGCGGCGGGGGGTGGCTGCTGTGCAGAAAGGGTGCCTAGGGCGTGAGCCTCTGGGAGAGCAGGGCTGGGGGCCACCGGGAGGCCTCCCTCAGGCACGGAGATGGCCGTCTCTGGCTTCAGTGGCAGGGCCAGGCCGGGGGCTGGCGGCAGGACCTGGGAGACGAGCATGCTGGTGGGGAAGGTGGCGGTGAGGATGATCTTGCCCTGCTGCAGGGCCACACCCGTCACGATGGGGCTGCCAGACACAGGGTTGGCCAGGAGGAAGTTTCCTGTGGGGAGAGAGGGACCGAGCGCAGGTGAGAGCCAGGAGAGCAGGCCAAGCCAGAGAGAAGTGGAGACTGTGCAGCTGGAGGGCGGGCGGAGGGAGCCTTGTGGTGGGCCTTGGGGCACTGGGACTTGCCAGGGATGAGATGCCCTCCAGGAGCCCAGGGACAGCCCCTCCCTCTCCGAGATGACTGCACCCCTCCCCGGCTCTCACCTAGGCCTGAGGGAGGGAGATGGGGGTACCTGGGGCAGTGGCCGAAGGCAGCTGCAGGGCAGTCACGCCCACCCCGGAGTTGATGAGGTGCACATTGGCAGGGCCTGCTGCAGCTGCCACCTTCACAGGGCTGCCTGGCCCGGCTGCCAACAGCTGCAGGGGCCCCACAGCCTGGGGCAGGGTCACCACCTGTGAGGTGGGTACTACCTGGGGCAGGTTCAATAGTGGGGAGGTGGGGCTCAGGCCCGTGGGATACCCCGGGGGTGGGGAGAGCGGTACCACTTGTGGGGCAGCCACAGCAGGCACTGGCCCCGGGGGCAGAGGAAAGGTGGCAGCCGTCGGGGGGCCAGGCACCACTTGGGCCAGGGGCCCCAGGACCTCCTCTCCAAGGGCTGGTCCCGGAGCAGCCACCTGGGCCCCTTTGGTCTCAGGGGCCTCCGACTGAGCCTCCTCCAGCCGCACCTCCCCTGTCTGAGGGTCCAGGACCAGAGAGGTCTTGGTCTCGCTGGCCCCCTGAGGGCTGGGCTGCGGTGGAGGGGCACCCCCGCCCCCAGTGAGCAGCAGCGGGCCCAGGCTGGAGGCCTCGCCCAGGGCCAGGCCGTTGATGATGACGGGGCCCCCGTTGAGGAGCACTGCTGGGGAGCCGCTGGCTGCCAGGAAGCTCCCGTTCACCAGGATGGAGGAGGAAGCCGGGCAAGGCGCGGGAGGGCCGGTCCCTGCCAGGAATATGGAGCCCTGGGCAGCGGCCTCGGCGGACACTGGGGCCGCCCCTCTCTCCAGGTCCTCAGGACTTCGGCTGGACTCGTCCTCAGTCGTGGGATTCCCATCAGACTCGCTGGCCGGAGAAATGGCTGTCAGCTGGGGTCCCTTAGCCTGTGGGGCCTCCCGCATAGCCAGCCAGCTGCTCCCCCACCTTTCCCTGGCCCAAGTTTCGGTGGATCATTCCAGGGGTTATGACGCCTCTCTGAGACCACTCCAAACTCCAGGGCCTTTTGCAAGCCCTGCGTGGACACCACTGCAGAGAAGCGCTGGGGAGGGAAGAGGCCCTTGCTCTCCCCCACCTCGGCCTCGGGTCCCCAGAGGCTGAGCTCCCAGGTTGCCCTAAAAGTTCCTTGGTTGGGCGGAAAGCGGGCGAGTGGCCTGGAGAGAGGGAGCAGCAGCCGCCAGCCCAGTTCCCGGTGCCCTCCCCGCGGGGCGTCAGAGAAGGGAGAGGCCGGCGCTCAGGGTGGGAGGAGAAGGGTTTGGGTTACAGGGAAACCGGAGCTGGGAAAGGTTCACGTTTCACAACAAAGGCAGAAGACGGACCACGCCGTCCGGGCCCGGAGGGAGTGTGGGGGCGGGTGGGTAAGAGTAACGGTCAGTGAAGAAAGGGGGCTGGGAGGCAGCCCCTACGCGGAGTGGAGTGGCCACAGGCCCTGTCCTTTTTCCTCAGTCCCTCTAGTGCCCCCCGCAGTGTGATTCCCCAACACCGATGGGATTTGGGAAGGAGCTCGGAATGGAGCCGCTGGAAGAGGAGACGCGTGCGGGGAGAGGGCCCGGGCGGGTGCCTGTCCCGTCCACACTTAGTCCCCGCGCCCCGCGGGCGCCTGAGATTGTGAGCTGGTCCCGGGAGATGTCCGAGGACCTCGGCGCGCCGGCCCCAGCAGTGGGCACGGGGGAAGAGGGCTGGTGGACGGGATGTCCCCGGGAGAGCTGGACTTGCGCCGCCCGAGGCCCCTCACCTCTTGCAGGGCGCGCCGCCTCCGGCCCCGGTCCGGTCGCGCTGTCGCCGGTTCTTGAACCAGTTGCTGACCTGCGTGAGCGACAGGCCGGTGAGTGTGGCCAGGCGGCGCTTCTCGTCCGGCGTGGGGTAGCGGTTGCCGCGGTAGCAGGCCTTGAGCGCTGCGCGGGAGCGCTCCTTGAAGCAGTAGACTGTCTCCTCGCCGTCCCAGATGGTCTTGGGCAGCGGGAACTTCTTGCGCAGTCGATACTTGTCCACTGCGCCAAGCGCGCGGCCGCGGGCCCGCTCGGCCTCATGGTAGCGCGCGCGCAGGTAGAGGTCCTGCAGGAAGGCGTGGTGGGCGGCGGGGAAGGGGCGGCTCTCGAGTAGCCGGTAGAGCTCGGCGTACTCGCCCCGCTGGAAGGCCACCAGGGCCCGCGCGCGCAACACCGGGTCGCTGCCACGTAGGCGCTCGGCCGGGGGCAGTGCGCCCAGGAAGCGGCTCAAGCGGCCGGCGTGGCCCGCCTGGAGCAGCGCCTCGCAGACGCACGCCACCTGCTCGGGCGAGAAGCGGAGGCCCGTGGGCGGTTCGGAAGCGGCCTCGGGGGGCGACCCGGGGACGCCCGGGGATCCCGGGCCCTCAGCTCCCGCAGCCGCTGCGCCCGCCCCGGCCCCGGCCGCCGCCGCCGCCTCACCCTCGGCCGCCTGCAAAGTCTGCAAGAGCTGGCGCGCTTCCTCCTCCTCCTCTTCGGTCGCCGCCGCCGCCGCCACCGCCTCCCCCCCAGCCGCCGGCCCCGCGCTCGGCTCCGCAGGCAAGGTAGCCATGTTTTGCAACTTTGGGAAGTTCCTCCCTCCCTCTCTTCCTCCCTCGGGCTTTCCCCAGCCTCCTCCCCCACCTGTCCCCCCTTTTCGCCCCCACTCCCCGCTCTTCTCGATCTTCTTTCTGGCCGACCCTGCGCCCCACGCCGGGAAGGCGAGATCCAGCTCTCCACTCGGGTCTCTGTCCCCTTGTGTGTGTCCGTCCCCCTCCCGTCTGTCTGTGATTCTCCCTTTGTTTTCCCTCCGCCTCTGGCCGCGCTTTCTGCCTCCCCCCAGCGTGTGCTTCTGGCTCAGGGCCTCAGTTTCCCCATCGGGACAACGCAGAAGGTAACGGGCCGTCCAGGAGGACTAAGGGCGCGAAGCCTCCGCCCCGAGACTGAGCTTCTGCACGCCTCCGTCTCCAGGGTCCTCTGCAGGCCCCCACATTCCCCATCTCGGCCTGCGCTCCGCCCCTCGGAATTCCCGGCTCCGCAGGGGGGGCGGGTCTGGCCGGGAGGAGGGGCGGGGAACGGGCTAGAAAGTTTGCAGCAACTTTTCTCGAGCTTGCGTCCCAGGAGCGGATGCGCGTGGCGTGCGCAGGCGCAGTGGAAGGAGGATGGCCGCGCGCGCTGCCAGCCCAGCCCCCTCTTCTCGACGCTCGGTGGCACAGCTGGGCCACAGCTGGGCGGGGGCGGTGCCTCCGGGTGGCCCGCTCGCCCTCCTATTGGCCGGACGCCAAAGCCCCGCCCCGTGGCTTTTCCTCCCCCAACCCTGATTCGGCCGCTTCGCATCCCGCTAGCTCCTCCCAGACCTTCGGCCGCCTCCACACGCCTCCGGATTGGCCCGCTGCGGAGCCTCCGGCCCACAACGCAAACCGCGGACACTGTGGAGTCCAGAGCTTTGGGCAGATGGAGGGCCTTTTATTCGCGAGGGTCGGGGGTGGGGGTCCTAGGTGGGGACAGACAATAAATACCGAGGAATGTCGGGGTCTCAGTGCATCCAAAACGTGGATTGGGGTTGTTGGGGGTCCTGTAGCCTGTCAGCGAGTCGGAGGACGAGGTCAATAAATATCCAAACCGCCGAAGCGGGCGGAGCCGGCTGGGGCTCCGAGAGCAGCGCAAGTGAGGAGGGGGGCGCGGGATCCCCGAAAAAGCGGGTTTGGCAAAAGCAAATTTCCCGAGTAAGCAGGCAGAGATCGCGCCAGACGCTCCCCAGAGCAGGGCGTCATGCACAAGAAAGCTTTGCACTTTGCGAACCAACGATAGGTGGGGGTGCGTGGAGGATGGAACACGGACGGCCCGGCTTGCTGCCTTCCCAGGCCTGCAGTTTGCCCATCCACGTCAGGGCCTCAGCCTGGCCGAAAGAAAGAAATGGTCTGTGATCCCCCCAGCAGCAGCAGCAGCAGCAGCAGCAGCAGCAGCAGCAGCAGCAGCAGCAGCAGCAGCAGCATTCCCGGCTACAAGGACCCTTCGAGCCCCGTTCGCCGGCCGCGGACCCGGCCCCTCCCTCCCCGGCCGCTAGGGGGCGGGCCCGGATCACAGGACTGGAGCTGGGCGGAGACCCACGCTCGGAGCGGTTGTGAACTGGCAGGCGGTGGGCGCGGCTTCTGTGCCGTGCCCCGGGCACTCAGTCTTCCAACGGGGCCCCGGAGTCGAAGACAGTTCTAGGGTTCAGGGAGCGCGGGCGGCTCCTGGGCGGCGCCAGACTGCGGTGAGTTGGCCGGCGTGGGCCACCAACCCAATGCAGCCCAGGGCGGCGGCACGAGACAGAACAACGGCGAACAGGAGCAGGGAAAGCGCCTCCGATAGGCCAGGCCTAGGGACCTGCGGGGAGAGGGCGAGGTCAACACCCGGCATGGGCCTCTGATTGGCTCCTGGGACTCGCCCCGCCTACGCCCATAGGTGGGCCCGCACTCTTCCCTGCGCCCCGCCCCCGCCCCAACAGCCTACAGCTGTTGTTAGTCCACTCGCACGCCTCGAATCCCGTCCGAACTCGTCATTGGCTGCTTCCTAGCGGCCTGTGTTGATTGGCTGCCCGAAGATCCGCCCTCCTGCCGTGGGCCCAGCCCCGCAAATGCGCAGCTAAGCGGGTGGCAAGGGGCGGGTGGAGCGCGGGGCGCGACGGCGGAGGGGGGCGTGGGCAGCCGGACGTACCCTGGCAGGGAGCAGCAGGTGGCGGCGGTGCATGGGGCCTGGCCCCACCAGCGGGCACTGGCCCACAGCCACGGCCGGGGGGCCATCTAGCTGGAGAGAGAAGGGACAGGTGACCCGATCGGAGCCCAGCCCAGCCCTCAGCGGTGGGGCGAGAGACAGCGAGGGGAATCGAGGTTGGGGAGGTTATCTAGGGAGATCCCGGAGGGAATCTGGTGAGGCCTGAACGGAGGGAGATCTGGGGCTGAATAAAGGGCTTCTGCCCTCTAAAGTCGCAAAGACGTAGGGTGAGCCCTATATCTGGACGGGGAGACCAGGAGCCAGGGAGGGGATCTGCAGAATGGGCAGCAGGTCTGAGGCAGGGGAAAGAGAGGGGTCTTACATGGGAAGGTGGATCCGTGGCCCGGGGACTGGGGACCCCCGTGACAGCTGGAAGGAGAAGAAAGAGGCATAGGGCGCGTGGAGGGGCGAAGGAGGGCGGTGGCGCGGCGTGCCCCAGCGTGGGTCCCTTCCCTCCTCCAGGTGTCTATACACGCCCCGCGGAGCAGACGGCCCACCTCCTCCCGGTCCTCCGGGGAAGGGGACACATGAGGGACTCACCTGTGGCTCCCTCTGCCTGCAGCAACTCCATCCGCTCCTGCAACTGCCGGACGTGTGCCTCTAGGTCCCGGTTCCGAGCCTCTGCCTCGCGTAGTTGACTGTGGGGAGGTAAGGACGGTGAGTCCGTCCGGGCCGGACGAGAGGGGATGCCAAGGGTTGCCACCGGCCCGCATCCCGGCCCCGGCCCCGGCCCCGATCCCGACCTGGCGAAGTTCTGGTTGTCCGTGCGGATGGCCTCCATCTCCCGGCTCAGGCTCTGCCGGGTGAGCACCTCCTCCTCCAGGGCTTCCTGGAGCTCCCGCAGCGTCACCTCGGCCTCAGCCTCTGCCGCAGGGACAGCCGCTGGAACTGCCACTTCAGCCTGTGTATGGGGACCAGGCTTAAGGCTGCCTGTGGCTCCTGGAAGACTCAGGACTTGGGCACTGGTTCCAGGCTAGGAATCCTTGTTTATCCCCTACTCCTCCGTCCCCTCAACATTTCTGGAATCCCCATAGCTCCTGCAATGATCCAAGCCCCCTCCCTTCCCTACCTCCCTCAGCCCCATCCCTGAGTCTGGTCCTCTAAATCTACACAGGGACCAGAGGGCTGGTGCTCAAACACTAACACAACCTATGTCCCTCTGCTGCTCAAAATCCCTCCAGCTCCCTAATGCCCTCACGACAAAAGGCCTTGCTGGGTTTTGTTTCCTGCTGGCCTCTCCAGCCTTCTCAGGAATGATTCAGCCAAACTACCTTTCAGGAACAAATCAGGATTCCCACCTGCCCAAGGCCTTTGCCCTGGAGGCTCTCGCCTGACCACTTGGCACCTTTCCTTCCATGGCTTGTTTCTCCTTCACCAGCGCTCAGCTCAAAGATCGACTTCTCAGATCCCCAGCAACACACACACCCTTACTTAATGCCCCACTGTAACTACAGAGACCGTCCCATGTCTGAAGTAACCTCGTCTCTCCGTGGTTTCTGTCTGCTTCTGTTCAGGAAGTCCCTAGAGGGCTCTACAGTGCACGCCACCCGGGAAGCCCTCACCTTTTCTCTCCCAATTGTCCCTGACGGACCCCCTCCCCTCCACCAACTTACTGTTTCATCCTGTGGGGACACCGAGGGCTCCAGGCTGGGCGCTTGCACGTGTGGCTCAAGCAGCTGCTCGGCCTCCAGTTCCATGGGTGTGGGGCCTGGGACCTCACTGTCCCTGGGGAGAGGAGGAGGGAGTGGGGAGGGAGACAGAATGCTGATTCTCTGGTGGAGAACCAGAACTTCTGGCCTGTGGGTAGGGGCAGCTGCTTCCAAGACCTCCTGATTTGAGGAAGGGGAGCAGCAGAGCGAAGAGAACAGAGTCCCAGGTAGGCCAATAGCCCCTCCTCTGCTTAGGAAAAGCCCTGCCCCTCTCCTGGCCTTGGGCCCCTGGGAGCTGCTCTTTCTAAACCTTCTGCAGGGACTTGGGGTCCAGACCCCCATGTTCTAGGGTCAGCTCATCTCCTCCCTTGACATGTGACCGCTGCAGACCCCTCTTCTCAGGGCCTCAGGACAGGGAGGCCGACCTGATGGGGAGACTGCTTGGCTCTGGCCACCTCCACAGATGTGGTCCTAAGACTGGGCATGGGACCCCAAGATGGCAACTTGAGGTCAGCACACCCCACTCAGCTGTGGGAAGGGGACAGCTCCTCCCTGGGGTATGAAGTGGCTGTCCCCTCCAACCCAGCAGTCCCTCCTGTGGGAACACGGCTCAGGACCTAGCTATCCTGGACATGCGCCTGGGTTCTAATAGAGGATGGGTTCAATCCTGACCCACCGTTCAGGCCCCGCAGCGGTTCAGAATCAAGCTGGAGTTCATTAATGATAAGGTATAGTATGTGTAATGTTGTCCAGTAATAAAAGCTGACTAGAAAACCAACTGTTCTCTTAGACAAAGTAGCATGAGGAAGGGGAAAAAAACAAACCAAAAAAACACCTGTTCTCCACTATTTAAACATGTGTCAGTACACGTGTGAGCCAGGGACCACTGCCATCTGGTGAGCTCACGAGATATCAACTTCCTTTTCCTTATCTGTATTTTCTAATTTACTTGTGATAAGCAATGCATTATTTGTGTAATTAATACTTTTGTTGAGACCAGGTCTCACTTTGTTGCCTAGGCTGGAATCTATCATGGCTCACTGAAGCCTCAAACTCCAGGCTCAAGTGATTCTCCTACTTCAGACTCCTGAGTAGCTAGGACTGCAGGCACAGACCACCATGCCTGGCACGATTTTTTCAATTTTTTGTAGAGACAGGGTCTCATTATGTTGCTCAGGCTGGTCTTGAACTCCTGGGCTGAAGCAATCCGTCCACTTCAGCCTCCCAAAGTGCTGGGATTCCAAGCGTGAGCCACCATGCCCAGCCTGTAAATTAGTACTTTTTTTTTTTTTTTTTTGAGATGAAGTTTCACTCTTGTTGCCCAGGCTGGAATGCAATGGCACGATCTCAGCTCACCACAACCTCCCCCTCCTGGGTTCTGATTCTCCTGCCTCAGCCTCCTGAGTAGCTGGGATTACAGGTATATGCCACCACGCCTGGCTAATTTTGTTTTTTAGTAGAGATGAGGTTTCTCCACGTTGGTCAGGCTGGTCTCGAACTCCTGACCTCAGGTGATCCACCCACCTCATCCTCCCAAAGCACTGGAATTACAGGCGTGAGCCACCACACCCGGCCTAAATAAATACTTTTTTTTTTTTTTTTTTGAGACGGAGTCTTGCTCTGTCGCCCAGGCTGGAGTGCAGTGGCATGATCTCGGCTCACTGCAAGCTCCGCCTCCCGGGTTCATGCCATTCTCCTGCCTCGCCTCCCAAGTAGCTGGGACCGCAAGCGCCCGCCACCATGCCCGGCTAATTTTTTTGTATTTTTAGTAGAGACGGGGTTTCACCGTGTTAGCCAGGATGGTCTCGATCTCCTGACCTCATGATCCACCTGCCTTGGCCTCCCAAAGTGCTAGGATTACAGGCGTGAGCCACCGCGGCCCGCCTAAATTAATACTTTTAAATGGCCTTATTGTTATATGGCTGATTCAAAGAATTTGCATTCTTTTACAACTGATTGTAAAAGTCTAAACTTCATATTTTCCAAGTTCTGAAGTCCTGTGGCTCTGTGTACTACAGACGTAAAAGTTAATGGTTACAAGATTCTGGGAAGCCCAGTCTGTGACTCTGAGGTTTTAAAATTCAATCTAACATTTTGAAGTACATAGATCTGAAAATTTAAGGTCCTCCAACTCTGGCCTCTTAGGAGTCTTTGGGCCCAAAACAGTAAGGTTCCAAGACTGATCCTGCAACTCCATTGGCTGCCAAGGAGCAGGACCCAGGAAGCTCAAGCAGCCTCGTGGCCCCTGGAGGCCGTCCAGGGCAGTGCTTACCTGAGGGCCATGCAGGAGTAGGAGTAGCCCACAAAAGGCAGGTGGACCCCTAGCGGCGCACCTTCCCGAATGTCCGACAGTGTCTCCTGCGCAAGACACACAGATGTGAGCAGCAGTCGTCAGGGCGGGCCCCTCACTGCTTTTTGATCTTGGCTTACATGTTCCCCCCAAACCAGCCCCAACTCAGGGCTTATCTAAAGTGGCCCCTCCAGCATTTTTTCTTTTTTCTTTTTCTTTGATACGGAGTCTCGCTCTGTTACCCAGGCTGGAGTGCAGTGGTGCAATCTCAGCTCACTGCAACCTCCGCCTCCCAGGTTCAGGCGATTCTCCTGCCTCAGCGTCCTGAGTAGCTGAGATTACAGGCGCCCTCTACCACGCCTGGCTAATTTTTTATATTTTTGGTAGAGACGGGGTTTCGCCACGCTGGCCAGGCTGGTCTCCATCTTCTGACCTCAAGTGATCCGCCTACCTCAGCTGTTGTAGTCCCAAACTCTGGGCTCAAGCAGTCCTCCAACCTCAGCCTCCCAAAGTGCTGGGATTACAAATATAAGCCACTGTGCCCAGCCCAGTTCTGTTTTTTTTTTTTAGATGGAGTCTTGCTGTCTCCCAGCCTAGAGTGCAGTGGCACAACCCCAGCCCACTGCAAACTCTGCCTCCCAGGTTCAATCAAGCGATTCTCCTGCCTCAGCCTCCTGAGTAGCTGGCATTACAGGCATACGCCACCAAGCCTGGCTAAATTTTGTATTTTTAGTAGACACAGGGTTTCACCATGTTGGCCAGGCTGGTCTTGAACTCCTGACTTCCAGTGATCTGCCTGCCTCAGCCTCCCAAAGTTCTGGGATTACAGGCGTGAACCACCTTGCCCAACCCTTTTTTTTTTTTTTTTTTTTGAGACAGAGTCTCACTCTGTCACCCAGACTGGAGTGTAGTGGCATGATCTTGGCTCACTGCAAACTCTGCCTCCCAGGTTCAAGCAATTCTCCTGCCTCAGCTTCCCCAGTAACTGGAATTACAGGCACCCGAGACCACACCCAGCTAATTTTCTTGTATTTTTAGTAGAGACGGGGTTTCACCGTGTTGGCCAGCCTAGTCTCAAAACTCCTGATCTCATGACCCACCGGCCTTGGACTCCCAAAGTGCTGGGATTACAGGCATGAGCCACAGCGCCCGGCCGCGGTCCAGCCTATTTTTTTTTTTTTTTTTTTTTTTTTCTGAGACAGAGTCTCGCTCTGTCGCCCAGGCTGGAGTGCAGTGGCACGATCTCGGCTCACTGCAAACTCTGCCTCCCGGGTTCACGCCATTCTCCTGCCTCAGCCTCCTGAGTAGCTGGGACTACAGGCGCCCGCCACCACGCCTGGCTAATTTTTTGTATTTTTAGGAGAGATGGGGTTTCACCGTGTTAGCCAAGATGGTCTCGATCTCCTGACCTCGTGATCCACCCGCCTCGGCCTCCCAAAGTGCTGAGATTACAGGCGTGAGCCACCACGCCCGGCCAGCCCAGCCTATTTTTTAATTTCAGTTTATCTTATTTTTGAGACAGAGTCTCTCTCCGTTGCCCAGGCTGGAGTGCAGTGGCACAATCACAGCTCACTGCAGCCTTGACCTCCTGGGCTCAAGCCCACGTCGGCCACCCTAGTAGCTGAGTATACAGGCATGCGCCACCACGCCCAACCAATTTTTAAAACATTTTTGTAGAGACGGGGGTCTCACCACATTGCCCAGGCTGGTCTCGAACTCCTGGGCTCAAGCAATCCACCCACTTCGGCCTGCCAAATTGCTGGGGTTACAGGCGTGAGCCACCGTGCCTGGCCCCATCATTTTTTCTTGTATCCTGTTGCTTCCCTTCAGGGCACCTGCCACACTCTCCATAATTCTCTAATTCTCTAGACTGCAACTGGATGAGGGCAGGGACCAGAGCTCATCTGGTCCGTGCTGGATCCCCAGTATTGTTCAGCAAAAGGGCACCCAGAGCCGAGCAAGCATGCCATGACAGCTTGTTACACGGTGAAGAGAGACGGCCTAAGGGAGGAGGAGTCCTCTCCTGCTTCTCATCCCTCCAAGTCTCAGCTCAGATAGCTCCCCACTCCAGAAAGCCCTCCAGGACCTTCCTTGCTGAGTCAGGAGTCCCCCACCCCCTGCACTCCATTGTCTCAGCCCTGATCACTCTGGGGCCTTACTGTCTGAAGACTGCTCTGTGTTCCCCCACTGGACTGTAAGTCTAGGTCACTGCTGGGTCCTCAGTAGTAGATGGGCACAGAGCAGGTGCTCTGGGGAATGAGTGATTCAGGACCCCAGAAGGTAGGCACTGTCCTTACTCCAACTTTATGGAGGGAGCATGGGGAGGTTCCCGCAGCCGAGCAGGGGCCACAGGTACCTACCCCGCCCCCGCTCACCATGGCAGTGAGCCCGTCCTCCACCAAGTCGAAGTTGCATGTGTCGGTGGCACCTTCGAAATCCGGTGTAAAGGGGGGCACGCTGTCCCGGAGACCATCCCAGTCGAGGCCAAAGAAGAAGGGATGTGTCCGGAAGTCGCCTGCTCCACCCCGGCCCAGCCGTGTCTCCGGGGGACACAGCAACCGCTGAATGAAGTCTCGAGCCTCCTCAGGGACCCCTTCGTCCACCAGCGGCAGAGAGAGGTGCTCCTGCTCAGAGGGAGAGGAGGCGATAGCCTGGGAGCGCCTACCGGGAGAGGCCAGGTCTCCCTGCGGCCGTGCTCACCTTGTAGTGGACGATCTTGCCATAGGTCTCCGCCGTGGAATCCGCGTAGAAGGGCGTCTGCCCATAGAACATTTCATAGGCGAATACACCCAGCGCCCACCAGTCACACTCGGGCCCGTAGCTGCCTGTCCCAGGCCCACCGCCCACAGCCTGCAGGATCTCGGGGGACAGGTAGTCTGGGGTGCCCACAGCCACCAGCGACCGCACCTGGACCAAAAGGAGCAGAGCGAGGCTTGGGCCCACCCCTCTGGGCCCACCAGCTCTGGGCCCTCCTTCCAACCACTCCCCAAATGCTTAGCCCCTCCCTCTGCCTGGTCTAATACTCCGCCACACAGATGCACACTTAAGCCTGGGTCACACCACCTCTTTTCCCCTCCAAATCCAGTCCCGCTCCCACACTCTGTGCCTTCCATCCCTCATCAGCAGCCCCAGTTGCTCTGTGGCCAGGGCACTGGCTCACCGTTCCATCTGCCCGCAGCTTGAGGCAAGAGCCGAAGTCGGCCAGGCGGATGTGGCCACAGCGGTCCAGCAGGATGTTGTCGGGTTTGATGTCCCTGCACGGAGGAAAAGAGAAGGGTGGGATAAATGAACCTCCCTTCTGTGGTCCCACCAGGCTCCGCCCCTCCGGGCAGTGCCACCTGGGACCCCACTTCCTCGGGTTCCGCCCCTGTAGGGCTTCTACAGTTCTGACCCCTACTCCCAGGCACCCCCCGGTGGGCCCCAACCAAGAAGGTCCCTCTCCAGGCCCTGGCCTCTCTGGGCTCTGACCTTCCAAGAACCCGGCCAGGGAACAAGCTTGCTATCCCCTCGGCCATGCTGCACCCACCTGTGCACGTAGCCAAGCCGGTGCACCGAGTCTATGGCCATGACAATCTCCGCCAGGTAGAAGCGCGCCATCTCGGCCGGAATCCGCTCCCCAAACTTGCTCAGCAGTGTCAGCAGGTCCCCGCCCACGTAATACTCCATGACCAGGTACTGAGAAGGGGTTCGTCATGGGTGGTTGGTAGTCCCCTGAGGCCCTGATCCATCACGGATGGCTGGGACAACCCCTCCCAGAGACACCCCATCCTTGGGCAGAGACCTGCAGCCCCAGCCCAGAGATAACCATAGAGATCTGCCGGGCCAAATCAGAGACCACCTGCGGCCCCCGCCCCCGCCCCTCAAAAAAAAACACAAACAAAAAAACTTTCCTGGGATGTCACTGGGCAGATTCACTCCCCCTGAGATGTTCTGGGAAAGAGAACCCAGAGGCCACCCAACACCCAGAGAATAGGTCCCAGACACTCCTTCCCTAGGCAGTGGCCCCGTTAGAATTCCTGAAGACCTATCCCATTCCAGGTAAGAGACCCCCCGCAACAGAGACATCTTTATAAGAGTCCCCCAGATCACCCCAGAAACGGGCAGTGAAGGACACCATCCCCGTCTCAGATAGGGAAGGCCCCTCATCCACCTGACACACCCTCTTACCGCACACAGACTTTCCCACAGACGTTTCCGGGCAGCACCCCCAATCCTAGAGCTTCCTCTCCCCACCTCCTCGTCCAGTGACAGCACGGGCTCTTGTCCCTCTTCCTAGTCACCCCGGCCCGGAGCTCACCAGGTAGTTCTCATCCTGGAAGGCGAAGTGCAGCTGCGTGATCCACCGCCGGTCCCCATTCACCAACACGTCCCTCTCCTCACGGAAGCACGACACCTGCAGGGCACCCGGAGGAGCTGCAGCCGGAGACGGGGCGCGGATCCTCAAAGCCCCCCACGTCCGCCCAGCCCCTCACCTCGCCCCTCTTCAGCATGTCCCACTTGTTCATGATCTTCATGGCATACACCTGGCCCGTCTGCTTCATCTTCACTACCGCTACCTGAGGTCGAGATAGTGAGACAGAGTGGAGACGGCGGGAAAACAAAAGGGCTCGCCCAGACCCAACTCCACCCGCTTCTGCACCCAGCCGTGGCCCCGCCCCACCTGCCACACCACGCCCATTGGTCCCAAGCCCCGCCTCCAGCCCAGCCCTAGGTTCTAAGGCTCGGTCATTCATCAATTTCTAAGGCCCCGCCCCAACCCCTATGCCCCGCCCACCACGAGTCAAGTCAGGCTCCCGCCCGGTTCGGCTTACCTCGCTGAACGCCCCGCGTCCGATCACCTTCAGAATCTCGAAGTCGTCCCTCTGCAGTCGGACCTCCTTAAGCCTCACCACGATGGGCTCCGCTGGGGGGGTGGTGGGGGAAAAGAACCGAGGGTCACCAGAAAGGGCACTGGAGACAAGGGGGAAAGCCCCACCCTCTGTCTGTCTCCCCTTCTCTCTGCCTCTCAGCTTCACCCTAGGACTGTCTGCTTCCCAGGGGCTTCCCCACATAAACACCGTGTAAGGTTCTGGGGGCCAAAAATGCCCTCCCATAGAGGTGAGATGCCTGAGAAGCCCTTTGCGGGACAGGGCATTGGCCCAGAGGGCTCCAAGGGTGTGCAGGATGGTTAGGGTGGGGTAACGGAGTCTGCAGAAGGACAGACCCTAAAGAACAAGGGGAGAAGGAAATAAGACCCAGTTCTTCCACCTTCCACCCTGACTCCAGGTGACAGTTCAGGTGCAGCCAGGGCCCCACCCCCACGTTCTCATGTAGAATGTCCTGGGTAACGGCCCAGACGTGGGGTTGTATCCAGTACCTCTAGATTCAGATGCAGGTGGTTCTTGAACCACACTTTGGAAAACCCTGGATTTGGGGCTGGGGGAAGGAACAGGACAGGGAGACAAAGGTAGCATGGTCACATATCCCAGACTCAAGTGCTCCGGTCCAGCCCATCTCTCAGTCCTCCAGGAGGAGTGCTTTAGTCCTACCCCTTATTTACAGATGACAATCAGGCCTCTCAGAAGTCAAGGTCCTATGACTAGGAATGTTAAACTGGGCAGCCTGGGTGGGGGACCAGCTGGGGTGGAGGCTTGTGGCTCAGGGACTGTGGGGACAGGGAGGCCTGGACTCCCGGGGGTGGAAGAAGTGGAGGCAGGATGGAGAGAGGGATGGGTATGGGAGGGGAGGGAAGGAGAGGAGACAGTGGGTTCTGGAGGAAAGAGAGGGGTTCCGGGGGGTTCCGGGAGAGTGGGCCAGCAGGGACGAACCAGCCAGGGCTGAGGACGGGGGAGGGAGGAGAGAGCCAAGACATTGAGCCCTTTTAAGGCAGCAGGAACCCTGGCCCCCTCCCCCGCCCCAGGCCTGGCAGGGGAGGGGCCGCGAGATGCAGCTCGGGCCACAAAAGGAGTGCTCCTCCCGGGAGCGCCAGACCCCTACCCCACCCGGTCTCAGTTTACCCTGCCAACCCAACTTCATCCTCTACTAAAGGGAGGCCAGGAGAGTCATTAGGGGCTGTGGGAGGTTGGGAGAAGGTTTTTCCAGAGGCTGAATGGCCTGGCCCTTCTTGGCCTCCACCTTCCCATCTGTGAAATGGGAGGAGGAGGGAAAGGAACCAGGCCTGGGTCAGAAAGAGATGGACACAAGAGGAAGCAGGGGAAGGCGGAGAAACAGGAAACAAGTGTCACACACAGTTTGTTACACACAGGCCAAAAACCAAACACCAGTCACTGAGGGCCAGACATATGAGGGCCAGAGGGGCAGGGTGCTGGGAATGAAAGAAACCAGTGACCAGTGAGCCCGAGTCCTGGGCTTGGGGAGGAGGTGGGCAGACAAGGCAGCTGGCAGAAGCGGAAGCATCCTCCTTCCAGCCCTGGCCCCAGGCCCTGGAAAGCCCTTGCAAGAAGGGGTTTTGTGGGACAGCTGGAAGGTTGGAGGCCCTGGGCCAGGAGAACTAAAGGACGCAGGGACCCGGGGTGGCGGGAATGGTGGCTGACCCACACGGCTCATAGGAACCGAGACTTTGGGGCTGGGGGTGGGGGTGGGTGCAGAACCTACAAAAGAAGGAGACACACCCAGAAGAACCCAAAGTTGTCCCTCCTGGATCGCAGAGGAGGGGGCACTGGTGGCGCCTGTCTGCAAAGCTGGTTCTCCCACAGGGCCCGCGTGAGTCACCGCCCTCCCAGTGCCTGGGCACCTGTTGGGGCAGCTGGAGAGGCTGGCGCCGAACACCTGCCTGTCGGCTGCGCCCCTGGCAGCTGCCCCATGCTGGCCCTCCTGGCTTGCCCCAGGCCACAGGAAACCAGGGGAGAGGGCCATAGAGCCCACTTTTGGGGGGAGGGTCCTAGGAGAGGGAGCTCCCAGCATGACCCTGACCCTGACCCTGAGGCGGGGTGCAGAGAGGCCATGGGAGGCTGTTGGCAGCCTAGCCTGCTGTGACTCCTAAGCCATGGCTCTGAGTCACAGCCACCCTAGCCTCTGCTGACCTTACTCTGCCCCTCCAGAGTGGTGGCATAGGACAGAGAAATGTTGCCCCAGGGCCCAGGTCCACACTCTGAGCCCCAGGATGGGAGGATCTCCCCATGCCCATCCTGCCATCCTGCCCCCCCAACAGCCAGGCCTCTGTGCCCAGACCTGTCTCCTGCCCCACCCCCACCCCATCTGCAGGAGCCCCGAGGGTAGGCACTCACCCCACTGCAAGAAGTCGGCCACGTACTTGTCCTGGGCCAGTTCGGAGGCGCCCAGCTCCTGGTGGACGCCCAGGAGAAGGTCGAGCAGGGGCTCCAGCCCCAGGAAGCCCGGGTCCAACACCAGCTGCTGGAGCCGCCTCAGCCGCACCTCGGCTGACATGTTGGACAGGCAGCACCATGGCCCCTCCCCGGGCCGGGGGCTCGGGGTCCTCCTGTCACAGGGCCTGGCAGCCCCTGTCCAGGCCCTGGAGCCCTGGCTGCATGTCTGCCTGTCCCTGGCTGTCCCCTGGGCCTCTCTGGCCACTTCTCTCTGCGGCCGGCCGAGGCCTCCTCCCCTTCTCCCCACCCCTTGGTCCAGCCCCCCTCCCGCCTCCCAGCCTTAACCCCTCACAAGCCAGCCCCCCAAGCTCCCTCCTTCCAGGGCCCTTCAGAACCCTTCAGTGCTAGAGTAGGGGGAATGCATGGAGAATCTCAGCTGTCACACTGTCACCCCAATAAAAAGGTAGAGCACAGAGGAAGCCACAGGTGTGATGAATTTCAAGAAGAACCTGCCCATTGCTGAAACAGGGCCAATTGAGGCTGAGTGACCCAGTAGCAACCACCCCCTTGCTCCCGACAAGCTCCAGAACTGGGGGCTAGGGGGTGAGGGCTGGGGGTTGGGGCTGGGTGGGAGAAAGGGGTTGAGGCCTGGGAAGGGGACGGGAGGCCAGGGCAGCTTCTTGGGTGACTCAGAGATGGATTCCGACTCGGACAGTTAAATTTAGCCCTCAGGCTCTCTGCTTTATACCAGCTTTTTTTTTTTTTTTTTTTTTTTTTCCCAGGAGGTGGGGAAGGGGTGGTGAGGACAGGACCAGGAGGGGGCACCCTCAGAGCCTGAACAGGGGTGACCTGCTGCCCAAAGGCTGGGGGAGGAAAGTGGTGGAGCCAAGCCCTCCCTGGGCAAACGAGACCCCAAAATAGCTCCTTGGCCCCTGGCCGGGGAGCCACATTCCTGCCCAGGCTGGGATTAGAAACAGAAACATTTCGGGGGGTGGAGGGTGGCGCGGGAAGACACACTCCCTGCGGCTCCGAGAGCCAAGAGGAATCTGAGCTCTTCTTTCCAGGGTGGACGGTTCTCCAGAGTGGAAGTCGGGGCCTCCAACCGGCCTGGGGTGCCTGGGCCTTGAGAGGGCCAGGCCTGAGAAACTAGGAGGCAAGGACCGAGGAGTCCCAGCTGGGCAGGGCCTGGGAAACGTGGTCCTGGGCAGTTCTGATAATTTAAAAAACACCGAGGACTTTGATGAGGGGCCCTGGCTGCGGGCAGGATGCTCTTCTCCCCAAGAGGGTCCTGCTCCAGCCGCTGGTGTGGGTCACCAGTTGTGTGACTCGCAGGTCCGTTCCCTCCCTGGGCTCCGGCTTTTCCTGCTATGAAAAGGGGTGGGAGGCGCTGGGCTGGGAGCAGGCCTGCACTCCTCCTCTGGGGAAAGCGGACTGCCTAGAACCACAGAGTACACACACAGGTCCTCTACATCATCTCCTCCGAAGGGGACAGACCCGCTGAGAAAACAGGGAACTTTAGTATAAATAAGAGGTCCTGCGGGACAGGGAGGAACCTGAGGGGCTTCCATAATTTAACACTCTTCAAAAGCACAGACAATAGCAAGGGCAGCTGGGGTGGGGGCCGGGCGAGGGCTGGACCACCCCCGGCCCTGCCCACTCAACTGAGGGGCACACTGCAGACCTGGGGCTCTTGTGGCAGGGGCGGGGAGTCTCTCCCCAGGAGTGACCAGTCACATGCTGGGGACAGGGATGAGGGTAACACTGATGTTTCAGAGGAAGAGGTCATTGTACTTGGCAGTGGGTGGGGGACAAGGCTGAGGCCACAAGGGCTATTACATCGCCCGTGTCCGGGCCAGTCTGGGGGGCCCCCAAATTTTGTGCAGGTGGGGGGACTGGAGCAGTCCATCCATCATGGTTAGTCTTGTTAATACGTTGATCTGTGAGGTCAGCAGGGAGGGTTATGGCTAGGAGGCTGGGGGCATGGGGTTGGGGGGGCCCGATATCCATGGCTTCACACCACTGTGCCACTCGGGGAGTTGCCTGGTTGGGAGGAGATGCCCTGGGGAAGATGAGAGGGAGAGATGGGAGGGGTTAGAGACCACCTGGGCTTCAGCCAGTGTCAAGGGGAGGGAGCCAGCCCAGAGTCCCCAAAGCTGCTGCCACCCTGGCCTTGCCCTTGGGTCCGCCCTAGACCCCCCAGAGGCCACTGCTCTAGGCTGGGAACTTGCATCTTAGCTAGCTTCCTGTCCTGGCAGTCAGCACTTTCACGCAATAATCAAAGTCCTTGGCGGATCCTGAGTGAGACCATGGGGTAAGGGTAAGGGTGGGAGGGGAGGGGGAAACTGGAGCTCCCTTCTAACTTGGGAGGGACCCTGAGGTGCTGGGGAAAGAACTCAGGGACAGTCCTACCTCTACCACTGACTTGCTGGGTGACCTGGGCCAACTTCCTTCCCCTGTCTGGGCCTCGGTCTCCTCGTCTGTGAACTACGGAGACAGAGGGGTCTCTTTTAGGACTCAACCAGACTCCCCAAATCCCACCACTCTTGCCTCTGAGTCACTCAGACTGTGCTCTCAAGTTCTAGGGACTCAGGACTCTACGATTCCAAAACTGAGGATCTGAGGAACCAAGCCACGGCCTCCAGGACCCTGGGCAACTGAGTCCAAGCCCTAAGAAGCTGAGACACCCAAGACGAGCTCCGAACTTACAAGATGCCAGGCCTGATTCGCCTACTATGACCTTCCCAACGCCACAGCCCACCCAGGAGGCAAGCACATCCACCCACTGCCCATCCTACAGGCTCTGTTCTAAGAGGTGATGAGTTGGAGGTCAGAGGGGGCAGTGACTTGTCCAGGGTCACAGAGGGAGTGGGACTGGAACCCAGGCCTGGGATTCCCAGCCTGTGCCTTCAGCAGGAGGCTCAGATCCTGAGTCCCAGACCCAGGCTGGCAGCCATGCCCACAGGCTTGAGCTCGCCCCTAGTTTTGGCCTGAAGTACTCAAAAAAGTTTCACGATTTAAAAAACAGATGTTCAACAGAAATAGATTCTGGTTCGAGTGACAGGCAGTAAGACCTGGCCATGTGGGGCCCATCTGCTGCCCTTCAGACGGCCAGCCTTGGATGCCCCAATTCCTAGCTGGCTCTCACACCCACCCCTCTTTCTGCTGCCTGCTGCCTAGGGCTAGACCCCCTCACTCTAAGGATCTGAGAGGTCTTGTACTGAGACACTAAGATTTCCCTGGCTTCCCCTCACCCCACGGAGCCAGAGGCTGTGACAGCAACAAAGCCCTCTCTCTGCCAATGCCTGCCTCTTCCCACGAAAGGTCCTGCCAGGTCCCCGGCAGGCTGGTGTGGGGCCACTCACCGCCTTGCCCGGCCGGGCCCAGGTGCAGATGAGGCCCTCCTGGCAGGCAGTGATGATGCAGTCCTCCAGGAACAGGAGGACTGTGAGCCGCTCCTGGGCGATCTTCTTGCACACAAGGGGCTCCAGCAGGGGCACCTCGTGGATGCGCGGGCACAGCGCAGTGCCCAGCACCTTGGCGGGGTCCAGGCGGCTGCGGGGAACAGGGCCGCTGGGCTTCTCCCCACCACTGCCACTGCCGCCACTGCCACCCCGGCTGATGTTGCCCAGGCTGTGGTAGCGCTTGTGCTCCTTCTCTGCCCCCCGGTCCCGCCGCTCCTGCAGTGTGAGCGTGGCGAAGCGGCCAATGCTGAATGGTGTGCCAGGCTCTGCCGCCACACCCGGGCCGCCCGCCTTGCCCCCGCCAGCTGGGTGCGGGAGACTGTTGGAGCGGGACAGCGAGCGAGGCAGGGGGCCTGGGCCAGGCTCGCCACCCCTCGAGCTGCTGGCGGCCGGTGGCGTGGTGCCAGGTGTGCCAGGGAGGGTGCGGGTGCGGGCCAGGGGGGGGTGCGGGTAGAGCACGTCTTCAGTGAGGTCCCACAGGCAGAACTGCGTGTCCTGGCCCGCCGAGCCAAAGCGGTAAGTAATGGAGCCAGCCTTGGGCAGTGGAGAGAGCGGGGCGCCCCCGGCCGAGCCTGTGCCCGCAGCCTCGGGCTCCTCCTCCTCCTCTTCGCCGCTCCGCTCCCCATCAGCACCGGCTGCTGTCGCCGCCTCCTCTGCCCTTGTGGTGTAGGGGTCAAAGGCCACAGCGTTGACCCAGGACTTGTGGCCATGGCCTCGAGCCACCACGCGGCCCTCGGTGAAGGACCACACGGTGACCAGGTCATCTTCGCCACCCGTCACCACGTAGCGGCCGTCAGGGCTCCAGCACACACACAGCAGGCCCCCAAAGTAGCTCTTCATGAGCCCACGCAGGAGCATGGAGTCGAAGTGGAAGACGCGCAGGCAGCCATCCTGGCTCACACAGGCCAGGTGCCGGCCATCGGGCGAGAAGGCGAACTCGTTGAGGGGCCCCTCACCCACCGCCCACTTGGCCAGCGGGTTGCGGGGTGCCTTGCTCTTGGCAGCATAGACAGAGAAGCCCTCGCCCTGCTTCAGCAGGCTGTACTGGGGCGGGGCCGAGGCGCAGGGGTGGCTGACGTTGTACAGGTACAGGTGGCCACTGGCGTGTGATGCCAGGAACAGGCTCTCCGACTCAGGCAGCCACTTCAGATATGTCACCTTGGTCTTGTCGATCAACCGCTGCCAGGGGAGACAGTGTGGGGTTGGGAGAAGGCAGTAAAACCCAGGCAGAACTTCTCCCCGACCCAAAGTCCCCAAGAAGGCCGTTGGACATGGCCCCGCTCACACAGCAGGTGCCACACCAGGCCCAGGTCCTCCTCGGAGAGAAGCTCCCAAACTGGGGAAGACAGATGGACACCAGGTCATGGAAACATGGGGAAACAGAGGCTGCTGCAAGGTGGCCACAGGGTGCTCCAAGGAGCCTCGATGTCCCATCTTTGGCGAGGGGACAGTCCTGCTTGCCACAGAATTGTCCTGTATCTCGGGGTCCTCAACCTCCGGGCCATGGAACAGTAGTGGTCCGTGGCCTGTTAGGAACCAGGCCATGCAGCAGGAGGTGAGTGGTGGGCGAGCAGGCATTACAGCCTGAGCCCAGCCTCCTACCGGAGCAGCGCACCATTCAATCCTCGTAAGAGTGCGAACCCCACCATGAACTATGCATGCGAGGGATCTAGGTGTGCGCTCCTTATTAGAATCTAACACCTGATGATCAGAGGCAGAACGGTTTCATCCCAAAACCATCCCCCCAACAGTCTGTGGAAAAACTGTCTTCCATAAGACCAGTCCCTGGTGCCAAAATGGTTGGGGACCACTGTATCTGTCTAACCCTCCCCCGATCTTTACTACGTCAGGCTTCAAGTAGGAAATTTCTTCACGGAAAGGCAGCTCCCCAAAGGAAGCGATCTTTGTTTGGTTCACTATTCTTTAAAGCAGTGCACACAGGAGGCAGCTTGAAGGTAATTCCTGGACAAATGAGTGACAACCCCCCATCCCGCTAGGTGCTTAGACAAAAAACCTCGGCATCTGCCCCTCTTTTCCTCATCCAATCCTTCCACAAATCCTGTGGGCTCGACCTTCAAAATACACCCAGAAGTGGCTGGGCGTGGTGGCTCACGCCTGTAATCCCAGCACTTTGGGAGGCTGAGGCAGGCGGATCACAAAGTCAGGAGTTCCAGACCAGCCTAGCCAATATGGTGAAATACAAGTAGAGATACAAAATCTCTACTAAAAATACAAAAATTAGCCAGGCATGGTGGCGGGCGCCTATAGTCCCAGCTACTCAGGAGGCTGAGGCAGAATTGCTTGAACCCGGGAGGCGGAGGTTGCAGTGAGGGGAGATCATGCCACTGTACTCCAGCCTGGGCGACAGAGCGAGACTCCACCTCAAAATAAAAAAAAAAGAAAAAATACACCCAGAATCTGACCTCCTCTCACCATCCCATTCAACCACCCCAAGCCTGCAATGCTGTGTGACTGGCCTCAGGCTCCAATGCCTGGGCCTGTCTGTCCTCTGCAGCCGCCACAGCGATGCTCTGTGAAGTATCAGCCAGCACCTGGCACTGTCCTGCTCTGAACACTTCGCAGCCTCTCTCAAGCAGGGTTCCAGAGCCTGAGGCCCTAATGCTCTCAGGCAGCCAGTGTATGCAACTAAGGAGCTGCTCTCCCAGGATGAGGTGCCTCCCATCCCTGGGAGAACTGAACAAATAATCACTCTAGTCACTTCTGCCTTCCAGGGCTCAGGTGAGCCCCAATGAGAAAGGCTCCTCCACAGGCTTCCAACTAAGAGTAAGGCAAAATCTCTCCGTGACCTTCCAGACTCTCCATGAGCCAGCCCCTCCGTTATTTCTTGGAACTCATCTACCATCTTCTCTCCCTCAGTAACTGCACTGGCCACACGGCTTCTGTGCAATCCTGCATTTGTCCTAGCTGGCCCCGATACTCAGAATGTCCTTCTTGGCTGGGTGTGATGGCTCACGCCTATAATCCCAGCGCTTTGGGAGGCCAAAGCAGGAGAATAGCTTGAGCCCAGGAGTTCGAGACCAGCTTGGGCAACACAAAGAGACCCCGCCTCTACAAAAAATACAAAAGTTAGCCAGTTGTGGTGGTGCATGCATGTAGTCCCAGCTACTCAGGAGGCTGATATGGGAGGACTGCTTGAGCCTGGGAGGCGGAGGTTGCAGTGAACGAAGATCGTACCACTGCACTCCAGCATGGACGACAGAGTGAGACCCTATCTCAGGAAAAAAAAAAAAAAAAATGCCCTTCCCCAGGCAACTCTTCTCACCTGCCTCCTTCAGGTCTTTATTTCAGTATCACCTCTTAGTGAGGGCTTTCCTGACCACCCTACTAAACTCTCCAAGCTTCCCTCAGCCCCTTCCCCACTGCTTCTTCTAAACAGGCCTTAATCACCTGCTGACACACGAAGACTTAACTTGATTAACTGTCTGTCTCCCCAGCTAGACTGAAAGCTCCAAAAGGGCAGGGCCTCCTGTCCAGGGCCCTGAGATGTGATATCCCTAGTGCTGGGAACGGTGCCTGGCACAGAACGGATGCTCAAAAACTATTTGTGAATGGATGAGCTAATGAATTTTTAATCCACTGACTGTTCCGTTCACTCCCTTCAGCCATTCACTCATTCTGAGAATATTTATGGAACACCTCCTCTGGACCAGAGAGAATGAGACAGAAGCCAAGAGCAGTCCCTGCCCGCGGATAAGGTCGTTTACTGGTATCTCCTCGTAGGCCAAGTTGGCCCAGGACTGAGCAATCTCCATGTATGATTCTACAACAGCGGTCCTGCAAGGTAGGAACTGGAATCCCATTTTGCAGAGGAGGAGAAGTGAGGCTCAGAGAATGGTCACCTTCCCAAAGTCACATGATGAGTAAATGGTGCAGCAGGGCTTTGAATCCAAAGCCTCCAGAGCCCAGAACTCAAAGAGCAAGGGCATCAACTAAGTCCCGACTTATTTACTAGCCTCAATTCTCTAATCTGCAAAATGGGCAGCACACTTCTGTATCCACTGGTTGATGAAAACTCAAAGAATGGCCGGGCGCGGTGGCTCATGCCTGTAATCCCAGCACTTCGGGAGGCCGAGGTGGGCGGATCACAAGGTCAGGTGTTTGAGACCAGCCTGGCCAACATGGTGAAACCCCATCTCTACCAAAAATACAAAAATTGGCCGGGTGTGGTGGCTCACGCCTTTAATTCCAGCACTTTGGGAGGCCGAGGCGGGCAGATCACGAGGTCAGGAGATCGAGACTATCCTGACTAACACGGTGAAATCCCGTCTCTACTAAAAATACAAAAAAATTAGCTGGGCGTGGTGCTGGGCGCCTGTAGTCCCAGCTGCTGGGGAGGCTGAGACAGAAGAATGGCGTGAACCCGGGAGGCAGAGGTTGCAGTGAGCCGAGATCGCGCCACTGCACTCCAGCCTGGGCGACAGAGCGAGACTCCATCTCAAAAAAAAAAATTAGCCAGGTATGATAGTGCGCACCTGTAGTCCCAGCTACTCAGGAGGCTGAGGCAGGAGAATTGCTTGAACCTGGGAGGCGGAGGTTGCAGTGACCCGAGATTGTACCACTGCACTCCAGCCTGGGCGACAGAGTGAGACTCCGCCTTAAAAAGAAAAAAAAAATTAAAAACAATAAAAATTACAATTACAATTAAAAAAAAAAAAAAGAACCGGGCATGGTGGCTCACACCTGTAATCCCACCACTTTGGGAGGCCGAGGTGGGCAGATCACGAGGTCAGGAGATCGAGACCATCCTGACTAACACGGTGAAACCCCATCTCCACTAAAACTACAATAAATTAGGCGGGCGTGGCAGCAGGTGCCTGAAGTCCCAGCTACTCAGGAGGCTGAGGCAGGAGAATGGCATGAACCCGGGAGGTGGATCTTGCAGTGAGCAGAGATCGCGCCACTGCACTCCAGCCTGGGTGACAGGGTGAGACTCCATCTCAAAATAAATAAATAAAAGAAAGAAAGAAAGAAAGAAAACCCAAGGAGTAAAGTATTCAGCACAAGGGTAACACAGCACAGGGCCTGGGTACAGTAAAGGCAGCTGTCATTAGCTGCTGTCACCCCATTCTCCATCTCTCCCTGGTCCTGCCCCTCTCAGGCCTACACTGTTCCGCAGGCAGCTGCATCCTAATGGCATATAGTGGGTAGGTGAGAAGGCAGAGAAGTTGGGGGCTCTGGGGGCTGCAATCACCTCCTCATTGAACAGCTTGCTGGTGTCCTTTTTGATGAGATCCAGGTACTGCACTTGACCCGCTGAGAAGCCCACCAGCAGCGAGATGGTCTCGGTGGCAGCAGTGAACTGGTTGAAATCGTGGCAGGTGGGCTGGGTGCCCTTGTAGATCCGCTTGTCAATTGGCTTGTTGAGGTCAATGGACTTGAGGGGTGGGAGAAAAGGAGTTAATGGTGTATGCCACTGAGGAGAAGGAAGAGGATGTTGAGGTTGGGGGAAACCACTAAGAGGAAGCAGGGTTAGAACCCAGAGGGAAGTGGGGAGGTGAGTAGGTGGATTGCGAAGGACGGGGCAACCACAGACGGGAAGGGGACCCAAATCACAGACAAGAGTAGCAAAAAAGATGGTAAGGATCCCCCTTGACCACAGTGCCTCCCCAAAGTTGGGTCACCTCTAATTCAGAGACACCCTTGTCCACATAATCAGGGTTCTGGGTCCACACAGTTCCTAAGCTCCGATTCCTTTTAGCCTCACCACTCCATCCTATAACCTCAGCAACTCCCTTGGGACCTAGTACCACACTATTCCAAGACCCCCAAACCTTGAGGTCACCCAAATTTCCAGGACTCTAAAGCCTAACATCCTAGCATTCTCTTCACTTTGTAGTCCCTAAACCGCCACAGTTCTGGGACCCGTCAAACCTCACGGTCTCCCACATTTTAGGCCCATTTATTACCTAGGGGCTCCGAAGGATCCCCATCATTTCTGGGATCACCATAAACGGCCAGGGTTCTCACCACATCGCTTTAGAGATGTCCTGAATCACACCTGCAGATTCCCCTGCCAGGGCCTCTCATTCCCTTGAGAGCTCCCATCAGCTTCCGGACGCTCATCTCCTCCAGGACCCTCATGACTTCCAGACCCCAATTTTCTCTAGAATCCCATTCAGCTTCTGGATCCCCTATCACCTTCAAGGCCCCCATCACTTCTAGACTTCTCCTCATTCCTGGGCTCAATCTCAAGACCCCTCTCCCACACCTCCAGGCTGCAATACTGGGTTCTCCATCACCTCTGGGCTTGCATCACCTCATGATTCCCCATTACCTGCAGAATGCCTGCCACCCCAGAACCCGGGGGATCCCACCTCATCTCAGATACCCCATCATGTCCAATAGTCACCATCCCAGAACTCCTACGCATAACGGGGGTAAAGGGGATTTCCCCCATCACCTCCAAGATGCCTGCCCAGCACCCCGCGGGCCTCTCATCACATTTCAGAATCCTGTACTCCCTCCAATGCTGTCGCCCTACAACGTCCATCACATTTAGAATGCCTATCTCAGGGCCCCATATCAATTCGGGGACCCTCCTATCAGTTCTCTGGAACCTCCATCCTTTCAGCACCCAGGGCCCCACGATGCAGGCCGCTCACCCGTTGGCTCCCACGACGACAGCAGCCTGGGTAGAAATAGAGCTCACGGCCCAAGTTGAAGCAGACGCGGTCTCCCCCCGAGCCCAGCCCCGCGGGCGTGGCGGGCGGCTCCCCGGCCCCGGCGCTGTCCGGCTCCCCGAGGCGCACGAGGCTGAGGCGCACGGCGGGCAGGGCGGGCCCGGGTCCGGGGCCTGCGGGCGGCGGGGACGACGCGGGGCCTGCAGCGCCGGGACCGGAGGCGGAGGCAGGGCCGGGCGGGGGCTGCGGTGGCTGAGGCGGCACCGGAGTCTGGGCGGAAGCCGGACCCGACCTGCGAGCGGCGCCGTCGCCCGGGAGTAGCTTGTAGAAACCCTCGCGCGTGCGGAATTGCGACTTAATCTCCGCGCAGTCCCCCATGGCGGCGCCGGGGCCCGAGCCGCCCTCCGCGCCGCCCGCCGCCATCTTGGGCGCCCCCCGGGCCCCGCCACTGCCGGACTGCCGCCCGCAGCCGGGCCCCCTCCCGGAAGCCGCTGGCCCGCGCCGGAAAAGGTGGGGTCGTCGCCCGGGCAACGCCTCTTCGATTGGCACCCAGATCCGGAGGCGGGACGAATCCCCGCGGTCGCTCGGGTAACGGTGCTGGGACTGTGGGCGGGGCGAGAAGGTGGGCGCGGCCTTTGAGCCTGTGACCGACTTGTGGTTGGCTGCGGGGGCGGAGCCCGCAATGGAAAGAGGCGTGGCCAGTTAGAAAGCTCAAGTCCTTAGCAACCGCGCCCTGGGAACGTTTGCCTAGCAACGGAGGGATTTTTTTTTTTTTTTCCCCCACGACAAAGAAGCCCTCATCCATAGTCCAGCCTTCCCATGAAGTCACAGCCAACCCCAAGTGACCCTGGTCTCTCCTTAGACGCCCAATATACACTCCCCTGACCTCCAGTGTTTCCCACTGACATATTCAAATCCCTGAATGACCACAGCATCTGCTACCATTCTTCCCCACCCTTGGTGACCCACCAAATCCCTGTGTCCCCACACAACTCAGAGGACTTCCTCTGACCCACTATTGATTAATGCTAACTCCAAACATCCTTCATATTTTCCACCAACCTCCAATGTATATTTCCATGATTTTCTTATTTTCAACAACCTCACTTGTCCTCCAAAACCTACCTCTGATTCCCAAATTGTATTGATCCCCACGGTGCCCCAGTGTCCCAGTGATCCACTCGTAACCCAAAGTCTCCCCCTGATCCCAACAGCTCCTACTCATAGCCAGTGCTCCCCATGTCTGCTGAAGCCACCCAGCCCCATCATAGATCTTTCTAGTCTCATGTAGTCAATGGCCTCTACGATTTCTCCCTAGAGTGTCCCAAGGGCATCTCACACTTAAAAAAAAAAATCCTACAATGGTTCGGGCATGGTGGCTCATGCCTGGAATCCGAGAATCCCAGCACTTTGGGAGGCTGAGGTGGGAGGATCGTTTGAGCCCAGGAGATCAAGACTGCTATGAATTCACATCACTGCACTAAAGCCTGGGGGACAGAGTCAGACTCAGTCTCTCTAAAAAAAAAAAAAAAAGAAAGAAAAAAGAATCCTACAATGAAATTGACGTCTTACACCAAATCCTCCACCTCTCTTGCATCCCCACCTTAGGGCTAGCTCTGCCGTCCACTCAGTCAACCAGGCCACAGACCTGGGTGTCTTCCTAGATGTGTACCATTTATCTTCACTCTGCCCCCGCTTACAGCCTCCAAGTCTTTTGCATTCGACCACGTGGAATTCCTCTTTCTCAGTTCCTTGTTCTCCCTGATCCAAGCTTCTCCTCTACCCAAGCCCTTCCCCCACCCCCACATCAACCGTGTCTCTTGGTCTCCCAGATTTCTGTCTCACCCCCACTTCCACCTTTCACTTGGCATGTAGAGAGGTTTTATTTTGTTTTTGTTTTTGTTTTTTTTGAGACAGTCTCACCCTGTCACCCAGGCTGGAGTGCAATGGCTCCATCTCGGCTCAGAGACGGGGTTTCACCATGTTGGCCAGTCTGGTCTCGAACTCCTGACCTCAGGTGATCCACCCACCTCGGCCTCCCAAAGTGCTGGGAGTACAGGCATGAGCCACTGCACCCGGCTTTTTTTTTTTTTTTTTTTTTTTTTGAGACAGAGTCTCGCTCTTGTCACGTGGGCTGGAGTGCAATGGGACGATTTTGGCTCACTGCAACCTCTGCCTCCTGGGTTCAAGTGATTCTCCTGCCTTAGCCTCCTGAGTGGCTGGGATTACAGGCACCTGCCACCACACCCAGCTACTTTTTTGTAGTTTTAGTAGAGACGGGGTTTCACCATGTTGGGCATGCTGGTCTCAAACTCCTGACCTCAGGTGATCCGCCAACCTTGGCCTCCCTAAGTGCTGGGATTACATGTGTGACCCACTGCACTAGGCCTAGAGAGGTCTTTCTAAAGCATGAATATGATCAGGGCCCTCCCCTGCTCAAAACCCATCTGTAGCTCCCTAGTGCTCTCAGGGGAAAGTTAAGCCCCAAGTGATCTGGCCCCTGCCAACCTCTTTTCAATCTCATATCTCACCACTAACTCCTCACACTATCCACCACCTAAAATGAGGCTTGAAAAACTACCCCAACATATCACACTCTCTCTTGTCCTTGGGTCTTTGCACATTCTGTTCCCTATTCTTGGAATGCCTTTCCCCATTCTTTTCTTGACCCTTTAAGAGTTGGCTCGGGAGCTCTGTCAGTCCTCTGGGCTTCCCCATTTGGGCTGTCACTGTCTGGAAATGAGTCTCTCTCCCTATAGTGTTGTGAGGTCCAGGAAGGCAGGACTGCAGCTGTCTGTGTCCCCAGCACAGGGGTGGGCTGACAGGAGGTATTTCAATAATGGTTTGATGGCTAGGTAAATGAATAAATAAAACAGGTGGGGCTGGTCGCGGTGGCTCACAGCTGTATCCTAACACTTTGGGAGGCCAAGACAGGCAGATCGCTTGATGCCAGGAGTTCAAGACCAGCTTGGGCAACATAAACCCCATCTCATAGTGAGACTCTGAAAAATTGAAAAAATTTAGCTGGGCATGGTGGGCTGTGCCTGCAGTCCTAGTTACTCAGGACCCTGTCTCTACAAAAAATACAAAAATTAGTGTATGTGGTGATGTGCACCTGCGGTCTCAGCTACTCCGGAGGCTGAGATGGGAGGACTGCTTGAGCCCAGGAGGTCAAGGCTGCAGGGAGCTGAGATTGTGCCACTGTACTCTAACCTGGGTGACAGAATGAGACCCTGTCTCAAACAACAACAACAAAAACCAAACAGGTGGGAGAGACTCTGCCAGGCAATGTCTGTGCTCTCTGCAGGGCCCAACAGCCCTGGCTTGGAGTCCATGTCAACAGAGGTGGTGAACAAATGAATGAATGGCTCATCCATAATGCCGTGGAGGAATTTTATTTGAAGCAGTTGCCTTCCTTTTCTATCCCTGCCCTCTGGGGACAGGAAGCACATAGTGAAAATATAATCCATGCTAACTACCTCTAAGGGGAAATTTGCTATCTACCTGCTTGGGGAAAGTGGCTAGAGGGTGGGCCTCAGTCATCTGTCTCCTCGCCCTCCTCCTCCTCCTCGCCCTCCTCCTCCTCCTCTGTGGCTCCCAGGGCTTGTTCCTGGGCTGCTTTCAGAGCCTGCTCCTCTTCCACTGTGGGGTCACTCATCTCCATGATCTCTGGGCCACTGGGGTACTCTTGTTGAATGGGGGCTGGCAGGGCCGGGTTGAAGCTCTCGGGGCTGTACTTGTGACCCCAGCCGATGTAGATGTTCTCAAACTTTCTGGAGAAGCAGTGAGACACTGTGAAATTCTCCCTCAAAGGCCCCAGACTTGACTTTTTTTTTTTTTTTTTTGAGATGGAGTCTTACTCTGTTGCCTAGTGCAGTGGTGTGATCTCGACTTACTGCAACCTCTGCCTCCCAGGTTCAAGCGATTCTCCTGCCTCAGCCTCCCATGTAGCTGGGACTACAGGCACGCGTCACTACGCCCAGCTAATTTTTGTATTTTTGGTAGAGATGGGGTTTCACCATGTTGGCCAGTGTGGTCTGGAACTCCTGACCTCATGATCTGCCCGCCTCGGCCTCCCAAAGTGCTGGGATTACAGACGTGAGCCACCGCACCTGGCCAGCCTTGACTTTCTTTAAGGGTAGGACCCAGCATGTGCATAGCATGACTGCAAAGTTGTGGATGGCAGGGTGAAATGTGCTCACTGGGTTCCTCTGTATTACCCAGGCTGGATGCAAACTCCACCTCCTGGGTTCACTGCAAAATCTGCCTCCTGGGTTCAAGTGATTCTCCCACCTCAGCTTCCCAAGTAGCTGGGACTACAGGCACACACCACCTCGCCCAGCTAATTTTTATATTTTTAGTAGAGACGGGGTTTCACCATGTTAGCCAGGCTGGTCTCAAACTCCTGACCTCAAGTGATCTGCCTGCCTCAGCCTCCCAAAGTGCTGGGATCACAGGCATGAGCCACCATGCCTGGCCTAATTTTTGTATTTTTAGTAGAGAGGGGGTTTCATCATGTTGGCCAGGCTGGTCTTGAACTCCTGACATCAAGTGATCTGCCGCCTCCACCTCCCAAAGTTTAAAAATTAGCCAGTTGCAGTAGCACGTACCTGTGGTTCCAGCTACTGGGGAGGCTGAGGGGGGAGGATTGCCGGAGCCCAGGAGTTTGAGGCTGCAGTAAGTTGTGATCATGCCACTGCACTCCAGCCTGAGTGACAGAGTGAGAACGTATCTCAAAATAAATCAAGAAATAAGTAACTAGGCTGGACGCAGTGGCTCACGCCTGCAATCCCAGCACTTTGGGAGGCCGAGGCGGGCGGATCACAAGGTCAGGAGATCGAGACCAGCCTAGCTAACACGGTGAAACCCCGTCTCTACTAAAAATACAAAAACAAAATCAGTGGGGCGTGGTGGCAGGCGCCTGTAGTCCCAGCTGCTGGGGAGGCTGAGGCAGGAGAATGGCGTGAACCCTGGGAGGCGGAGCTTGCAGTGAGCCAAGATCGCGCCACTGCACTCCAGCCTGGGTGACAGAGTGAGACTCTGTCTCAAAAAAAAAAAAAAGAAATAAGTAACTAAAAATAACAAAAAAAATTAAATTATATATGTGGCTCATATTTTATTTATGTGAGACATAATTTTATGTTGGATATCAATTTATTTATATTGTGACACTTTATTTATGTCCAACATATCATGTGGGACATAAATAAAATTGTCTAGGTGCTGGGGACACAGCAGTAAACAAACTAGACAAAACTCCCTGCCAGGTGCGGTGGTTCAGGCCTGTAATCCCAGCACTTTAGGAGGCCGAGGTAGGAGGATCAACTGAGGTCAGGGGCTCGAGACCACCCTGGTGAAACCACATCTCTACAAAAAATACAAAAATTAGCTGGGCGTGGTAGTGGGCGCCTGTAGTCCCAGCTACTCAGGAGGCTGGGGCATAAGAATCACTTGAACCCAAGAGGTGAAGGTTGCAGTGAGCTGAGATCACACCACTGTACTCCAGCCTGGGCGACACAGCGAGACTCCATTTCAAAAAATAAAAAAAAAATCCCTGGGTTGTGCCTACATTCTGCTAAGAGGAGACTGATAATGAACAAGGAGGTAAGTGCCCAGGCATAACCCAGCGAATTCAGCCTTTCTGCAGAATTTTAACTAGAGAAGGAAGAGGAATAGATGGGAGGAAAGGGAGGGGACTAAGAGGTAGGGAGAGAGGGAGACAGAGACTGATAAAGAGGCAGAGAGAGCCAAGCATGGTGGCCCACGCCTGTAATCCCTGCACTTTGAGAGGCTGAGGTGGGTGGATCACCTGGTCAGGAGTTCGAGACCAGCCTGGCCAACATGGTGAAACCCCATCTCTACTAAAAATACAAAAATTAGCTGGGCACGGTAGTGCATGCCTGTAATCCCAGCTACTAGGGGGGCTGAGGCAGGAGGACGGCTTGAACCTGGGAGGCGGAGGATGCAGTGAGTTGAGATCGCACCACTAAACTCCAGCCTAGGCAACAAAATAAGACTCCATCTCAAAAAAAAAGAAAAAAGAAAAAATTTAAAAATGAGGCCAGGCACAGTGGCTCACGTCTGTAATCCTAGTATGTTGGGAGGCTGAGGTGGGAGGATTGCTTGAGGCCAGGAGGTGGAGGCTGCAGTGAACCGTGATCACGCCACTGCACTCCAGCCTGGGTGACAGAGAGAGACCCTATCTCAAAAAAAAAAAAAAAAAGGCCAGGCGCGGTGGCTCACGCCTGTAATCCCAGCCCTTTGGGAGGCCGAGGTGGGCGGATCATGAGGTCAGGAGATTGAGACCATCCTGGCTAACACGGTGAAACCCCGTCTTTACTAAAAATACAAAAAAATTAGCTGGGCATGGTGGCGAGCACCTGTAGTCCCAGCTACTTGGGAAGCTGAGGCAGGAGAATGGCATGAACCCGGGAGGCGGAGGTTGCAGTGAGCCGAGATCGCGCCACTGCACTCCAGCCTGGGCAACAGAGCGAGACTCTATCTCAAAAAAAAAAAAAAGAAAGAAAAGAAAAACAAAAACAATGGAACAATGGGTGGACACAGATTGGGTGGGGGACAGAAGAGCGTTGGGTGGGTGGGGGCAGAGGATGGATGGACAAGTGGAGCCTCAAGTTTGTATCATTTGCTTTCAGAGGAATGTTGGCATATCAGGGTATAGCCTGAAGAAGGGAGTTGGCAAAAGCAAACGTGCCTCTTCCCAGCTTCCAGAGAAGGAAAAAATAAATGCCAGGAATGTGTTAAAGTATCCAGATTACATGCAATCCCACCACGGCTGTGATTCATACAGGAGCGAATACAGTCCCAGTTCACATTGAGATTAAAAACGAAATTCTAGGAAAAATCATCATGCCATCTGGTGGACAAAGCTGGTAGGTGCGCCCACCTCCAGCGGCAAACCCCCTGTCACGCAGCAGGGCAGAGGGCTGCCAGGTGCCTGCGGGGGAAGGCTGAAGGACTGTGGGGAGTGTGTAGCTGGGTGGGAGGATGTAGGAGTGACTTTGGCTTGCCATTCTTGTTTGTTTTTTGAGACAAGGTCTTGCTCTGTTGCCCAGACTGGAGTGCAGTGGTGCAATCACAGCTCACTGCAACCTCGATCTCCTGGGCTCAAGCAATCCTTCTGCCTCAGCCCCCTAAGTAGCTGGGACTCTGTAGTCCGTGCCATCATGCCGGGCTGATTTTAAAAATTTTTTTAATTTTTTTTTTTGTACAGATAGTGTCTTACTGTGTTCCTCTCGCTGGTCTCAAGCTCCTGGGCTCAAGCAATCCTCCCACCTTGGCAACCCAGAGTGCTGGGATTACAGGCATGAGCCAGTGCACCTGGCCCAAGCTTGCCATTCTTTTTGGAACAACTGGTGGTGGGAGGGAAGGTTTCTGCCCCATAGAGAGAAAAGCCTTCCAACTGGAAGAACAGGCCGGGTGCGGTGGCTCATGCCTGTAATCCTAGCACTTTGGGAGGCCAAGGCGGGCAGATCACTCGAGGTCAGGAGTCTGAGACCAGCCTGGCCAACATGGTGAAATCTTGTCTCCACTAAAAATACAAAAATTAGCCAGGCATGGTGGCATGCATCTGTAGTCCCAGCTACTAGGGAGGCTGAGGGAGGAGAATCACTTGAACCTGGGAGGCGGAAGTTTCAGTGAGCTGAGATCGCACTACTGCACTGTTGCCCAGCCTGGGTGACAGAGCGAGACTCCATCTCAAACAAAACAAAACAAAACCACAAACAAGAAGAACTGTCCAGGGGACCCCAGGGACGGAGTTAGCTCCTCCAGAGAGGGATTCTGCTGCTGTCATCAGGGGGCTGGAGATCCAGGTTCGTATCCTGCAAGTGCTGTGTGACCATAGCCAGTCCCTCCCACTCTCTTATTCTCCTTGCTCTCATCATGACTCATCACCAAGACCCATCCTAGTGGGCTGGTATTTCCCACTTTAGCCCTGGTGAAACTCCTAGGAGCTATGAGGGCATTAGTCCTTGGGGCTTCCTGAAGGGGGCCCTCCCCATCTCTGCCCACCCTGGCGAGTTGCCCAGCCCAACCAGGCTTGAAGAAGTCCTGAGAGATTCTCCTGCTGGGAGGGGCTGGGGGAAGACCTACTTGCCACTGGCATAGGCATAGGCCCCGGGCCAGAGGTTGGAGCGCACAACGGCCACTGAGTACTGCGGGCAGAGGCTGCAGGACAGGCGGGTGGTCCAGGGTGCCAGGTGCATGATTTCTGTGGTGGAGAGGCAGCAGAGGGGGGCAGCAGGGTCAGGGAGGCCCCCAGGCCCTGCACTGCACCCTGAAGGAAGGAAGGCAGCAGTGAGGGAGGCCTGGAGGGGCATGAGGGGAACTATAGCCACCAACAGCTCGGGCTGCGGTGTTTGAACCCTCGCTGCAGACCACACACACACACACACACACACACACACACACACACACACACACTCTCTCTCTCTCTCTCGCTCTCTTTTTTTTTTTTTTGGAGACAGAGTCTCGTCGCTTTGTCACTCAGGCTGCAGTGCAGTGGTGTGAGCTCGACTCACTGCAACCTCTGCCTCCCAGGTTCAAACGACTCTCCTTCCTCAACCTCCCGAGTAGCTGGGATTACAGGCATGCACCACCACGCCCGGCTAATTTTTGTATTTTTAGTAGAGACAGGGTTTCACCATGTTGGCCAAGCTGGTCTCGAACTCCTGACCTCAGGTGATCCACCCGCCTCAGCCCCCCAAAGTGCTGGGATTACAGGCGTGAGCCACCTCGCCTGGCCTGGACCACTCTTTCTCTATGTGGCCCCAGGAAGCCAGTTCACCTGTCTGAGCCTCAGTGGCTGCACCCAGGAAATGGGGAGACTCATCTGGCCTTTGTTGCAGGGTGGCAGTGAAGCCTGGTGACAAGGTCTGCAGCACACCTGCTGCAGTGCCTGGCGCCCAGCAGGGCCTCCAGACTGGGAAGCCACTGTGATTCCACTCCCGAGTTGGTCATCGGTTTGGACCAGGGTGCAGAGGGAAGGGCACAGGCTGGCAGGATCTGGCTTCAAATCCAGGACCTGTCCCCTGGCCCACTCCTAGCCTCTCTCTCCACTTCCCTCCGGGTGCCTGAGGCCCCAACCTTAAAAAATTCCTGTCCATTCATCCAAAATCCAGCTCCAGGTTGGGCACAGTGGCTCCTGCCTGTAATCCCAGCACTTTGGGAGGCCGAGTAAGGTGGATCACTTGAGGCCAGGAGTTCGAGATCAGCCTGGCCAACATGGTGAAACCCCATCTCCACTAAAAATACAAAAGTTATCTGGGCGTGGTGGCACACGCCTGCAATCCAGCTACTCAGGAGGCTGAGACGGGAGAATTGCAGGAACCCGAGAGGTTGAGGTTGCAGTGAGCCAAGATTGCACCACTACACCCTAGCCTGGGTGACAGAGCTGGACTCCATCTCAAAACAACAACAATGACAACAACACCACCACCACCACACACACACACACACACATACACACACATGCACACACACACCCAGCTCCAGTCTTTAGGCAGGGTTCCCCAACTACATCCCCTTCCCTCCAGGCCCAAACTCAAAAGGCCATATCCTAAGGTTTAGGCCATTGCCACGTGTCTATGGACATGTTCCCAGAACCTCCTGATGGGGCCACTGTGATTACACCCATTTTTTAGCTGAGAGAGCCTCTGAGCCTGGGAGGGAAGGACCGGGGAGATGGACCCCAGCAGTCCAGCCACCCCTCCCTTTCTTCCCAGCCCTCCCCAGCCAGTGGTGTACAGGCTGAGAGGGCTTCCTTACCTGCATCTTCTGAAAGTGGCGTTAGCAGTGGGGGGCCAACCTCCTGCTCCACCTCCTCTGGCCCCTCATCTGCCTTCTCTTCCTCCTCCCCCAGGTCCTCCTCCTCCTCTGTCTTCTGCAAAGGGTTCACCCAAGTGCAGCGGCCCTGGGGGTGGGGGGAAGCTCAGGTGATGGCCCCAGTGCACGGAACCCAGCCTGCCTCCTGTGGGGGAGGTGAAGGGCCAACAGGCATAGCCTTGTCCTCAGAGACCCAGGCACAGGCAAGAGGGCAAGATTTAGCCGCACAGCTAAGGGGAGGTGGGAAACGGGCTGACAGAACTGCTGTGTTGAGGTGAGGACTCCTGACTGTGCGACCCCCATTCATGCATTCATTCACTCATTGAATTTTTTTTTTTTTTTTTTTTTGAGATGGAGTTTTACTCTGTGGCCCAGGCTGGAGTGCAGTGGCACAATCTTGGCTCACTGCAACCTCTGCCTCCCGGTTTAAGTGATTCTCCTGCGTCAGCCTCCTGAGTAGCTGGGATTACAGGTGCCTGACACCACGCCTGGCTAATTTTTGTATTTTTTAGTAGAGACGGGGTTTCACCAAGTTGGCCAGGCTGGTCTCGAACTCCTGACCTCAAATGATCCACCCGCCTTGGCCTCCCAAAGTGCTGGGATTACAGGTGCGAGCCATTGCACCTGGCCCACTCATTGATTCTTTTCTTTTTTTTTTTTGAGATGGAGTCTGGCTCTGTCGCCCAGGCTGAAGTGCAGTGGCTCACTGAAAGCTCCGCCTCCTGGGTTCACGCCATTCTCCTACCTCAGCCTCCCAAGCAGTGGCTTACGCCTGTAATCCCAGCACTTTGGGAGGCTGAGGCGGGCGGATCACGAGGTCAGGAGATAGAGACCATCCTGGCTAACACGGTGAAACCCCATCTCTACTAAAACTACAAAAAAAATAGCCGGGCATGGTGGCGGGCGCCTGTAGTCCCAGCTACTCAGGAGGCTGAGGCAGGAGAATGGCGTGAACCTAGGAGGCAGAGCTTGCAGTGAGCCGAGATCACGCCACTGCACTCCAGCCTGGGCAATAGAGCGAGACTCCGTCTCAGAAAAAAAAAAAAAAAAAGCCAGGCATAGTTGTGGTGGTATGTGCCTGTAGTCCTAACTACTCGGGAGGCTAAGGTGGGAGGATTGCTTGAGCCCTGGAGGTCAGGGTAGCAGTGAGTTATGATCTCATCACTGCACGCCAGCCTGGGCAACAAAGCAAGTTGCTATGTCTTAAAAGAAAAAAAAAGCTGGGCATGGTGGCTCATGCCTGTAATCCCAGCACTTTGAGAGGCTGAGGCGGGCAGATCACCTGAGGTCAGGAGTTTGAGACCAGCCTGACCAACATGAAGAAACCCTGTCTCTCCTAAAAGTACAAAATTAGTTGGGCGTGATGGCACATGCCTGTAATCCCAGCTACTTGGGAGGCTGAGGTGGGAGAATTCGCTTGAACTAGGGAGGCGGAGGTTGCGGTGAGCCGAGATCACGCCATTGTACTCCAGCCTGGGCAACAAGAGCGAAATTCTGTCTCAAAAAGAAAAGAAAAGAAAAAAAAAAAAAACCAGCCAGGGCGCAGTGGCTCATGTCTATAATCCTAGCACTTTGGGAGGCCAAGGTAGGCAGATTGTCTGAGCTCAGGACTTTGAGACCAGCTTGGGCAACACAGTGAAACCTCATCTCTACTAAAATACAAAAAATTAGCCAGGTGTGGCAGCGTGTGCCTGTAATCCCAGCTACTCAGGAGGCTGAGGCGGGACAATCGCTTGAACCCAGGAGGTGGAGGTTGCAGTGAGCCGAGATCGTACCACTGCACTCCATCCTGGGTGACAAGAGCGAGACTCTGTCTCAAAAAAAAAAAAAGAAAAGAAAAGAAAAGAAAAAGAAAAAAAAGAAGAAAGAAAGAAAAGAAAAAAAAATGCCTCTGTCCCCAAAGGTTTCTGATGGGATTATCCGCTAATATCTGTTGAACCAATGAATGGATGGATGAATGAACGAATGAATATTAGTTGCCCAGCAGAGAGTAAGAGCTTGATGTCAGTATTGCAGGGTCATGCGTGAGCCCCCTGCTCCTGCCGTTTGTGAGAGGCGGGAGTCCCGGCGCTCACCTGCGGCAGGATGTGCTGTGTGTGATGCACCCAGTTGGCCATGGAGTCGACCAGCTCCAGCACGGGGATGCCCTCGAAGTCCGGGTTCTCCTCGTAGGAGTCGCGCCCAGCACCACCTTCCTCCTCCTCGTCGCCCTCCTCCTCACTAAACTGGTAGAAGCCCAGCGGGCTGACCTGCGTGGCGGCCGAGATGCGGGCTATCTGGGCCCGCAGGTAGTTGGCCTCGTTGCCCGGGAAGGGTGGGTAGCTGACGACTGGCGTGTCCAGGTAGCCTGTGAAGAACTTCTTGATCTTTCGGGCGTTCACGATCTGGGCTGGAGTGACGTGGGGCAGCCGCGTCCATGGCAGGCCCGGCTCGTTGCACACAAAGTACAGGTACTTGTTGGCGCCTGAGCGGCTCTCCTCCTTGGGGATCACGGGCGGCGGCTTCCATACGGACTTAGGGACGATGTCCACGGCCTTCTCCTCGTCCTCCTCGCCCTCCTCCTCGCCGTGCGCCTCCATGACCTCGCCACCTTCCGTCATCTCCTCCACCTCCTCCTCCTCTGCCTCCTCCTCGCCCTCCCGGAATTCCACCTCGGCCACCAGGTAGCTGCGTTTGATTCCCAGGATCTTGCCCCAGAAGCGACAGGTGTGGATGGGCTGCTGCTCCACCAGCTGTTTCATGGCCAGGAAAATGCGGAAGCTCTCGTCCGAGCTCAGGCCGACGCCGGCCTGCTCGAAGTAGAAGGCAGTCTCCATGATGTTGGGCACTGGTGTCTCCCCCTGCGCAGGGTAGGGTGGAGGGCAGAGGGGAGAATGCTGAAGCTCTGCTCCCTAGCCTACCTCTTCCAGACTCTTCTAGAGTCAAGAGAGCTAAAAGAGGCCGGGTGCAGTGGCTCACGCCTGTAATCCCAGCACTTTGAAAGGCCGAGGCTGGCTGATCACTTGAGGTCAATAATTCGAGTCCAGCCTGGCCAACATGGTGAAACTCTGTCTCTACTAAAAATACAAAAATTAGCCAGCCATAAAAGCAGGTGCCTGTAATACCAGCTACCCAGGAGACTGAGGCAGGAGAATCACTTGAACCGGGGAGGCGGAGGTTGCAGTGAGCTGAGATTGCTCCACGCACTCCAGCCTGAGCAACAAAGTGAGACACGGTCTCAAAAAATAAAAAGAGGCCTGATGTGGTGGCTCACGCCTGAAATCCCAGCACTTAGGGAGGCCAAGGCAAGCAGATCACCTGAGGTCAAGAGTTTGAGACCAGCCTGGCCAACATGGTGAAACCCCGTCTCTACAAAAAATACAAAAATTAGGCAGGCGTGATGGCAGGCACCTGTAATCCTAGCTATTTGGGAGGCTGAGGCAGGAGGATCGCTTGGACCTGAGAGGCGGAGGTTGCAGTAAGCCAAGATCACACCACTGCACTCCAGCCTGGGTGATAGAGTGAGACTCCCACTCAAAAAAAAAGAGAAAGAAAGAAAGAAAGAAACCTAAAAGATTCTGTAACTCAGCTGCTCAGGCCACTTGTGCTGGCCAGTGAGATGTAGGGAAAGCCCTTGGACAGGATGTCCCTGATGGAGAAGAAAAGGGAAAACCACACTAGGAGAAAATTTTTCTTGCCTTTTGTCATTCCCTATTCTTCCTGCCTGGAATGGGGATATAAGATCTGGAGCCACAGCAGCTATCTTGGGACCATGAGGCAACACATGGGAGACAAAGTACTACACCCTTAATGGTGGTGGAGATGAAAGGTGGAAATTGCCTGGTCCCCAGTAGCATTGCTCAGCTGCCTTACCCACCCTGACCTTCTTGCTCCTGTAACAAAGAAGCCACTTTTATTCATGATTTCTGTGACTTGAGGCCCAATGCACTCCTAACACATACTCCATGTTTCACAGAAAGTTAAGGGAGAAGACAGGTCTCGAACGGAGGAGTCAGTGATGTTAGAGGATGGTAATAAGTCCTGTCTTCACTGCCTCCATCTATACCGTGTGCTTGATTCACACAGCCAGAGGATGGGTGGGGTGGAGGAGAAGAAAGAAGGAGAGGAGGAGGAGGAAAAAGAGGAAGAAGGAAAGAAAGAGAAAGACAGAAAGACAGAGGCTCAGAAAGGGACTGAAGGCAAGCAGGCTGAAACTAGAAGCCAGCAAAGTTTATGGCTGGGCGCAGTGATTCACGCCTGTAATCCCAGCACTTTGGGAGGCCAAGGCAGGGAAATCACAAGGTCAGGAGATCGAGACCATCCTGGCCAACATGGTGAAATCTGGTCTCTACTAAAAATACAAAAATTAGCTGGGTGTGGTGGTGGGCGCCTGTAGTCCCAGCTACTCGGAAGGCTGAGGCAGGAGAATGGCATGAACCTGGGAGGTGGAGCTTGCAGTGAGTGGAGATTGCACCACTGCACTCCAGCCTGGGTGACAGAGTGAGACTCTGTCTCAAAAAAAAAAAAAAAAAAAAAAAAAAAAAAAAAAAAAAGGAGGCCGGCCAAGTTTTGGCTCAGAAGCCAGAGAAAGAAGAAGTGTAATGTACATCTGCACGGGCCACACACCAATGCTCTTCCTTCTCCCAGGGAAATGCCTGCCAGCCCCTATCCATGTGGCCACAAGGCTGTCCCCAACACTTTATTATTCAACCAGTCCCAAAATCTTTATTATTTATTTATTTATTATCATTATTTTTGAGACAGAGTCTTGCTCTGTCACCCAGGCTGGAGTGCAGTGATCTGATCTCAGCTCACTGCAACCTCCACTCCTGGGTTCAAGCCATTCTCCTGCCTCAGCCTCCCCAGTAGCTGGGATTATAGGCGTGCACCACCACACCCAGCTAATTTTTGTATTTTTAGTAGAGATGGGGTTTCACCATGTTGGCCAGGCTGGTCTCGAACTCCTGACCTCGTGATCCGCCCGTCTTGGCCTCCCAAAATGCTGGGATTACAGGCCTGAGCCACTGTGCCTGGCATATTATTATTATTTTTTAAAAATTATTATTATTATTATTTTTGATACAGAGTCTTGCTCTGTCGCCCAGGCTGGAGTGCAGTGGCGCAATCTCAACTCACTGCAAGCTCCGCCTCCCGGGTTCACGCCATTCTCCTGCCTCAGCCTCCCAAGTAGCTGGGACTACAGGCGCCCACCACCATGCCCGGCTAATTTTTTGTATTTTAAGTGGAGACAGGGTTTCACCATGTTAGCCAGGATGGTCTTGATCTCCTGATCTTGTGATCCACCCACCTTGGCCTCCCAAAGTGCTGGGATTACAAGCGTGAGCCACTGCGCCCGGCCCATTACTATTTTTTGAGACGGAGTCTCGCTCTGTTGCCCAGGCTGGAGTGCAGTGGCACAATCTCGGCTCACTGCAACCTCTGCCTCCAGGATTCAAGCGATTCTTCTGCCTCAGCCTCCTGAGTAGTCGGGACTACAGGTGCACACCACCACGCCAGGCTAATTTTTGTATTTTTAGTAGAGACAGGGTTTCACCATGTTGGCCATGCTGGTCTCGAACTCCTGACCTCAGGTGATCTGCCCGCTTTGGCCTCCCAAAGTGCTGACATAACAGGCGTGAGCCACTGCACCCAACCAGTGATGGGATTTATAACCAAGATACTGTGATGCTGAAAACAGCTCTCTTTGTTTAGGGACAGCTAGGGAGCCTGGGAGTGTGGGGAATAGGCAGCTCTCAGTGCCCTTCACTGCAGAGCCACCTTGCAAGACTAGGACCTTACCAGTCCTAGACTACACCTGACGATTCTGTGTGAGAAAAATGACCAACTCATCCAAGTCACTTATTTCTATTTATCTGACATCATCTATATCCTAACTTAAAGGGACCTATGTTGTCAAACAAGTAAAATAAGGTGTTAGTTTTTGGAATGTGCCAAAATAATCCTAAAGTTAGTCTAAAATTATAGATGTGGGCGGGCGCCATGGCTCACGCCTGTAATCCCAGCACTTTGGGAGGCCGAGGCGGACAGATCACCTGAGGTCAAGTGTTCGAGACTAGCCTGGTCAACGTGGCAAAATCCTGTCTCTACTAAAAATACAACAAATTAGCCAGGCGTGGTGGCACAGCCTGTAGTCCCAGCTACTCGGGAGGCTGAGGCAGGAGAATAGCTTGAACCCTGGAGGCAGAGGTTGCAGTGAGCTGAGATCGTGCCACTGCACTCCAGCCTGGGCGACAGAGCAAGACTCCGTCTCAAAAACAAGAACAAAAATTAGCCAGGCATGGTGGCGGGCACCTGTAATCCCAGCTACTCGGGAGGCTGAGGCAGGAGAATCACTTGAACCTGGGAGGTGGAGGTTGCAGTGAGCTGAGTTCACACCACTGTATTCCAGCCTGCGTGACAGAATGAGACTCCATCTCAAAAAAAATGGAAAAAATAAAATAATAAAATAAAATTATAGATGTGAGAATAGTCAAAACTTATCTTTTTTTTTTTTTTTTTTTTTTTAGACAGACTCTCACTATGTTGCCCAGGCTGGAGTACAGAGGCTCAATCTCAGCCCACTGCAAGCTCCGCCTCCTGGGTCCATGCCATTCTCCCGCCTCAGCCTCCTGAGTAGCTGGGACTACAGGTGACCGCCACCACGCCTGGCTAATTTTGTTTTTGTATTTTTAGTAGAGACGGGGTTTCACCGTGTTAGCCAGGATGGTCTCGATCTCCTGACCTCAGGTGATCCACCTGCCTCGGCCTCCCAAAGTGCTGGGATTATAGGCGTGAGCCATCAAGCCCGGCCGAGAATAGTCAAAACTTTTCTTTTTTTTGTTTTTTGCTTTTTTTTTTTTTTTTGAGACGGAGTCTCGCTCTTTTGCCCAGGCCAGAGTGCAGTGGTGCAATCTCAGCTCACTGCAAGCTCCGCCCACCAGGTTCACGCCATTCTCCTGCCTCAGCCTCCCCAGTAGCTGGGACTACAGGCGCCTGCCTCCACGCCTGGCTAATTTTTTGTATTTTTACAAGAGATGGGGTTTCACTGTGTTAACCAGGATGGTCTCGATCTCCTGACCTCGTGATCCACCCGCCTCGGCCTCCCAAAGTGCTAGGATTACAGGTGTGAGCCACTGCGCCTGGCCTTTTTTTTTTTTTTTTTTTTTTGAGATGGAGTCTCGCTCTGTCGCCCAGGCTGGAGTGTAGTGGTGCGACCTCCCCTCACTGCAATGTCCACCTCCCAGTTTCACGCCATTCTCCTGCCTCAGCCTCCCTAGTAGCTGGGACTACAGGTGCCCGCCACCATGCCCGGCTAATTTTTTGTATTCTTAGTAGAGACAGGGTTTCACTTAGCCAGGATGGTCTTGATCTCCTGACCTCGTGAACCACCCGCCTCAGCCTCCCAAAGTGCTGGGATTACAGGCGTGAGCCACCGTGCCCGGCTAGTCAAAACTTTTCAAAACAGAGGTTCAGTGATGGGGAGAATTATGCTACCAAAACAGCAACACCTGCCGTGCAGCTGCTGTCAGCAGTAAACAGGAGAGTCCTAGAGCAGGAAGCCATCCACAGAGCAAAGGCCGGGAGCAGAGACTCCTGCAGGACCCTGTGTGGGGAGCAGATGGTGCAGGTGGCATTTCAAAGCAGTGGGGGGGCAGGAAGGAATGGTTTATTGCATAAATGCCATTCAAGGTCCTGGCTAGCCGTCTGGAAGACAGAAAACGAGAGAAATAAGAGCCTTGCCTTGACAGAAAAAGAAACACAAAATGCTGAATCATGCATTTTTTATGAGTCATTTCCTAGAAGCATGTACAGGCCACAAAAGCCCCCAGTTTTGCCCTTCCACAGACCCCACATTAAGAACTCCAGCTCTTGGCTGGGAGTGGTGGCTCACGCCTGTAATCCTAATACTTTGGGAGGCCGAGGCAGGAGGATGGCTTGAGGCCAAGAGTTCAAGACCAACCCGGCCAACATAGCAAGACCCCCATCTCAATTATTTTTATTTATTTATTTATTTTTATTTATTTATTTTTTTGAGACAGAGTCTCGCTCTGTTGCCCAGGCTGGAGTGCAGTGGTGTGATCTCGGCTCACTGCCAAGCTCCGCCTCCTGGGTTCATGCCATTCTCCTGCCTCAGCCTCCGGAGTAGCTGGGACTGCATGTGCCTGCTGCCACGCTTGGCTAATTTCTTATATTTTTAGTAGAGACGGGGTTTCATCATGTTAGCAAAGATGGTCTTGATCTCCTGACCTCGTGATCTGCCCACCTCGGCCTCCCAAAGTGCTGAGGTTACAGATGTAAGCCACCCCATCCTGCCAAGACTGAAGTTGTTTTGTGACTGGATTGTGCAATGCTGTCTTTCGCCTCCAGGCCTTGGCACAGGCTGTGCCCTAAGTATGCTTGGGCCCCCACTGACCCTGATGCCCACCTCTCCTGACTGGCTCACTCACCACCTCCTCCTCCATCTCCTGTTCGCCTTCAGTGCCGCCTCCACTCCGGGTGAACAGCGCCTTCTGTTTCTCCGCCATCTTGTAGGTGGGCTGCATCTCGGGGTCGTCCCGCAGCGTGTCCAGCTTGGGGTGGAACCACTCCCACTGCGTGGTGCGGTTCAGAGACTCCAGGACAGACAAGGGGTCCTCAGGCCGCTGGTTCAGGATCTTGGTCAGCAGATTCACCAGGTGCTCGTACCTGCCTCCCGCAGGAGGAGTGGGAGGAGAGGGACCTCACTCACTCAGCTCACTGAGCTGGCTCCCATGTGCCTGGCCCTGTGCCTGGTGCTGGGGACACAGTAGGGAACTGAAAAGGTCCCTGCCCAGGTGTAGCTGACATTTATTTATTTATTTTTATTTATTTAGTTTTTGAGATGGAGTCTTGCTCTGTTGCTCAGGCTGGAATGCAGTGGTTCATCTCGGCTCACTGCAACCTCTGCCTCCCGGGTTCAAATAATTCTCCTGCCTCAGCCTCCCGAGTAGCTGGGATTATAGGCGCCCGCCACCACGCCTGGTTACTTTTTGGATTTTTAGTAGAGACAGGGTTTCACCATGTTGGTCAGGCTGGTCTCGAACTCCTGACCTCGTGATCTGCCCGCCTCAGCCTCCCAAAGTGCTGGGATTACAGGCGTGAGCCACCGCGCCTTGCCGACATTCTTATGGTGGAAACAGACACTAATCAAACGAGCAAAATATATACAGTGTGTCAGGCATGGGGTGGTAATTTTTAGGGTGACACATATAGTACTGAATGGGGCCTGGGGGTGCCAGGGATGGGAGAAGGTTTGCAATTTTATTTTTTTAATTTATTTTTCAGAGGAGGTCTCGCTGTGTTGCCCAGGCTGGAGTGCAGTGGCACGACCTCAGCTCGCTGCAGTCTCTGTCTCCTGGGTTCAAGCGATTTTCCTGCCTCAGCCTCCCAAGTAGCTGGGATTACAGGCATGCACCACCATGTCCCGCTAATTTTTTTGTATTTTTTGTAGAGGGTTTCGCCATGGTGGCCAGGCTGGTCTCAAACTCCTGACCTCAGGTGATCCACCTTCTTCCGCCTCCCAAAGTGTTGGGATTACAGGCGTGAGCCACCGCACCTGGCCAACATTTGTATTATTATTATTATTATTATTATTATTATTATTATTATTATTATTAGAGACAGAGTTTTGCTTTGTTGCCCAGGCTGGAGTGCAGTGGTGTGATTTCGGCTCACCACAACCTCTGCCTCCTGGGTTCCTGGGTTCAAGTGATTCTCCTGCCTCGGCCTCCTGAGTAGCTGGGACTACAGGTGCACACCACCATCCCCGGCTAATTTTTGTATTTTTAGTAGAGACGGGGTTTCACTATGTTGGCCAGGCTGGTCTCGAACTCCTGACCTCAGGTGATCCGCCCGTCTTGGCCTCCTAAAGTGCTGGGTTAACAGGTGTGAACCACCGTGCCTGGCCAACATTTGTATTTTTTGTATTTTTTTTTTGAGACAGGGTCTCACTTTGTCACTCAGGCTGGAGTGCAGTGGCTCGGTCTTGGCTCACTGCAACCTCTGGTTCCCGGGTTCAAGTGATTCTCCCACCTCAGACTCCCCAGAGCTGGGATTACACGTGTGCCAACATGCCTGGCTAATTTTTGTACTTTTTGTAGAGATGGGGTTTTGCCATGTTGCCCAGGCTGGTCTCAAACTCCTGGACTCAAGTGATCTGCCTGCCTCAGCCTCCCCAACTGCTGGGATTACAGGCGTGAGCCACCAGGCCCGGCCACAGTCAGCCTTTGAAACCAAGTTGGTCTGATTTCCAAGCATGTATGTGTCACCTTTTGCTTTGCGGAAGCTGTTTTGTTGGCAGTCTTGGGTGTGGTGTTGGGCCATCATGGAAGTTGGGAAGGGTAAGAAGAGGTGAGACTTTGGCTAGGGCTTCTCAGGAAGAGAGCCTGAAGCTCTGAAGAGCTGGCACTTGGGGAATAGCCAGAGGTTAATTCTGACTAGATTCTAGGATCCGAGGAAGGAGCAGGTAGTGACTAGAAATCAAGTTTGGTCAGCGGCCAGGGGCTGAACCACGTAAGGCCTTTTGTTTGTTGGTTTGTTTGAGACAGAGTCTCGCTCTGTTGCTCAGGCTGGAGTGCACTGGCACGATCTTGGCTCACTGCAGCCTCTGCCTCCCGGTTCAAGTGATTCTCCTGCCTCAGCCTCCCGAGTAGCTGAGATCACAGGCGTGTGCCACCACGCCTGGCTAACTTTTTGTATTTTTAGTAGAGACAGGGTTTTGCCATGTTGGCCAGGCTGGTCTTGAACTCCTGACTTCGAGTTATCTGTCTGCCTCAGCCTCCCAAAGTGCTGGGATCACAGGCATGAGCAAGGCCTTATATGTCTCAGGCCAGGAGCCTTGAAGGTTGTGGTGAGGAGTCTGAGCTTCCCCCTGTGGGCAATGGGGAGCCATAGCAGGTTCTGAGCATTGGAGGGACACGGCCAGCTTTGTGCTTTAATAAGAACCATTACTTCATCAACCTCATTTCTCCCGCTCTCCCTCTTCCTCCCTTGGTTCCAGACACACCAGCCCCTCCTTACTGCTCCTCAAAAACAGCAAGCCTCAGAGCCTTTGCATTTGCAGTGTGCTCTGCCTGGCTCACTCTTCCTCCGGTCATCTGCAAGATGCTCTCCCTCGACTCCTTCAGGGCCCTAATCAAATGTCACCTCCTTGGACAGGCCTTCACTGACCCACACAATTTATTTTTTTGAGATGGAGTCTCGCTCTGTTGCCCAGGCTGGAGTGCAGTGGCACGATCTCGGCTCACTGCAACCTCTGCCGCCCGGGTTCAAGTGATTCTCCTGCCTCAACCTCCCGAGGAGCTGGGATTACAGGCCCATGCTACCATGCCCTGATAATTTTTGTATTTTTTAGTAGAGACAGGGTTTCGCCATGTTGGCAAGGCTGGTCTCGAACTCCTGACCTCAGGTGATCCGCCCGTCTTGGCCTCCTCAAGTGCTGGGATAACAGGCGTGAGCCACCGCACCTGGTTGGACCCCCACTATTTCATGTGTTCCCTAGCCCTCTTAGCCTCCCTTATTTTTCACCTGAGTCCTTAGCTTCAGTTTATCACTTTTTCTGTTTCTTGTCCACTCTCCTAGAATGAGAGCATCCTGGGTATCTAATGGAGGCTGAGAGCAGTGTTTTGTGACTGTAGCTAAGTGGCTTTGGCAAGTATCTTCCTCAGGCAGGGAGGTTTAGTTGCAGGATAAGAGGGTCTCAGGAGGGCTGGGCACGGTGGTTCATGCCTGCAATCCTAGCACTTTGGGAGGCTGAGATGGGCGGATCACTTGAGGTCGAGTTTGAGACTAGCCTGGGCAACATGGTGAAATCTTGCCTCTACTAAAAATACAAAAATTAGCTGGGTGAAGTGGAGCGCGCCTGTAACCCCAACTACTCGGGAGGCTGAAGCAGAAGAATCACTTGAACTTGGGAAGGAGAGGTTGCCCTAAGCCAAGACCACGCCACTGTGCTCCAGCCTGGGTGACAGGGTGAGACTATGTCTGGGGGAAAAAAAAAGCAAGAGGGCTTGGGGAGCCAAATCACGTGTTCTGGAATCCTGACTCTGCCATATCCTAGCTGTGTAGTTTTGGGTAAGCGACCCAACTTCTCTGTGTCTCGGTCTCCTCCTCTGTAAAGTAGGATGAGCTGATGTGCTCATCTCCGGTGAGAATTAGGTGAGTGTGTGCAGTGCCAGCACATGTCTGGGAAGTGAATGCTAGCTGTTGTTGGCATTGATTCCGACTCAGCTGAATTAGAGTCACTGGTTTTCCATGAGGGATGATCCCTTGTCTGACTGACTGAGGCAGGCACTTCGGGTGGGGCCCCTCCCTGCCTGGGTCCCCCACCCGCCCCACTCCTAGCCCCTGCTCACAGGCTGAGGTCGCAATTGATGCTGGTCTGCAGCAGGTAGGCCTTGGCGTTCTGCACGGCCAGCTCCAGAGGCTCGGGCTCAGGCACCTGGGCACTGTAGTGTGGGAAGCCCAGCTCAGAGGGCAAGAACTGAAGGGCAGGGTCATCCCTTATGTAAGGCCCGTGCTGGGCACCTTCAGAGAACTGGTCTGTCTGGTAGAGGTTGAACTGGCCCAAGGGGTTGACTGGGGGCTCCTGGAAGGTGGGGTCCAGTTGCTGGAACAGGCTGCTTTGGCCCTGCTGGAGCCGCTGCAGCATTAGGCTGGTGGTGAGCTCGGCGACCTGCATCCTGCTTTCATCAGAGTAAGGCTGAGGCTGGAACTCTGAGGGAAAGCCCGTGTTCACAGATGGGTACTCCATGCCACCCAGCCGGGCTTCCTCAGCCTGGAAGACCTGGGGCATCAGCAAGTTCTCCTGTTGGGACAGGCTGCCCCTCTGTGACCAACCAGGGGCGTTTCGCTGGGCGTCTGGAGGTATCTGCTGCCTCTCCTCGGGGTCCGCTGCCAGGGCCTGAGCTTGGTCCCGACTGTGCCGCCTCTGGGAGGCCTGAGAAGTCCTCCGGCCCGGAGGCTGCTGGGCAGGGCGCTCAGGGTAGGGCGGCAGGTCTCCCATGGTTCGCCAGGAGGCACAGATCTCTAGGAGAAAGGCTTGCAGACAAGGAGGCCAAGCGAGAGCCACCTGTCGACACCGCCGGTTTCTGAGCACCGAGAGAGGGGGCCGTTACCCGTGGAGGGCGCGGGGAGCGGGCCAGGGTGGGTTCCGCGCAGGCTCTGGGCGCGCACTCCCGATCCCGCGCAGCCCCACGGTGGACGTCGCGCCAGACTCGAGACGGCACCCGCGCCCCAGGCCCGCCATCCCTTTTTTTTTTTCTTTTCAGTAACTTGCCCAAGTTCACATCTTTTATTTCTTTTTAAGGCAAAGCACCCGCAGGTCAAGCCCCGCCCCGTCCCCCAGCCCCGAGTCCCTGTCCCACCCCCTTTCCCCCTCGAGCCCCGTCAGCTGTTCCCCTTGGCCTCGGGTTCCCTGGCGTCCTCGGCAGCCGGGCTGGGAGTCTTCATAGCATCTTCTCCAACAGGTGCGAGGGTCTGGGGGCTCCGCTCCTCCTTCAAGGTCAGCCCGCCCGCTGCCGTCTCCTGGTGACCGGGGAAGGAAAGGGCAGCCGGGTGGAGGGCGCGGTCACCTCCACGCTCCCCTTCAGGCCCTGCCCCCTGATGGCCCCTCCTCCCCCACCTTCACCCCGGCCCAGATCCGGCTTCTTCCTTCGCAGCGGAGGCTGCTCTCCCTACCTTGGGTAGGGGGCCCTCGAGACTAGAGTCCAACAGCGCGGCCTCGGTCAGCCCCGAGTCGTCATCCATGCTGATGAAGATGCCCGGGGTCTCGCACTCAGGCCCCTCCTCCCGGAAATCCATGGCTTCCTCAGACGGGGGCGGGCCTGGCCGGGCCGACGGAGAGGGAGAGGGGGAGGAAGAGGAGGGGGCTCCCACTCCTCCCGGCTTCAGCTTCTGTTCCTCCTCCAGCTGCCGCTTTAAGGCCTTCTCCTGGGCCAGTCGCAGGCCGATGAGGTCCTGAGGGGGCCGGGGTGCTGGGGCCGGGGCCAAGGTCAGGGGCTCCAGATCATCCTGGGGATAGGGAGGGCCACACAGAAGCTCAGAGGTGGGTGGCTCAGAGGACGGCCGGAAAGAGAAGGAACCACCCTGAGGTGGTCTTTGAGTTCTTCACCAAGAGCATGGGGAGGAAGGGGCAGTTGTCCCCCAGACCCCCAACTCCCAGCAGGAGCATCCCCTGGGAGACGGGTGGCCCAGAGGCAGGGGTGGCCTGAGTCTCTCGGGGTCAGGAGGAGGCCATGGTGAGCCTTGCTGGCTTGGGGTAGGGGGTGGGAGTCTGGGGATCCAGATGGGTGGGCTGCAGGGCCCTCACCTCCTCCAAGGGCCCCGCAGGCGCCTCCTTGGCCTCTGGCTCCTGCTTGCCGCTGGCCTCCAAGATGGTCATGATGGAGTTAGGGATGTGAGCTTGCTGGGTGGAGAGCAGGAAGGGGGCGCTGGGGGCAGCTCTGGCACAGAGACCCCATTTGCACACCTCAGGTCCGGGGGCCCTAACCCTCCAGAACTCCCAGCAGTGCAGGGCCTTCTTGTGTCCGCCTCCATCCAGTCCCCACCAACCAGAGGGACCCAGGGGGCCGCCCACCGCACACCCTGGGTGGGGGGAAAGGGTACCTGGTGGGGGGAAGGGGTACCTGGTGGGGGGTGAAGGAGCGGACATGGGCCAGCAGGGGCTCCCGGAGCTCTGGGCACTTGTCAAAGACGGCTCCCAGCTGCTGGGGCGGCAGCTGCAGGATGACCTGGAAGCTCTGGGGCTTTGTGCGCTGGCAGCACTTGATGAAGCCCTCCCACACCTTGGGGTACTTCCACACCTGAACCAGGGAGGGAGGGAGCCGTCGGGAGAGGCACACAGGCATCCCCCCGAGCCTTGACACTGGGAGAAAGACCTTGCCAAGACCATGCCCAAATCCCACCATCCAAGATTCCTCTGGATGGGCAACAAGCAGCCCCGACCTCCCTCCAGAGGCCTTTGTCTTCCCGATCCAGGCGGCTGGACCACGAGGGCAACTTGGGAAGGGGGTGGAAGAAAACTCAGCCGCCTTTTACCAGAGCTCCCCCTGGGCCAGGCCCAGGCTAAGTGCTGCGGGAGCACCTCTCATGACATTCTCACGGCAGCCTCCAGGGGGCGAAATTACCCCTGCTAAACAGCGGAGGTCCGTGCCGGTGCCGGGACCTGTCCTGGGTCACATGTACATTCTCACCGCAGCCTCCAGGGGGCGACATTAGTCCTGCGGGGTTTGGTTTTTTTGTTCTCTTTTTTTTTTTTTTTTTTTTTTTTTTTTGAGAGATGGTCTTACTCTGCCGCCCAGGCTAGAGTGCAGTGAGTGGCGCGTTTCTTCCTCACTGCAGCCCCAAACTCCTGGGCTCAAGCAGTCCTCCTGTCTCGGCCTCCCAAAGAGTTGGCATTACAGGTGTGAACCATCACACCTGGCCTTATCGTGGTATTTCTAAAGCCCAAATTTCTAGCACCTCTTAAAAAACTGGGCCATTTTTCAGCTCTGGGATGCATCCTGGCCGGGCACACAGCGGTGGAGGGTGAGGAGCAGCCATGCCTCTCCCGGGTGCACACCCCTTGAGGGTTACCACAGCTCCTACCACCCAGCTGCCCTCCCTCATCACCTGGGAGCTGGCCCAGTCATACACCCTGGAGCACTGCTATTTTCTTGGCAGGAGGCAGAGCAGAGCCTGCTGTCCTCCACCGGGCTCCCTCCGGGGTCAGACGGGGGAAGGGGAGGGCAAGCAGGCTAGAAGCTGCTGTCTGCAGCCTGGAGGCGGGGTGGCCGGGGATGGGTTACCTGCTTCATGATGAGGCGGGACAGGATGTTCATGACGAAGCCCCCCAGGCGGGGGTACATGGTCAGGGACTGGATGACGGTCCTCATGAGCAGCATGGGCAGGGGGCTCTGCTCCATCAGCTGCTGCATCACCACGGCCAGCACCTCTGACGTGTACACGTTCCGCTCCGCAAAGCACAGGTTGGTGGCTGCGAGGAGGCGGAGAGTGGGCCTGTCCTCTCTGCCCAGCTGCCCCCTGGGAGGTGGGAGTCCCGGCCTCTGCTGTCTGCCCATGTGAGGGGAAGACTTCTAAAGCCCTGACTTCTAAAGCCCCTGCGGGAGAGAGGAGACTCCCCCGACCCAGCAGAAGGCACACTGCAAGCCCCGCCCTTGGAAAACCTGCAGGCTTGGTTCAAGGGAGAAGACATCCAACTCCAGGAAGCCCCAAAATGGGTGGAACAGGGAACCCGTGGCCCCTCACTTTAAGGACGACCTTGGGAAAGATGTGTTGCCAAGCCCTGGGGGAGTGGCAGGGCCCCCCACCCCTGCTAGGGAGGGAAGGCAGCTATTGGTTTCTACCAGCCCCTCCAGAGAGAACAGCAGTCCACAGACCAGCTTGTCAGAGGGCCAAGGGACTGCCCACCCAGTCCTGACAAGGATACAGGGCTTGCGCTGGTGCTGGGAAGATGGGGGGTGCCAGGCTAAGGGCTGTGTTGGGCATATGGGCACAATCAGAGTAATAGCGAAGGGAGGGACAAGAGAAGGCTGGGGCCGGGGCATACGATGACCCCCCGACTCAACACCCAGTGCCAGTACCAGTAGGACCCAGAGGGTTGGCACAGCACAAGCACCCATGAAGGCAGGCCCTGGGGTCTGTTCCCCGAGTGGGTGGCCATGCCCCAATCCACAGTGCTAATGGGAGGCCCCAGGAGCTGCCTTTGAAGCCCTTCCCCAAACACCACTTGCCATGTGAGTGTCAACCAGGAAGTCTTTATTGAGCCAGAAGAGCACCCCAACCCCCCAAATCCTTGAGAGGCTAATGGAGAACAGGGGTGGGGTCTCTAAGGGGGGGGGCGTAGACAGGTGGGGAGGAGGCTGAATGGGCAGAGCAGACAGTGGAGGTGAGGACCTGCCAGAAACCGAGGAAGCCCCTGCTCCTCGTCAGGGCCAGGTGGTCACTGGTCCTGCCTGCTCAGCCACCCCAAGGCTCCAGAATCACCCCTCCCCTCTTCCTTCCCTGTCGGCTTTGCCCCAGCCCCCCACCTGGGCCTCCCCCGAGCCTCCGATCCATTCTCCATATAGCAGCCTGAAGGGTGTTTTGGAAAGCTCAGACCTGACTTGCCTCCCAGAGACCCTCAAGAAACAAGGTCAAATTCCCACCTCGGCCTGCGAGACTCCTGTGTGGGCAGGCCCCAGGGGCACCTTTCCCAATGGCGACAGCCTGACCTCCTCCCTTGACCAGGCCCCCTCCTTCGTCCCCTAGGTCCAGAACCAGCCAGCAAGCACCTCCCTCGGTCCCTGCAGTCTCCTGCTGCTGCCGCCTACTCATCCTTCCTTGGTCTCAGCCTGAGTGTCCCCTTTTTCGGGAAGTCTTCCCTGATGTCCCACACCCAGGCTGGGTTACATGGCCCCTCTGGGCTGCCCAGTCCCAGGCCACCCCTCTCAGTTGTTACTGGCCAGGGACTTCTTGTCTCTCCCTGGACTGTAAGCCCTGGAAGGACAGGGCTAGGGCTGTCTTTCCTGTGTCCCCAGCACTACCCAGGATGGATATGGGTGAGCAGAGGTGCTGACTTTTCTTAATGCTGGACTACCAGGAGTGGGTCTAGTTATAGACAAGCTCCCCAGAGGAACAGGGTGGTCTACGGGGGAGTGAACAGTGCACAACAAAAGGACTCGACTTTGTGATCTGGAGCTTAGAGTGCAACCAGGAAGACTGCTGGTGCCTGAGCAGGAGAAAAACTTGGGTTGGGTGCTGGGGACACCAGCTGGAGGGTTGTCTGGCCTGCAGCGTGCACGCCTGGGCGTGTTGAAGGGTGGGGTGGTGTAGGGTAGGCCCTGCTGACCCCTCTGGGGGCCTCACTCCTGGTGGCCTGTGTGGCCTCTGGCAAGGCCCTTTCTCCTGGGCCAAGGATCTTCAGGGGCCTGGCTCCTGGTGGCCTGTGTGGCCTCCGACAAGGCCCTTTCTTCTGGACCTAGGATCCTCAGGGCTTCTAATCTGGGTCCACAAATGGCCTTGGGGTGTGTGTGTGTATGTGTGAACCCCCTCAAACTGTATGCAAATAATATGAGCATACTGTCCTGGGAATGGGCTAGAACTTTCCTCAGATCACCAAAGGGGTCGGGGAATGTGAAGACCACAGCCCTGGCCTATGAGCCTGGAGATCTTTCCTCCCTGCTGGTCTCCCACGAGAGGCCTTGGTGCCTCCTGGGTTTTATAATGTGGGTTTGACATTTCCATAAGCTGCTCTCTTGACCTTAAACGTTTCTCAGAGAACTTGCAGAGGAAGGTTAGGAAGTAAGTCACTGAAAAGCTGTTTCAAGCTAGAACACGAAAGTAAGCAGCACAGAGAGGAAGCCCCTTCCCGTCTGAGGGTGAGAAGAGAAATCAAAGGACAGCAGTCTTCTGAGTATAGAGGGCGACAGTGAGGGTGTCCAGCTCCGTGGGACAGGATGGCTCCTGGCCCAGAAACCTTGCTCAGGAGGGATGGAGGGGTGGGCGCTCTCAGGGGAGGTGGTCCTTAGACGCGGAACCGGCAGAGCTGGGATTCCCACCCAGGTCCGTTTCACTTCAGATTCTGTTTCTTCTACCACACCACTTAGCTTCTGCTTGGCCCTGAGTAAGTCACCTAACCTCTCTGGAGCCTCCATTTCCTGTCTACACAATGGAAGTGAACATACCCACCAAGTGGCGGACCAGCAGGCTCAGGCCTGTAGGCGTTCAGGGAGAGCCCAGCGCAGAGTGCTCAGTGAGTGGGGGCCATCGTGAGGCGGCCAGTTCGTCACCAACCCTGCCGCCCTGCAGGCAAGCTCTCCTGCCTCACCTACCCTGGCCCACAAGTGCCCTGGAGCCCTGGGTCTGCCCTGCTGCTGCGCCTCTACCACTCACGGTGTGCCCTGCTTCCTTCTGTTCCTCGGGGCTAGGGGTGGGGCTACCCAACTGCTTTAGGCCCACTCTGTGCCAGGGCACAGCAGGTACATCAGAGGCAGAAAAAGGTGGGTTGTAAAGGGTAAAACCTGGGAGGAAGGAAGGAGGAGGGAGGGAGGGAGGGAGGGAAGAGGAGGCAAGAAAAGGAGGGAGGGAGGGAGGTGGCTCTCCAGAGCTCTGAGGTGGGGCTGTGAGTGACAGTCTTTGACTTGGCAGATTCCAGTGGGGGCATGTGGGTGACTGAGGTCCTGCCCTGGCGTCGCAGGGGCCAGGCCACTGGAGTGGGGGGGAAGCGCCTCACCTTTGATGATGGATTTCATGTCGCACTTCACGGAGTCAATGTTGTGTAATGCGATCAGGAGCTCTCCAGGGTTCAGCGGGGACAAGGCTGAGTTTCCCTCACCTGCAGCAGGCGGGAGGAAGGGTGGGGGAAGACAGTGCGGACGCATAAGTGAAGAGATGGGTCTGAGTTCCCCAGATCGGGGGAGCTGCGAGCAAAGATGAGGTGCCCTCTGCTTTCAGGGCTGGAACAGGGGAAGCGACTGACAACATAAAAAGGGGACACCGAAGGCAGCAGCAGCCCTCAGGCAGCGTGAGGTTGCCACTGTGTGCTCCTCCCCATCCTGGGCTCCCACCCTGGGTAGCGTGTGGCACGGCTGGGTCTCTCTGCCCCTGGGCTGTGCACCCCCGAGGGCAGGGTAGGACCACCTCCTCGTGTGGTCCCCAACACAGACTCCACCGCGGCACAGGGGGTCATGGGCATTTGTGGCACAGGGCAAGATGGAGCCAGGCTACAGGCTTCCAAAAAGTGGCTGGAGCCTTCTGCTGTGTGGGGCCTGGGGGAGTGGAGGGGAGGCTGGTGGAGTGGCTCTTTGCTGCTGCTATTTTGATGGTCCCAGAGCCATCTATATGTGTGTTTTAAACCACCAGGGTCTGCGTGGAACAGACATCCTCCATTTTTTCTCTAGCACCAACCACTGGGGTAAGGGTGAACAATCCCTTGCTAGTTTTTCTAAGTTGAAAGTTTTGCTTCTTTTTTTTTTTTTTTTTTTTTGAGATGGAGTCTCACTCTGTCATCCAGGCTGGAGTGCACTGGCACGATCTCCGCTCACTGCAAGCTCCGCCTCCCGGGTTCATGCCATTCTCCTGCCTCAGCCTCCCGAGTAGCTGGGACTACAGGCGCCCGCCACCACGCCTGGCTAATTTTTTGTATTTTTAGTAGAGACGGGGTTTCACTGTGTTAGCCAGGATGGTCTCGATCTCCTGACCTTGTGATCCGCCCGCCTCGCCTCAAGTTTTGTTTCTTTTTGACTGTGTCAAAACGAAATGCCCCTGGCCCACAGCTTGAGGGATTCGGGCAAGATCTGAGGAGGGGCCAGACTGGAGCCGGGCCTGAGAGGGGCTGGTGTGTGGCCAGATCCTAAAAGGGAAGATGCTGCTGGAGCCTCCGCCCCTAGCTCCACGGTCTTGCCCCTGCTGTGAATGAAACCATCATAAAAATATCCCAGAGGGTGGCCTGGGAGCTCCGGGACACATGGAGATGTCCAGTACAGCTGGTGTCCCAGGGAGCAGGATGTGCCCTCTCTCCCTGAGGGGGGTGCCTGCACCTTGCCTTCTGCCCCAGCACCTGGGGTGGGTGGGCCTCTTGGTGGGGATGAGGCTGCATCACCTACCATGCTGGGTGCCCAGCAGGCGGTTGAAGACTTCCTTCACCACGATGGGGTTGAGTTTGATGAGTTTAGGCAGGGCCTGGATCACCTCTTTCTACAGGGAGAAGGTGGTGGGGGTGGGAGTTGAGTCACATACACCCTCATTTCCCTTCTAGACAAGCCACCCCTTCTGCTCGCCCTGGGGAGCTGAGGGCAAGCTCTGGCTCACTGAGCCCCTCCTACCCTCACCACACCCTCAGGGCGGAGCTTTCTCCCCAGCTCTCACCCCATCTGAGCCCCCTGCATGTCACATGTGTGTGCCCCCAAGAGGCATCCTGATCCTTGTCTGACAGAGGAGAAAAGCGAGTCTCAAAGAGGGGAAGGGACCTGCTTGAGGTAGAGGAGGAAGCAGCAGAGCCATTGGCACCCGGGTGCCCATGCAAATGAGGCCAGGAGCTGCTCCGCATTTCCAGGGTACCCAGGTGTCGGCGGCTTCCATGACTTCTGACCACAGGCAAGGTGCCTTCTGCCCTCTGCTATGTGCCTCTGGCTCAACTGCTGCTGAAGCAACGTGCTGCCCTGCCCCTCCCAGTCCCACATGTCCCAGGTAGCAGGGACAAACAGGCCTCCAGCTCCATACCTTCTCCAGCCCATTGAGCACCGGGATGAGGAAGCGGACGTCTGGCAGTCGCTTGTGGTAGAGATCCCGGACCCGCTTCACCAGCTCTGGGGAGGGTGGGACTGCATGGAAGCAGCAGGAGGCACCAAGTTGGAGGCGGAGGGGAGCGTGGGAAAGGGTGGGCACCCAGGAAAGAGAAGCAGGCAGGTGTGCAGGAAGGGATGGCAACTTCACCCTTGGCTGCTCACGTGCAATTAGCACCACACTGTTCCAAATGGAGAAACTGAGGCCCTAGGACAGGCACAGACCCGCAAGAGGTACGACCATCTGGGGACCCAGCAGCTCAGATCCCCAGGGCCCGGGGAAGGCTAAGGAGAGGGAGGAAAGCCATGAAAGGTGGGGGTCTCCAGGGTCACCTTTGTCTGTGAGGCTGTGCAGACATCTCGTGACCAGTGTCTCTGCTCCCTTGGGACAATTTTCCACCAGCAGGAGCAGCTCCGGGGAGTTCATGCCCATTCCTCGGATCTAGAGGCAGAGACAGGGATGACCAGACCCAGGGTGAGAGCTTAGGGGAGGGTCAGGTGTTGCCCGGCAGGGTGGCTTGCGGGGCATGCTGGCGCCCAGGGTGAGACTGAGGTGACAGGGTTTGGAGGGCGGGGGAAAGGTGGGGAAGGGCAGGAGAGTCAGAAGAACCTTGGCATCTCCCTGCAGCTCCTCCAGACATGGGCCTGCTCCAGCTCCCAGCCCTGGCTGGGCTGTCCTCCTGCGGGCCACTCCTCTGTGGCTCAGACTTGACCTGACCTCGAATGCCCACCCTGTGCTTCGTTCACTGGTGAAGATGTTTCTGGCTCCACCCACCTGCTTCGTGACTCGGTTTCTCAGGCGCAGCTGGCTTGGCTGCGAGCCCAGACCAGGCTCCACCTGCTGCTGCTTCCTGAGCCTGCTCTGCGGTGAATGCCAAACAGGAGCCAGGGCCAGGCTCCACCTCTGCCCAGTAACGTTTACGCTCCTGACTAAAACCGACTGTCTCTGCCCTCGAGAAGCTCACAGCCCTGCCAGATAACTTTTCTGCAAAGTGAGATCACTTTTCCACAGCTGGACCACCTTGAGAATGGGGCTAAAAATCTGTTTCCTCCCAACTACAAGCCTGTTATCCCCATTTTCCAGGTAAGGGCCCCACTGAACCCAAATGGCAGATAGGTGGGGATTAACATACACTTCTCTCTCCCGTTTATCACGAAAATGTTCTGTAATCCAAAAATGTCAGGGGCAGAAAGAAAAAAAGTGGTTTCAAATCCTGCTGCAAACTGGAAGAGCAGACCTTCTAATCTCAGGTGCTAGTCTGTCACTGAGCTGCTTCTCATGTGGGCAGACCTGTGCCTCTAGAGAGAGGGGCAGGAAGGACTTATGTTTATGTAATGACAGCTAAAGAGTCCCGTTAGCAACACTGGGAAGGCCAGCTCATAAAGTGACAGTAACACAGAGGTTTATGTGCCTGAGTTCATGGACTCCTTGCATCAGCGTGGAGGGACTGGAACGTCTTCCCCATTTTTACTGACGGGCCCAAGGTCGCAGTGAGAAAGCGAGAAGTGAACGCGAACCCAGGTCTATCAGCTCCAGGCTCCTAACTGCCGGGCCACTTGACGTTTCCTCAGGAGTGACATGCGGACCGCCTGCAAGCTACACAGCCTGGGTCGGCCCGGGGTGACCACCCTTCGGGCTTGGCACACTCTGAGGTGGAGCAGGTTGGGGAAGAGCTGGAGCTGGGGACACAGCCTTGCCCGTGGGTGGGCAGGGCCTGGTGGGCTCAGGGGCCTCACCGGCTGCTCAATGACCCTCAGCACCGTCCGCTTGATGTCGGCGATGGCTTCAGTGTACACGGCCGCCAGTTCGTGGATCAGCTTGTGGTTCTGAGGCAGGAGGGCCAGGTAGAGGTACAGACACTGCTTCACTGTCTCCTCCGTCCAGGGTGCTGCCACCTCTGACAGGGCAGGAGCGGGCATCAGATTGGCCCACACTCTTCTCCAACCCCCTCGGACCCTCAGGAATGTCCCTTCTTGGGCAGTGGAGCCGGGGAGGGCAGAGAAGGGAGCCGGGGCTGGGGAGCTAATTGTTCTAGGGCAGGGAAATGGCGGGGACCAGGACTTCCCACCTCCAGCCTCCCGTGACTGCCAACACACAAGGCAACTAGAAGGATCTTTCTAAAGTGCGATCCTGACCCTGTCCCTCTCTGGCTCCAATCCCAGCCATGCCTGCCCTGTGGCCTCAGAATAAACCCCCAGCTCCCTGCCTCACACTGTCTGCCAGGTGTTGTATGGGGTGGCCCCGGCCCGCTGCTGCTCTGCTGCCCTCCATGTTGGTCACATACCCATTCTAACAGTCCCGAGGGCCCTGGTCTCTTTGCCTTTGCATCCACCCTCCTCTTTGCCTGGTCCACGGCACCTGCTCAGCTTCTGGGCCTCCCGAAGGCTGTGCATCTCCTGGGAATGCTTCCTGGCACCTGGGCCAGGCCTCCCGTGCTGCCCTATCATGGCCCAAGCCTTCCCATTTAATGGTCCATTTACTCGGGGTCTGAGTCTACCTGTCTGTAATCCAGGGCTCTGCTGAGGGAACCTGCCTGAGATGGCCCTGCCTGGTCCTTCCTCAGGCCCCACCGATGGCTGGCTCTCCTCGTCCTCCAGATCTCTCTCCCTGACCCCCCAGGCTGGGCCAGATGCCCCCTACCCTGACTCCCACAGCCCCCAGGTGGCTGTCCCAGTCCTGCCCATTCCCGTCACTCGTGTCCGAGTGGCTTCCCCACTCATCCCCTCTGCTCGCAGGGCCCAGAGCGCGGACACAGCAGCGCTCAGTATGCATCTGATGACCTGTGCCCAACCTGTGTCCTTGTCAGCTCCAAACAGCACAGACGGTGGGTTGGGGTGCACCAGGAGCTGCAGGTAGTTGAGGGCAAATTTCTCCACATACTCCCGCAGCTGCTCCTTCTCATACATGCGTTTGATGAACAGCAGGGCCTGGGAGCGCACCTGAGGAGGAAGATGGAGAAGGGCAGGGTCAGGGAAGAGGTAAGAGGAAGAACAGCTATTCCTGCGAGCATGGCAACACTCACGTGAAAACAAGCCCGAGGCTGAGAAGGGGCAGCCCAGCTGTTACCAGGGCCCAGGGCTGGTCCCCAGTGCAGGAGGCAGATATCCTGGCCAGGGCCGGACCCGCAGCACCACCTCACTGCCTGCCTCTCCAGCCCATCTGCCCATCACTGCTTCTTGCCTTGCTCACTAAGCTCCAAGCAGAGGGAGAGCTCCTCAGTTCCTTAAAAGTGCCACTCCCTGCCAAGTCTCCCTAGAACGTCTACTGCCAGCTAAACCCTGTTTCACTCAGATATCATCTGCCAGGAGCCGTGAGGGAAGGGTCTGGTCCTGGGCACTCTGACCCCAGCAGCAGCACATGGCCATGGCCAGGGCCAGGGCCAGGGGTGTGAGATGAAGGTCTGCTGAATGAATGAAAACGCTACCCAGCAAGGGCTGGGGCAAAAGGCTGCAGGCAACGATGGGTCAAGGGCGCTCTCAACCACAGCACGTGCACATCTGTCCCCTCTGTCTAGAGCACACCCAGCTACTGATTTTCCAGGTCTCAGCGTACAAGTCCCCTCCTTGAAAGAAGCCTTCCTTGAAACACCTCCCCTGCCCACCCCACAACCAGATGGTCGGCCCCTCCCTCCCCAGGGCAGCCACACACTGCTCTGCTCAGCTGCTGAGCACGCTGTGTCCTCACTGCTGGCTGAGGCCACACCGGCTCCCCTGCTGGGCTGGGCAATGCCCTCAGGCCCCGGCACAGGACTGGGCTGCACGAGGAGCCTGTGCTGGCCACCACGGGTGGACTAAGAGCGAGAGTGGGACTGCCCTTCCCAGGAGGGCAAGCGCACGTGTGTGTGTGTACACACTACAGGCAGACTCAGGCACGGTAACCCTGGTTTCTAGGCAGCTTGATGCCACTGAAAATGAAAATAAAACAGACAGAAATAGCCAAAAAACCACTGAAAGAAGGGAATGGGCCCAGAGAAACTTGCAAGGGAGTGTGGAAGACGTGGGCTGGTTACTCAGGATAGAGGCGGCCTCTGCAAGCTGCAGGCTGAGGGCAGCCAGGAAGTGGAGGAGGGGATCACCTTGTCCTTCTCATGGGAGCTGAGGTCGAGGAGGACATGCAGGTACTGGAACTGGCGGGACGGGCGCTTGAAGATCAGGTCTCGAAGTGTGGACATGCCCAGATAGGTGCGACTCTGCAGCAAAAGGAAAGGGACCCGAGCTCAGCCCACCTGAGTGTGCCTCTGGGCTCTGTCTTTCCTGCCTGCCTCTGATCAGGTACCTGGACAAAAGGGCCCGGTCCCTCACAAAACCCCCGGCCACAAGGTTTAGACTGTGTGCCCTTCAGACCCCTCAGGGCAGGGCCCTGTCCCCTGCCCCGGGCTGCACTGACCAGGGCCTGTCCTCACCTCATCCTCGCAGTACTTGCGGACCACCTCCAGGGCACTCTCTGTGATGAGTGGCGCCTCCAGCACAACCTTGGTGAAGATCCTGCCAGAGATGGAGGGAGGGCCATGGCTGCAGAGGAAGAGGCCGCCTGGCTCCCGGGCCCTGCTGAATTGTAGGAGCTCAGGGCCAGCAGGCCCTCCCTCAGGGGCTGCTTGTTCAAGCCCCTGCTTATAAAGCTTTGGAGGTGAACAGAACAGGGTTCAAAAGCTGGCGGCTGGATGATCTGGGCAGAGACTGCACCTCTCTGAAACTCATTTCTTCCGTTTGTCAAACAGGGATTCCTAACTTTATTCACTGAACATAAGAACGGGAGGGAATGATGGCGGGTGGAGAAGGGTGTGGGTATTTTAGATATGGTGGCCTCAAAAGGCCGCTTTGAAGTTACAGTTGAGTACACTGGTGGATGAGAAGGAGCCACCCACACATAGAGTTGAGGGAAGAGCATTCCAGGTGGACAGAACAGGAAGCACCAGCGCCCTGAATTTGACATGTTCGAGGAACAGACAGAAGGCCAATGTGGCTAATGTTCGGGGGGTAAAGCCAAAGAGATTGGGTCACATAAGGCCTCACTGGTCACAGTAAGGAGGCTGTGTTTTATCCCAAGACCAATGGAGAACCATGGAAGGTTCCTTGTGGGGAAGTAATAAAAGGATTTATATAATAAAATGTTCCTGGAGCTGCTGTGTGGAGGATAGACGAGTAAGCTGGAGGCCACGGATAGGGAGGAAGCTACAGAACCAACTCAGGTAGTGAATGGGGTGTAGAGAAGTCTATCTCCAGGCCCATGGGTGAGCACTGTTATTTACAGATGGGAAAATGGCAGAGAGAGGGAGTGACAAAGCCACGCAGAGCAAGCTCAGAGCAAGTGGCAGAGCTGAGGAACAGCTCAGGGAGTGCGACCTGGAGCCCACATGCAAAACTACAACCTTGAACGTGCCTCCAGAGGGGGAGGAGGAGAGGAGACTTGGGATGGGTGCGAGGAGGACTGACTCGGGGGGTGACGAAGAGGGAGGTGGTCGCAATCAGAAAGGGAGGGCAGCACCAGGAGAGGAAGCCTCTCGGGGACAGGAGGGTGCAGGGTCAGCCCCCTCACCCATCCTTCTGGTCTGGTTTCTCCTGCAGGCCAGACAACAGGCGGATGAGGCAGTCCTCATACTTGTCCAGGGAGCCCGAGGCACCTGCGGCCAGGTAGGCGTTGTACTCCTGGTAGAGCCAGGCGAAGGCCAGGTCCAGGCGGGCCCGCACATCCTCCAGGATGAAGGACAGGACCTCCGCCTTCAGGCCCGAGTTGAACTGTGTCACCAGGCTGGCCAGGATCTTTATGCGGACCTGGTGGGAGGGTGAGCCAGCATGTCAGTGTAGGGTGGGCAATCCAGGGACTCCGCAATCGTGCCCTGCGACTTCTCCCACCCAGACGCAGGAACTCTCAGAGCAGACAAGGAGTGAAGCGAGGAAGGCCAGCCGAGGACCCTTATGCCTAGGAAGGTCCCGTTTGTGTGTTGGGGGGTGGGGGTACCAGGGTGGGGATCGATCATCACAGAATAAAAATGAGTTTCTAGGAGCAGCACCCATGTACTTAAGTGCACAGAAAAAGATCCTCAAAGATTCCCCTCATTTGTGCCTTTGTCACCTTTGAAGAGAGGGATGGGGTGCAGGTGATGGCCACGGAAGAGTACTGGATCTGGATTCCCCGGAAATATTTTTCAGCTCAGGGAGTATGTTCCTATACTACTGGCTAATCAACAATTAACTTCACAGAATGGGGAAAAAGTCACTTTTCCCCATTCTTTGAAGGTAACAGTGCCAGCAAGTGGCAGAATCAGGACAGAGAACCAGGTATATTTCTAAAGCTAAATAGTAACAGTAAGAACGTTAACAACCGTGAAGAACCAAGACCACAAGAGCAGCCCTCACTTGCAGAGGCCTCCCAGCACCTGCCCTGTGCACCTGAGTGCCTGTGCTCATTGCACATTTCCTCCTCGTCACCCAGGAGGAGCTGCTGCTACTGTCTCTGTTTTATGGAGGATGGGAGTGATCTGGAGAAGCGGCTGTGGGCAGCAGAGCTGGGGTCCGCAGCCAGGGAGGTTTGACGCCAGGGCCAGACTCTTCGCTGGATGTGAGGTAGACGTTTGGGTAGAGGGACTGGAAGGATGGGGTGGGGGGTGGCAGGCGCACACCTGGGCTGCCCCGCTGCAGGCCACAGCCTTCTCAGCCCGCAGGATCCGCTTCACAGCGCCCAGCTTCATGGCTTCCACCTGGGCATCGGTAAGGGGCTTCAGCACGTCGCTGAGACGGAAAATTTTCTTGCGCCCACCAGCGCCTGCCAGCCTGTGTGGAAGAGCAGTGACAGAGATGCAGTGACCCAGACTGCAGCAAAGGCCTGTCTGGTGACTCTCCCAACTTCAAGGACTAGGTAGGCAACAGAGATGGCCCCCATCCCCCTGCTGCCTCTCCAGTTCCTCTGTGTCTCTGAGGCACGGTGTGGCGGTGGGTAAGAGGAAGGAAGAGGATGTTATTTTGGTTTTGCAGAGGGCGTCTTACGGAAGGCTTCTGTGAGTGGGGATCTGAACGGAGGCAGGGACAAGATACACAAATGTCTGGGGGACCAGCTCTCCAGGCAAAGGCCCTTAGGTGGGAACAGACTTGTGGGCACGAGTGGAGGAGGGGTGAGGGTAGCAGAAGAGAGCTCGGAGGGTAGCAGATCCCGCTCAGCTGTGTTAGTAAGACTTGGGGCTGGGCACGGTGGCTCACGCCTGTAATCCCAACACTTTGGGAGGCTGAGGCAGGCGGATCACGAGGTCAGGAGATCGAGACCATCCTGGTTAACACGGTGAAACCCCGTCTCTACTAAAAATACAAAAAATTAGCCAGGCGTGGTGGCGGGCGCCTGTAGTCCCAGCTAATCGGGAGGCTGAGGCAGGAGAATGGCATGAACTCGGGAGGCGGAGCTTGCAGTGAGCTGAGATCGCGCCACTGCACTCCAGCCTGGGAGACAGAGTGAGACTCCGACTCAAAAAAAAATAATAAATAAATAAATAATAAAAAGACTTGGGTGGCCGGGACTGGCTGGATTTTGTGGTGTGTAAGGGAGGTAATAATGGGGACAATGATGATGACAGCCAGTAGCATTTACTACACAACAGGAACCACGCGAAATGCTTGACAATCACAATCACTTTTCACTCGAGTATCTAGTTACCTAACCATCACCATTACCACGAACTAATTTAATTCTTCTTTGATCCTTATGAGAAAGATACTATCATTATCCTAATTTTAGACATAAAAAAGGATTTTTTTTTTTTTTTTTTACAGGAAAGAGAACAGCAAAGGCTTAGTGGTTATGGCACTGACTCGGGAGTCAGAGAGAACCTATTCCAGACTTCCTTCTGTCTGCATCTCAGTTACACACACACACGCACACGCACACGCACACGCACACGAGCTGAGAACCAGACCTTCAGGGTAGGGCTCCTGTCCTGCCCTAGCACCCAGAAGAGGACTCACCGGGGCTGAGTGACAGGGATAATGGGCTCTGGCCTCCTCTTGGCCTGCGGTGCCTCTTCCTCCAGGGGGGACATGGAGCTCAGGGAACCCACCACCGAGATGGCTTGGCCCTGGGCTGACAGGCGCCGCTTGATCAGGACGCTCTCTGTCTTCACCACCTTCTCCTCCTTGGGCTCCTCCTTGCACTGTTTGGTCTGCTCTACACCTGAGGGGGAGGCAGCAAACAGACACCCAGTGCGTCAGACCCACCTGCTCCAACCCGAGGACCTCCTGTGTGCCTGGCTCTGTTCTGAGCCCTGTACACACAAAACCTCGTTTAAATCCACACAACACTGTCCTGGAGTGGGTACTCTTTTTATCCCCACTTTTCAATACAACTGAGGCTCAAACTAGAAATGCCATTCATTGCTGGGGGGAGCAGCAAATGCTACAGCCACTTTGGAAACATGATGAGCAGTTTTTGTTTTTTAGACTGGGTGTCACTCTGTCACCCAGGCTGGAGTACGGTGGTGCAATCAGGGCTCACTGCAGTCTTGACCTCCTGGGCTCAAGCAATCCTCCTGCCTCAGCCTCTCAGCCTCCCAACTAGCTGGGACTACAGGCGCATGCCAACATACCTAGCTAATTTTTGTATTTTTTTGTAGAGATGAGGTCTCCATATGTTGCCCAGCTTAGTCTTGAACTCCTGGGCTCAAGCGATCCTCCCGCCTTGGACTTCCAAAGTGCTGGGATTACAGGTATGAGCCACTGTGCCCAGCCCTCAGCTGTTTTTTTTGGAGACGGAGTCTCACTCCATCACCAAGGCTGGAGTGCAGTGGCTTGATCCTGACTCGCTGCAGCCTCCACCTCCTGGGTCCAAGCCATTTTCCCACCTCAGCTTCTGGAGTAGCTGGGATTATAGACACCCACTGCCACACCCAGCTAATTTTTTTGTTTTCAGTAGAGACGGGGTTTCACCACATTGGCCAGGCTGGTCTTGAACTGCTGACCTCAGGTGATCCACCCGCCTCAGCCTCCCAAAGTGCTGGGACTACAGGTGTGAGCCACCACACCCAGCCTGTAGCAGTTTTTAATAGCACTGATCACACCCTATGACCCAACGGTTCCACTCCTTGGTATATGCTCAAGACAGATGACAGCATGTGTACATGAAGAGAGTTGGACACAAATATTCACAGCAGCTTTATTCCCAATGGCCAAAAACTGGAAAGAAGCCACAGGTCCATCAATACCGGTGTGGATAAACAAATGATTGTATATTCATATGACAGAATACTACTGAGCAATAAAAAACCAACTAGTACCTCACACGACAACAATGAAGAATCTCAAAAATGTACAGCAGGCTGGGCGTGGTGGCTCACACCTGTAATCCCAGCACTTTAACAGGCCGAGGAGAGTGGATCACCTGAGGTCAGGAGTTCGAGACCAGCCTGGCCAACATGGTGAAACCCCATCTCTACTAAAAATACAAAAAAAAAAAAAAAAAAAATCAGCCAGGCATGGTGGCACATGCCTATAATCCCAGCTACTTGGAAGGCAGGAGAATCACTTGAACCCAGGAGGCAGAAGTTGCGGTGAGCCGAGATCATGCCATTGCACTCCAGCCTGGGCGACAGAGTAGGACTCCATCTCAAAAAAAAAAAAAAACCGTGAAAAACAAAAAATTAGCTGGGAATGGTGGCAGCGGGTGCCTGTAATCTCAACTACTCGGGAGGCTGATGCAGGAGAATCGCTTGAATCCAGGAGACAGAGGTTGCAGTAAGCCAAGAAAGTTCTGCTGCACTCCAGCCTGGGCCACAAGAGCAAAACTCCATCTCAAAAAAATAAATAAATAAAAATAAACAAACAAAAAAACACAAAAAACCATATGGCAAGCCAGAGAAACCAGACTTTGTGATCCTATTTAGTTTTGTTCAAGAATAGGTAAAACTAGGGCCGGGCGCGGTGGCTCACACCCGAAATCCCAGGACTTTCGGAGGCCAAGACGGACAGATCACAAGGTCAGGAGATCAAGACCAACCTGGCTAACACGGTGAAACCCCGTCTCTACTAAAAATACAATAAAATTAGCTGGGCATGGTGCCGGGCACCTGTAATTCCAGCTACTCAGGAGGCTGAGGCATGAGAATGGCGTGAACCCAGGAGGTGGAGCTTGCAGTGAGCTGAGATCGTGCCATTGCACTGCACTCCAGCCTGGGCAACAGAGTGAGAATCTGTCTCAAAAAATAAAAAATAAAAAAATAAAGAATAGGTAAAACTAGTCTATGGAGGCAGAAATCAGAACACTGGTTTTCTCTGGAGTTCAATGCCCTGAGGCATCTCTGGAAGAACAAGGAGGAAATTTCTACAGTGGCAATGGTCTATAAATCCGAAACTTTCTGAGTCTCAACAAAACACAAGGGTAAAATTCCACACCTGACCTCGTGTGGATAGATGGCAGTCAAAACATCATTTCATGAACAAAATTATTAAGAAATATTACAGGTCCAGTGCGGTGGCTCACGCCTGTAATCCCAGCACTTTGGGAAGCCAAGGTGGGCGGATCACAAGGTCAGGAGATTGAGACCATCCTTGCTAACACGGTGAAACCCCGTCTCTACTAAAAATACAAAAAACTAGGGCCGGGTGCACTGGCTCACACCTGTAATCCCAGCACTTTGGGAGGCCAAGGCGGGTGGATCACAAGATCAGGAGGTGGAGACCATCCTGGCTAAGACGGTGAAACCCCCGTCTCTACTAAAAATACAAAAAATTAGCCGGGCGTGGTGGCAGGCGCCTGTAGTCCCAGCTACTCGGGAGGCTGAGGCAGGAGAATGGCGTGAACCCGAGAAGCGGAGCTTGCAGTGAGCCGAGATCATGCTATTGCACTCCAACCTGGGTGACACTGCAAGACTGTGTCTCAAAAAACAAAACAAAACAAAAGCTAGCCAGGCGTGGTGGCATGTGCCTGTAGTCCCAGCTACTCGGGAGGCTGAGGCAGGAGAATCATTTGAACTTGGGAGGCAGAGGTTGCAGTAAGCCGAGATTGCACCACTGCACTCCAGCCTGGGCAACAGAGCGAGACTTTGTCTCAAAAAAAAAAAAAAAGAAAAAGAAATATCGTATATAATTACCTTTGAGCTATGTTTAGCTCATTATGAGCTAAACATAAATGAATTTCATGTTTAGACTTGGATCCCATCCCTAAGATACCTCATTATGTATATGCAAATACTCCAAATCCAAAGGTCTGAAATCTGAAACACTTCTGGTCCCAAGCATTTTGGATAAGGGATATTTAACCTGTATCTTGATCTGGGTGATGGTTACACTGGTGTGTTCACTTTGTGAAAATTCACTAAGGTCTATAATTAAGAGTTCTGCATTTCACTTATGTGTATCACACATTAATAGTACTGTTAAAACAGGGTAAAACTATGAAGCTCAGAGAGGTTAACTAACTTGACCAAAGTCATACAGATATTAAGTGGATGAGATCTGATTCAACTCAAACTTCAAACCCAGGTCTGTTGGATTCCAAAGCCCAGGACTTAAAAACACTGAGCCATCTATCTGTGGTACCTGTCATTATCTACACCTTAGCTCCCACATGATTTTCAACTGCACCACGAGAAGTTGCTCTTCCAGTAAGGAGAACCCAGAAGCCACAAGTGCCAATCCCTGGCCCAGGTTAGGGCCAGGACACACTCACCTGGTCCCAGTCCGGCAGCTGTCATCTGTGTGGCCATGAGCCGAGCCAGGTGCTTGATCTGGGCTTCCGTGCCTGCTGACTCCACGGGGGTGTAGATGGCCTGGAAGGAGGCTGGCATGGCCTCGGGTAGGTACACCATGCTGATGAGGACCTGTGGGATGCCCAGGAAGAGAGCCTCTCCTTAATCATTAACTCAAGAAGCATTCTTTCCATGCCCATGCCAATACTGGGGAAATGGCAGTGCCTAAGACCGACTTGGGCCTGCTCTCCTGGGGCCCAGCCTCTTCTGGAAGTCACAGAGAAAACAAATAATTATATAGTGTAGTGCTTGAGAGGGTAACATGAAGGGCACTGTGAGCCACAGCAGGAGCCAGGCAAGGCAAGGGCTCCCTGTGCAAGAAGCACCTAGGCTGAGAACTGAGGGGAGGGCAGGAGTCAGCATAATACAGGACAAGGTTTTGAGGTGGGAGGGGTGTGTATTCCCCGTAGAGAAACACCATGGGAGAAGGCTAAGAAGCAGCAGAGCTGGCACCCTGTCCAGAGAACAAAAGAGGCCAGGTGCAGTGGGTCATGCCTGCAATCCCAGCACTTTGAGAGGCTAAGGCAGGTAGATCACTTGAGGTCAGGAGCCCAAGACCAGCCTGGCCAACATGGTGAAACCCTGTCTCTACTAAAAATACAAAAATTAGCCTGGCGCAGCAGCATGTGCCTGTAATCCCAGCTACTCGGGAGGCTGAGGCAGGATAATTGCTTGAATCCAGGCGGCAGCAGTTGCAGTGAGCCGAGATCGCGCTACTGCACTCCAGCCTGGGTGACAGAGCAAGACTCCATCTCATTCATAAAGAAAGAAAGAAAGAAAGAAAGAAAGCAAAAAGAGGTTCAGTGAAGAGTGTTAGGACTGGGAATTGACTTCAAATAACAAGCAAACAAGAAACCCCCCAGAATCCTAACAGAGAACATCCATGGATGTCAGGAATTAGTAACAAAAGATAATTTCCTTTTTATTTATTTATTTATTTTTTGGGACGGAATCTCACTCTGTCCCCCAGGCTGGAGTGCAGTGGCACGATCTCAGCTCACTGCAACCTCTGCCGCCTGGGTTCAAGCAATTCTCCTGCCTCAGCCTCCCAAGTAGCGGGGATTACAGGTGCCTGCCACCGCACCTGGCTAATTTTTGTATGTTTAGTAGAGATGGGGTTTCACCATCTTGCCCAGGCTGGAAAAGGATAATTTCAAACTTCCTATACATTTGAAGCTTTAAAAAAAATTTATACTGGGCACGGTGGCTCATGCCTGTAATCATAGCACTTTGGGAGGCTGAGGTGGGCGGATCACGAGGTCAGGAGATCAAGACCATCTTGGCTAACACAGCGAAACCTCATCTCTACTAAAAATACAAAAAACTTAGCTGGGCGTGGTGGCAGGCACCTGTAGTCCCAGCTACTCGGGAGGCTGAGGCAGGAGAATGGCGTGAACCCGGGAGGCGGAGCTTACAGTGAGCTGAGACTGCGCCACTACACTCCAGCCTGGGCAACAGAGCAAGACTCTGTCTCAAAAAAAAAATGTATTATTTTTCTTAGAGACAGGGTCTTACTCTATTGTCCAGGCTGGAGTGCAGTGGCGCCATCAGAGTTCACTACAGCCTCAAATTCCTGGGCTTAAGCAATCCTCCTGCTTCAGCCTCTCCAGTGGCTGGGATCACAGGTACATGCCACCATGCCCGGCTAATTTTTTTATTTTTCTTTTTGTAGAGACAGGGTCTCGCTATGTTGCCAAGGCTACACAGTGAACTTTAAATGCACACACTAAGTAATAACTAATTAGAACAGAAAGATAATGAAACTGCTATAAATTAAAATTGTGGAATACAGCTAAAATAGTACTCAGATGGAAAATCAAATCCTTAAATGCTTGCTTACATTGGAAAAGATAACTAAAGATTAATGAGCCAATCACTTAAAACCGTGGGAACAAACATTCAAAGAAAGTAGCAGGAAAGAAATAAAGGCAACAGAAATAAAACAGAAAAAGTGCCAAAAGAATATGAACAAAACAAAGAGCTAGTTATTTGAGATGACTGAAAACAAGCAAATATTTTGCAAGATTGGACATAGTAGTAGCAACAGAAAAGGGGCACATTACAAACATATGGTATTTTATACTATGAATAGCAGGCATTTTTATAAATGTTGATGAGCAACTTCATGGCAAAACTGAAAAGGTCAATTCCTAGTGTGTGATAAGACAAAAGGTAGAATGGCCGGGCATGGTGGCTCATGCCTGTAATCCCAGCACTTTGGGAGGCCATGGTGGGCGGATCACCAGAGGTCAGGAGTTCAGACCAGCATGACCAACATGGTGAAACCCTGTCTCTGCTAAAAACACAAAAATTAGCTGGGTGCAGTGGTGGGCGCTGGTAATCCCAGCTATTCGGGAGGCTGAGGCAAGAGAATCACTTGAACCCGGGAGGCGGAGATTACAGTGAGCTGAGATCGCGCCACTGCACTCCAGTCTGGGTAACAAAGCGAGACTCTGCCTCAAAAAAAAAAAAAAAAAAAAAAGACAAGTTAACAGAAGCCAGATCAAAGATGGCTGACTAAGGCAAGTGGAACTTAAATTTTACTTGAAGGAAGTTGGAGCCAGGTAGCAAGTGAGGGTTGGGCTTCAGGTGAAAAGGGTGGGCCTGGCCCAGGGTAAGTGCTACAGGGGTGGAAAAGAGGGCAAGGATTAGGGAGAGAAGGAAAAGAGGTTCACTCCCAGGTTTCTGGTTTGGGAACTGGGAGGGGCCTGGAGAGGAGCGTGGGGAGAAAGTGGAAAAGTGTAGTTCTGCCACATGAGTCTGAGGTGCTCCTGGGACGTCCAAAAGGAGGATGATCAGAAGCGGGTTGCATACCCAGGCCTGAGGCTCACTGATGTAGTCTGGATATTTGTTCCTTCCCGAATCTCATGTTGAATTACAATCCCCGATGTGGGAGGTGGGGCCTGGTCGGGGGTGTTTGGATCATGGGGGCAGATCCCTCATGGCTTGGTGCTGTCTTCAGGATAGCGAGTTGTCACAAGATCTGGTCATTTAAAAGTGTGTGGCACCTCCCTGCTCCCCAACACTCCCTTTCTCCTGCTCCTGCTCTGCCACACGAGATGCCTGCTCCCCCTTCACCTTTCACTATGATTGGAAGCTTCCTGAGGTTTCCCCAGAAGCTAAGCAGATGCCAGCACCACGCTTCCTATACAGCCTGCAGAACTGTAAGCCAATTAAACCCCTTTTCTTTATTAATTAGGAGGGTACTCTGGAGGAGGTGGATGGTGTGAAGTGGAGGCAGGTGAAAGACCGAGGAGATCCTTCCTTCCTGCCCAGGGGGAAAACGCTCCCCACCCATCCTCACCAGATTAGCCACATTATCAGGCGTCAGCAGAGGCTGCAGGAACTCAGCTGTGATGTCCGTGTCTGACTGGCCGGAGATCTGCGCTGAGGCCTTCGAGGTCCCCGACGGGCCTGGCTCCAAGTCTTTGTCCTCATCGTCCTCCCCCAGGTTGGGCTCTGGGATGAGGGAAAAGAACAAGATGCTGGCTATAGAGAGAGCTGCAGGCCCTCCATCCTTCCGGGGTGCCCGGGTGGTCCCTGCCTCTAGTCAGCCTCAGCAAACAGGAGCAAACAGCGGATGAAGATCCAGGCTGCAGCTCTGCCTCTGGTGCCAAACCACTTTATGACCCTGGGCAACTACCTGACTCGTTCTGAACCTCAGATCTCCTGATCTGGGAAATGGGAGTAAGCCACACCCCTGCAGCTTATCATAAGCTCTAAGAAGAGATTATTATTATTACTATTTTTTGAGACAGTCTTGCTCGTCACCGAGGCTGCAGTACAATGGCATGATTTCGGCTCATTGTAACCTCCGCCTCCCAGGTTCAAGTGATTCTCCTGCCTCAGCCTCCCAAGTAACTGGGATTATAGGCATGCGCCACCAGGCCCAGCTAATTTTTTTGTATTTTTAGTAGAGATGGGGTTTCACCATGTTGGCCAGGCTGGTCTCAAATTTCTGACCTCAGGTGATCCACCTGTCTCAGCCTCCCAAAGTGCTAGGATTACAGGCATGAGCCACCACGCCCAGCCTGGTGCAGTTTTTTAGAAGGCACTTTGGTAATGGCTATCAAGAATGTACACTCGGTACCTAAGGGCACACCTGGGCTCAGACCTTGATTTCTGAAACTATTCCCCACTTAAAGGAAACCAGGGTTCCTTAAAAAGAAAGACTGATTCCAGGGCTGGGGCAAGGACAGTACAAGAGGAGTCTAGAACATCTTGTCATGCTAGTAAGTAAGTGAAATGCTCAAAACAAATTCCTGATAGTAAGTGGGAAGAAGAAGAGAAAGTTCTTCCTTACAGCAGAATGTCAACTGATAAATGTAGAAGGAAAATCTCTTTGGAGCCAGTATAGAATAATAGACTCAGGCAACAATCATCACTGGATGTTAAAACCACTGGGTGAGGCTGGGCGCAGTGGCTCACACCTGTAATCCCAGCACTTTGGGATCATGAGGTCAGGAGATCGAGACCATACTGGCTAACACGGTGAAACCCCGTCTCTACTAAAAAAAATACAAAAAATTAGCCGGGCAGATGGCGGGCACCTGTAGTCCCAGCTACTCGGGAGGCTGAGGCAGGAGAATGGTGTGAACCCAGGAGGCGGAGCTTGCAGTGAGCCAAGATTGCACCACTGCACTCCAGCCTGGGCAACAGAGCGAGACTCTGTCTCAAAACAAAACAAAACAAAACAAAAAAACACAAAAAAACCACTGGGTGAACGTTTAAAGAGAAACATGTATTTTACATAGTTTCAAATATCTCCCCCAGCTTATTACTGACAAAGATAAAAATGGCACTTGACACTAGAGAAAGCTGGTTGAAACTGTGTTAACCAAGCGTTCAAAAGTTAATATCTCCAACAATGGGACACCATGTGCCTCCTGATCCCATGTACTGAGGCAACCAGGGGATCACCTGAGGCGGGTGGATTACCTGAGGTCAGGAGTTTGAGACCAGCCTGGCCAACATGGTGAAACCCTGGCTCTACTAAAAATGCAAAAAAATTGGTCAGATATGATGGCGCGCACCAGTAGCCCCAGCTACTCGGGAGGCTGAGGAGGGAGAATCTCTTAAACCTGGGAGGCGGAGGTTGCAGTGAGCCAAGATCAGGCCACTGTACTCCAGCCTGGGTGACAGAGCGAGACTGTCTCAAAAAAAAAAAAAAAAAAAAAAAAAGACAAATTTGGTGGGTAAAATATAACTTTAAATATACAAACCCTGGCCAGGTGCAGTGGCTCACGCCTGTAATCTCAACACTTTAGGAGGCGAAGGCAGGCAGATCACTTGAGGTCAGGAGTTCAAGACCAGCCTGACCAACATGGTGAAGCCCCGTCTCTACTAAAAAGACAAAATTAGCTGGGCATGGTGGCACATGCCTGTAATCCCAGCTACTTGGGAGGCTGAGGCAGGAGAATTGCCTGAATCTGGGAGGCAGAGCTTGTAGTGAGCCAAGATCCCACCACTGCACTCCAGCCTGGGCAACAAGAGTGAAACTCCATCTTTAAAAAAAAAAAAACAAACAAATACAAAAATTAGCCCGGTGTGGTGGCATTCGCCTGTAATTCCAGTTACTCAGGAAGCAGAGGTATGAGAATTGCTTGAACCCGGGAGACAGAGGCTGCAGTGAGCCCAGATTACACCACTGCACTCCAATCTGGGCAACAGAGCAAGACTGTCTCAAAAAAAAAAGGATGAGGTAGATTTCTATAAAGAACTCCAAGATGAAAGTAAATGAAACTAAATGAAAACAAGGTACAGAATACTCTGCTTAGTATACTTAATTATGAAAAAACATAGTAAGATCCCTACCTCACTCCTTAGATAAATTCCTTTTTTTTTTTTGAGACGGAGTCTTGCTCTGTCACCCAGGATGGAGTGCAATGGTGCAATCTTGGCTCACTGCAACCACTGCCCCCAGTTCAAGCAATTCTTCTGCCTCAGCCTCCCAAGTAGCAGCAACTACAGGTGTGCACCACCACGCCTGGCTAATTTTTGTATTTTTAGTAGAGACAGGGTTTCACCATGTTAGCCAGGCTAATTTCGAACTCCTGACCTCAGGTGATCCCCTCAACTTGGCCTTCCAAAATGCTGGGATTACAGGCATGAGCCACTGTGCCTGGCAATTCCCCCCCCACCTTTTTTTTTTTTGAGACAGAGTTTCACTCTTGTCACCCAGACTGGAGTGCAATGGCATGATCTCGGCTTACTGCAACTTCTGCCTCCTGGGTTCAAGTGATTCTCCTGCCTCAGCCTCCAGAGTATCTGGGATTACAGGCATGCACCACTACACCCAGCTAATTTTTGTATTATTAGTAGAGACGGGGTTTTTCCATGTTGGCCAGGCTGGTGTCAAACTCCTAACCTCAGGTGATTCACATGCCTTGGCCTCCCAAAGTGCTGGGATTACAGGCGTGAGCCACTGCGCCCAGCCTAATTCCTTATTTTTTAAAATGAAAAAATAAATCTTTCGTAAATGCTCTAGAAAAAAAGTGTGATTTAAGAAAAAAATCTTAAAGTTAAGAAAAGCCATAGTTGACACTATTGATAAATAATACAACCACTAGAAAATTACTTCAGAAAGAAAATTATCTGATAACTAAAACAAAGGAATGAAAGAAGAGCTCCACACTCTACATAAAGCACTTCTGGAGGAAAACATAAAGAAGTGTTCACACCTGGGGAGTGGTTACTTCTTGGGAGAGGGATAAGAGGGATACTATTTTCATTTTATTCCTTTCTGTAAAATTTAAATAATGCATAATTTATTAAACGTATATTTTGATAATTCTATTGTAATTTATATATCATATTAAATACTGTAATTTATTTTTATAATTATTTTATAATTTTTTAAAATTAGAGACAGGGTTTTGCCATGTTGCCTAGGTTGGTCTTGAACCCCGGCCTCAAGTGATCTGCCCGCCTCAGCTTCCCAAAGTGCTGGGAATACAGGTGTGAGCCACTGTGCCTGGCCCACATAACATAATCTATAATATAATCTTAGTAAATACAAATTCAGCATAGTTTAAGGTAAATAATGAAACATTTCAGCATGGTCTGCCTGCCCCACCCCACCAGCCCCTCTCACCCAGCTTCATCTTCTTGAGTGTGGAGTCCGAGTCATCGCGGGGCCGCTTGCGGGTGTCCTTGCTGCTCGGCATGTTGCGGGCGATCTCGGCCTGAGGTGTGCCCAGGTCCACCAGCAGGGTGGTGATCTGGGCCTGGAACTCCAAGGAAGCCGGGTGCTTCAGCACACTCAACAGGTGCAGCTTCAGATTCTTACGCACACTGCTCACCTGCGATTTGGCCAGCGTCGGGGGCAGGTTGGCTGTGAGGAAAGTGGCAGGAGCTGTGTCTTGTGGAAGATCTCATGGCATGCTGCCAGTCTTAATTCTCAACCCCAAACTTGGGCAGTGGTCTTGCAGGCATCTACTAGAAAAGTTCCTTCACCCTCAGATCTAACGTGTGGCTTTCCGCCTTACAAGCTGATGCTTCAAACCCTGGGGGTCTCCATCAGTATCAGTCAATCTTAAAGAGAAAAACTCACCCTCTCTTTTAGTAAATACATACAATTTCGTCCTCCTCCATCTCTGGTCTGGAAATTCACATATGCTTCGCTTGGGGAGGGTTATAATCACCACTTTTGCCTCCAGAAACCCCCAACTGAACTGCTGCAACAGCTCACTGCTAGTCTCCCTGACGCCAGGATGACTTTCTAATGGTCACCCTGATAAGTGAGCCTCCCCTGTTCCACAGTGAAAAAGGATGCCTGTAATTCTGCCTGCCTAGCATCCACTGCCCCTTCCTCAGCCAACAACACAACCCACTCTCCGTTAAGGGAGACCCCCCTTCTCCAGTCTCCTTCCGAGTGGGCATGAGACCTGGGGCCAGTGAGAATACCACATTCCCTTGGCCACTGTAATTGGCTCAGAGACTGGCTCATAATCTCTGCTCAGCCAATCAGAAACAATGACCGTCAGCCCTTGGACTTCTGCTGGAATGGTTGGGAAGGAGACACTCTCTTTCCCATGGTGTTGCTAAGTGAACGGAATGGGAGCCATGAACTATGGGGGGCCATCTTTGCTACCCTAAGGAAAGGGCCAGAGAGTGAAACTAAAATGGAGAAACAAAGAGCTGAGAGATGGAGAAATGCAGATCCACGACCTGTACGCATTCATACCCCAACCCCAGACTTCTCGGTTTTCGTTTCACAAAACAGAGAAAATGGTATGAGTCTCTGTGTACCCATCAACATTTCGCTAATCTTGGAACATCTATCCTCCCTTTTGGTGGGGGGAGAGGACTGGAATATTTGAAAGTATTTCACAGACATCATGTCATTTCACCCCCACATACCTCAATATTAAAGCCAGTCCTGAATCAAGTTTCTGTCACATGCCAAAAGATTCCTGTCTAATGTAGAGAATCTCAGGCCTGCCAGATGGATGACTAGCGCTCGGGGTCCACCACGGAGCTACATTTCTTTAAGAATGAGCAGGCTGAGGCCGGGTGCAGTGGCTCACACCTGTAATCCCAGCACTTTAGGAGGCCGAGGCAGGCGAATCACAAGGTCAAGAGATAGAGATCATCCTGGCCAACACGGTGAAACCCCGTCTCTACTAAAAGTAAACAAATTAGCTGGGTGTGGTGGTGTGTCCTGTAATCCCAGCTACTCGGGAGGCTGAGGCAGGAGAATCACTTGAACTGGGGAGGCAGAGGTTGCAGTGAGCCAAGATTGCACCACTGCACTCCAGCCTGGTGACAGAGCGAGACTCTGTCTCAAAAAAAAAAAAAAAAAAAAAAAAAAAAGAAAGAGCAGACTGGCCAGTGAAGAGAAGGCAGGGGGAGGGGGGAGGACAATGACCTACCATGCAGAGTTTCATAGGCCTGGATCACCTCAGACATGAACATGGGTCTCTGGCGGGCGATATTGGCAAGGGAGCCCAGCGCTGTGGTCAGGTTGATGGAGGAGATGGCAGGGTGCACCATGAACTTAAGCAGCTGCTCCAAGGCTGCCTTGCCCTCTTCCCATAGCACGTCTAAGAGACAGAGAGGAGAACCAGTCAGTGGGATCCGTTTTCCCAGGCCTCTGGAGACAGCAGCTTTTGGGACTAAAAGGAAGGACAGATCCTGGTACCTAGATGTCTATGAATGGCGGGAAAAACAGAAAATGTGGTGGTTGATTAGTTCTATGAGACTATTAATGAGTATAAAAATTTAGTTATAAGGGGCTAGACGCAGTGGCTCATGCCTGTAATCCCAGCACTTTGGGAGGCCAAGGCAGGCAGATCACTTGAGGTCAGGAGTTCAAGACCAGCCTGGCCAACATGGTAAAACCCCGTCTCTACTAAAAATACAAGAAATTAGCCCAGGTGTGAAGGCCTGTGCCTGTAATCCCAGCTACTTGGGAGGCTGAGGCAGGAGAATCGCTTGAACCCAGGAGGCAGAGGTTGCAGTGAGCCGAGATCGCGCCACTGCACTCCAGCCTGGGTGACAGAGTTGGACTCCATATTAAAAAAAAAAAAAATTTAGTTATAAAGATGTTCAAAGCATGGGCTTGCAATAGTGAAAGACTAGAATACATGTGTATATACACACAACTCAAAGTCCCTTGTGACACCACTCCCCTCAATACAGTCCCCAAAATTAATGCTTAAAACTTTGGTGGATATCTTTCCAGACCTTTCCTATACAGAAACATAACGAATGCCATATATATGTTTTTAACTTAAAAAATTTTAATGGGTATATAGTAGGTGTAAATAATTATGGGGTACATGAGATTTTGATACAGGCATGCAATGCATAATTATCACCATCAGGGTAAATGGGGTCTCCATCACAAGCATTTATCCGTTTTGTTACACACAATCCAATTATACTATTTCAATTATTTTAAAATGTATGATTATTTTTTAGTATAGTTACCCTGCTGTGCTATCAAATACTGGATCTTTTTTTTTTTCCCTGAGATGGGGTCTCACTCTGTCACCCAGAGTGGAAAGCAGTGGCGTGATCTCGGCTCACTGCAACCTCCACCACCCAGACTCAGGTGATCCTCTCAACTCAGCCTCCTGAGCTGCTGAGACCACAGGCACATGCCACCATGCTTGGCTATCAAATACTAGATCTTATTTGTTCTAACTATTTTTTTGTACCCATTAACCATTCCCACTTCCTCCCCAACCGCCCATTACCCTTTTCAGCCTCTGGTAACCATCATTCTACCGTCTGTCTCCATGAGTTCAATTGTTTTCATTTCTAGCTCTCACAAATAAGTGAGAACATGCAAAGTTGTCTTTCGGTGCCTGGCTTATTTCACTTAATGACTTCCACTTCCATCCATGTTGTTGCAAATGACAGGATCTCCTTCTTTTTTATGGCTGAATAGTATTCAATTGTGTATGAGTACCACATTTTCTTTATCTATTACTCTGTTGATGAATACTTAGTTTGCTCCGAAGTCTTGGCTATTCTGACTAGTGCTGCAATGAATATGGAAGTGCGGGTTATCTTTTTGATACAGTGATTTCCTTTATTTCGGTTACATATCCAGCAGTGGGATTGCTGAATCATATGGTAGCTCAATTTTTAATTTTTTGAGGAACCTCAAAACTCCAAACAATTTTTAGGCTGTAGTAAGTGACATTCTCACCAACAGTGTACAAGTGTTTCCCTTTCTCCACATCCTCGCCAGCATTTGTTGTCTTTTTGATAAAAGTCACTTTAACTGGGGTGAGACATTTCATTGTAGTTTTGACTTGAACGCCACATTATTTAAAATAGTGAATTAGGCCGGGCGCGGTGGCTCACGCCTGTAATCCCAGCACTTTGGGAGGCCGAGGTGGGCAGATCACGAGGTCAGGAGATCAAGACCATCCTGGCTAACACAGTGAAACCCTGTCTCTACTAAAAATACAAAAAATTAGCCGGGCGTGGTGGCGGGCACCTGTGGTCCCAGCTACTCGGGAGGCTGAGGCAGGAGAATGGCGTGAACACGGGAGGCGGAGCATGCAGTGAGCCGAGATAGCGCTACTGCACTCCAGCCTGGGTGAAAGAGCGAGACTCCGTCTCAAAAAATAAAAGTGAATTAAAAATCTAAATGACCATCAACAGAGCATTGCTTAATAGAATGTAATGTAACTATACTATGGAATATGGTATAGCAACTATATGATTCTCACAGGGAAGGACGTCACTGATACTATTAAGTCAAAAAGGCTGTCAAACAATACATAAGAATAGTTAATATTTATGGAATGTTTACTATTCCAGCCATATTAATACACCAAATGCTCATACCTACATCCTAAATTAGATGCCATAATAACGATCCCCAATTTACCAATGAGGAATCAGGCTCAGAGACAAGGGAAAATAGGCTGTGTGTCAGACACAAGCTACTATAATGTCTCTGAGATGAAAACACAAAGCATGGCCTCATTTTTGCAAACAGAAAAGCAAACAAATGCAGACACTATGCATATACACATACAAATACCTACATGTGCACAGGAAAGATCTGAAAGGAAACATAATACTCTTAACAGTGTTTATCTCTGGAAAGCAGGACTGAGGGAGGGGACATTATTCCTTTTGATTCACCCATATTGCTTGACACCAAGTGTATATATAGTACTTTTTTTTTTTTTGAGACAGTCTCATTCTGTCACCCAGGCTGGAGTGCAGTGGCACAGTCTCAGCTCACTGCAACCTCTGCCTCCTGGGTTCAAGCGATTCTCGTGCCTCAGCCTCCCAAGTAGCTGGGATTACAGGTGCCCGCCACCATGCCCGGCTAATTTTTGTATTTTCAGTAGATAAGGGGTTTCACCATGTTGGCCAGGGTGGTCTCGAACTCCTGACCCCAAGTGATCTGCCTGCCTTGGCCTCTCAAAATGCTGGGACTATAAGCATGAGCCACCACACCTGGCCTATGTCCTACTTTTATAATTTGCAGTTAAGAAAACTGTAAAACTGCCCGGCGCGGTGGCTCAAGCCCGTAATCCCAGCACTTTGGGAGGCCAAGGCGGGCGGATCACAAGGTCAGGAGTTCGATACCAGCTTGGCCAATATGGTGAAACCCTGCTTCTACTAAAAATAATTTTTAAAAAAATTGGCCAGGTATGGTGGCGGGAGCCTGTAGCCCCAGCTACTTTGGAGGCTGAGGCAGAAGAATCTCTTGAACCCGGAAGGCGGAGGTTGCAGTGAGCTGAGATTGTGCCATTGCACTCCAGCCTGGGCGACAGAGGAAGACTCCATCTCAAAAAAAAAAAAAAGAAAACCATAAAACTAGCTAGCATCGACTGGCTCACACTCATGGAACTTCACTACAAACCTGTGAGAGTGGTACTATGTTATCGTCTCCAATTTACAAAAAAGAAAATGAAGTACAGAGACAGGTAACTTGCCCAAGTTCATGATGAGTAAGCAGTGCAGCTGGGATCTGAACCTAGCACCAGGGATCTTAACTACTGCACACACTGTTCCAGAAATTTAAAACCAAAAAAGACAAGGGGGAGAGAGGGAGGGGCGTGAAGGAGAGGAAACTGGTGCAGGGCTGTCAGGGGTGGCAGCTGAAGGCAGTACTCACTGTACTGGATGTAGGGGTGGTCACGAGGGATGCGGTCCAGGCTGATATCATGCTCCTGGCGTCGGGGTATCTCTGAGTCAGCCATGCGGGGTGACAGGGTGACAATGAGGCCCTCCACAAACTTGATGGCGTGGGTGCGGATGCCGTCATTGTCAGAGTCCAATAGCAGGATGATGTCCCCCGCCATGGCAGATACCATGTCCCAGCAGGCCTCCTGTAGCTCGCTAATGACCCGTGACTTTACCATCCACTGCCAGCAGGCCAGGAAGGAATGGAAGAGACACACAAAGAGGTGAAGACAACGCATCAATCACCAACACCCTCTGCCAATACCCAGAGAACCATGAATGATGAATACATTCATTTGGTTAACAGTTACTGAGTTCCAACTCTGCCCCAGCCCAGTGCTCGGTGATGCTGGAGACAGGACTGAGTAGTGGCCAGGCCTCGCCCTGCCCTCATGGGGATGCAGAGAGTGACCACTCAGTGTGATGAAGGCACACATCTTCAGGGTAAAGGACTAACAGTGCTGACTTCACAAGGTGGTGGTGATTAAATGGATTCATTCGTTTTATTAATGCTAATGTACATCACACCATAGAGTGTTCTTTTCCTATCACACTCCATAATCAATATTTATGTGATTCATTAATTAAGGTCTACCTCCCTCCTTGGGTTATGAGCACTGTGAAGGCAGTAAGCTGTCTTGGTCACTGCTGTGTCCCCAGCATCACCTAGCCCAGGGCTAAGCACAGAGGACATACTCAGGGAATGTCTGTTGAGTGAATAAACGGATGGTCAATGGAAGGAATGAAGGTTAAGTGCAACTTCCTGACCTAGGAGACAACGTTAGCTCTCCATGTTATCTGTTCCCACAGACCAGTGGCACATCTTGCCCATAAAGAGTATGCTCGGATGCTGGTTTTGAACCCCAACATATTAGTTTGTCAACGAGACATATCAGGCAGGATGGCCCTGGGTGGGGAGGGCGCTCTCACCTGCAGGGCCACCTTGTAGAGCTGGGTCATGGTGAGGATAGCCTTCTTCACCACGTTCACATTCTCGTCCCTCAAGAGCATGTTGAGGTTTGCAATGAGTTTCAGCAGCAACTCAATGTCTCGCTTGCTGAGGGATGGAGAAAAAAGGGGCGAGGTCAAGGTGTGGTCTTAGAGCAAGTAGGAGGAGCCTGAGGTCCAGGAGGGAAGGGAAATCAGGGACCTGTCTCAGGGGACCGGAATGGCACATCCAGAAGCTGGGAACAGTGCTTGGTGCCTCCAGACTGAGCCGCCCCTGAACCCTCTATCTAGACTGGTCCTGTAACACCAACTCCTTTGCTCTCTCAGGGCCCTGCTGTTCACATAAGGGACAGTAGGGGCAGACAACTGTGTGAATTTGGACAAGCGACTTCACCTCATTTAGAATAATAGTATCTATCCAATTGTTTATGCAATTTTTTGGGAAAATTGCAACAATACTTGTAAAGTGCTTAGAAGAGTGCCTGACATGCAGAAAGCATTCAGTAAACACCAAAAAGCATTCGGTAAACACCAGCCATTGCTACTTTAAAGCACTTTGTTTTCTGTAATCACTAGTTTTGCTTGCCTCAGTCTGAGGGCTCAAAAAGTAGGGACCCTTTCCTAGCTTGGCAATAACCCCAGCAGGGTCATTTTCATTGAAGAAAAAAATGAAGGGCCTCCAACAAATGTTCAATGAATAAATAGGAGCTCAGCACAGAATTTTCACAGCATACATTACAATCTGAAATATTAATTAAATCAGTCAAAAAATATGAAACTTAGCTGTCAGCTACATGAAGGCAGGAATAATACGTTTTTGCTCACTGCTATACTACAGCCTAACATGGATGCCTGGTACGACAGCAGTCACATGGTATGTATTTGCTGAATGGACTTTTTACAAATTCAGAAAATTTACCACAAATTCTCCCAGTAAATGGGGAGATAGGATATTTGGGTTCTGGCATTGCAGACATGAGTTAAAATCCCAGCCTTGGCCAGGCGCAGTGGCTCACGCCTGTAATCCCAGCACTTTGGGAGGCTGAGGCAGGTGGGTCACCTGAGGTCAGGAGTTTGAGACCAGCTTGACCAACGTGGTGAAACCCCATCTCTACTAAAAATACAAAATTGGCCGGGCATGGTGGCGGGCACCTGTAACTCCAGCTACTTGGGAGGCTGAGGCAGGAGAATCACTTGAACCTGTGTGGTGGAGGTTGCAGTTAGCCGAGATCGCACCATTGCACTCCAGCCTGGGCAACAAGAGCGAAACTCCATCTCAAAACAAAAACAAAAACAAAAACAAAAAAAAACAACAACAGAAAACAAAATTAGCTGGGTGTGGTGGCAGGCACCTGTAATCCCAGATACTCGGGGGGGCTGAGGGAGGACAATCACTTGACTCAGGAGGCAGAGGTTGTAGTCAGCCGAGATTGCACCACTGCACCCCAGTCTGGCCGACAGAGTGAGATTCCATCTCAAAAAAATAATAAATAAATAAAATCCCAGCCTTGCCACATTCTGGCTGTGTGACCTTAAGAAAATTCACTTCACCTCTCTGAGACTGTTTTCTCTTCAGTTAAAGGGTCAAACAACTGATCCATAGTATTACGAATAATGAAGCTGCTCAAGCATTTAATACAGTGCCTTACAAACAAATATTTAATACACAGTAGCTAGTCTACTTCCTCCCAGTCACAAAGCATCCAGTAAAGCTTTAATAAACAAATGAGCAAGTGACCAGCTTGAACAAGTCACTTGACCATTCTGAGCCTGTTTCCCTTTCTGTAAAAAGAGGATAACCACAGTATCCATCGAGGCTGCCATAATTACGGAGATAACACGGGAAAGGACCTGACACAGCGCAGGGCACAGTACGTGTTCCATGTGGTGACTGTTATGTTCAACTCATTCACGTGTGCAACAAATACGTAGTCAGCCCCTACTAGGTGACAACACTGCTCCAGGCAGGTACTGGGGACAAAGTGGCCAGCAAGACAGAAAAAGTCAAGCCCCGTCCTCACAGAGCTGATATTTTGCGGGAAGAATCAAGGTTATTTCAATGAGTGAGGAACACTGTAAAGAACAGTGAAGGTGGGGTGCCTGAGACATGGGGCTGCATGGGAGCGGGCAGGAAGGAATTTCTGAGGAAGAGACCTGAGGGAAGGGAGGGGAGAGCCAGGTGGCAACCTGGGGACGAGGGCCCCTAGCAGGAACAGCAAGCAGACAGGCTGCGAAATCCAACTGTGACTTCTGAGGAGCAGGGGAGACAGAGAGGATCAGAAGTGAGATGAAGCCGAAGTGAGAGTTTGGGTTTCCACCTAAGTAAGCTGATGAGCCAGCTGGGGTCTGAGAGCAGGGGTGTGCCAAGACTGATTTACATTTAACAGCGTCACTCTGGCTGCTGAGTGCAAGAGTGGAAGCGGGAAATGAGTGCGGTGATTCCTCTTTGGGGGATGAAATGCCCTGGAACGAGATTGTGAACGTGCTAAATGCCACTCACTTGTTCACTTTAAAATAGCTGATTTTTGCTGGGCGTCGTGGCTCATGCCTGTAATCCCCGCACTTTGGGAGGCCAAGGTGGGCCAATCACTTGAGGTCAGGAGTTCAAGACTGGCCTGGCCAACATGGCAGAAACCCCATCTCTACTAAAAATACAAAAATTAGCCAGGCATGGTGGCACGCACCTGTAATCCCAGCTATTCAAGGAGGCTGAGGCACAAGAATCTCTTGAGCCTGGGAGGTGGAGGTTGTAATGAGCCAAGATTGCGCCACTGTACTCCAGCCTGGACAACAGAGCAAAACTCAGTCTCAAAAAAAAAAAAAAGGCCAGGCACAGTGACTCACACCTGTAATCCCAACACTTTGGGAGGCCAAGGCGGGCAGATCACCTGAGGTCAGGAGTTTGAGACCAGCCTGGCCAACATTGCAAAACCCCTTCTCTACTAAAAATACAAAAATAAGCCGGATGTGGTGGCGCATGCCTGTAATCCCAGCTACTTGGGAGGCTGAGGCAGGAGAATAGCTTGAACCCGGAAGTCGGAGGTTGCAGTGAGCCGAGATTGCGCCACTGCACTCAAGCCTGGACAACAGTTGAGCGAGACTCCGTCTCAAAACAAACAAACAAACAAAAGATTAAAAAAAAAAGCTAATTTTGTTATATGAATTTCAATTTAACTAAAAAGAAAAAGAAGGGAGCCAGAGAGAGACCACTGAAGTCATCAGGTAGGAGGAAAGGGTGGCTTGGGCCTGCATAGTGGCAGAGGAAGTGATTGACAAACGGTCAGATGCTACAGATATTCTCAAAGTGGAGCCCACAGTCCTTAGTGATAATGTAGATGTGAAGTGTGGAAGAAGCAGAGGAATCACAGATGACCCCAGGGTTTCCATCTTATTAAGTATTTGCTGGGGAATCAGTGTGTATGAGAGAGAGAAAGGGTCTGGGAAGCAGAGGGCAGGCCTCTCAGTGGTGGCCTCCAGGCCAGGCCACGAGCTGAAGGCTGCCACCAGTGAGAATGCTCCCGGGGCTCCGTGCCTCGCCCCATACCATGCCTCCTCGATGAAGCCGATGACAAATTTTCGCACTTCGATTGACTTGTCTGCTTGGAATGCGATGATCTCCTGCCAATGTTAGAGAGAAAGTGGATCAGGGCTACACAAGGATCCACATCCCCTTTCCCCTACACCACACCCCTTTCTCTTCTGTCAGTCACTCACATCCAGGAAGTTGTCCAGTAGTGTGGGGTCTTTGTTGATGATCAGCTCCTGGACCTGGAAGGAGATTGGGGGTGGGGAGGAGGAATACCCATATAAAACGAGGGGCCAATCAATGCAGACAGGAGAGTAGAGGGGAAGACAGCAGAGGGCTAGGCAGCAGATACACTCATTTCAATGCCTGGCTCTGCTTCTCCCTACCAAGGGTGCTATGCTCTGGGCATGGTCTCTGAACCTCAGTTTGCTCTTCTATAAAATGAGACTCTTAAACATCAACTCAAAAGGGATGTTAGGAGGCTACAATGAGATCCTACAAGGCACAGGTCCTGGTAGATAGTGAGGACATGACACAGGAGGGGGCTGAAAAAAAGAGGAAAGTGCCCCAAGGCTCAGGCCTTCCTGAGGTTTGGCCTCCATTCACCTGTCCATCAGTTCTCCCCACTCTCCTTCTGCTTCTGCTCCCTACTTCACATTGCCATGATTCAGCAAACATCTTCACAGTGAGAACCCAATTCCTGAAGCCCTTGTGCCTGCCAGGCTCTTTGGAGTAAGCCCTTCCCATGGACATCCTCCAATAAGCAAAGAGCTGGCACAGGACCTGGCTGCTACAACTCAAGCTACTATTGCTAAACGGCCTCATGACCACCCATGGGGGAGGCACCAGGTGCATCCACTCCACCTCGGAGGTGGGGCTACTCCACAAGGCTACAGGCTGATGAAGGAGCCGAACGGGTTCTCACACAGGAATGCTAACCCTGCCAGTCTCTGAACTCCAACTGCCTCCTGCTCTGAACCATGCCCAGCCCAAGTGTCCCATGTCGTCTTCTGCCTTTGCACACACTTCTGTGCCCTCAGCTTGACATGCTCTCCCTCTCTTGGCTGGGCACGGTGGCTCGTGCCTGTAATCCCAGCAGTTTGCGGGGGCCAAGGAGGGTGGACCACTTGAGCTCACGAGTTTGAGACCAGCCTGGTCAACATGGTGAAACGCGTCTCTACTAAAAATACAAAAATTAGCCAGGCATGGTGGCAGGTGCCTGTAATCTCAGCTACTCAAGAGGCTGAGGCAGGAGTTGCAGTGAGAGCCAGGATCGTGCCATGGCACTCCAGCCTGGGCAACAGAGCAAGACTCTGCCTCAAAAAAAAAAAAAAAAGAGATGCTCTGCCTCTCTCATTTGGTACACTTCTCTCCTTTTATCCTCCATGGCTTGGTTCAAAAGTCCTCCCTGACTCCCCATCCCTAGGCTGGGTCAGGAGCTCCCTCTGGGCTCCCAGAGCCCCCCTGGGCTCCCTTCTCCATCCCAGCCCTGCCCACACTGGGTCATCATTGCCTGGTGACAGGAATGTCTGCCCCACTGGACTGGACACTGGCAGAGAAGAAATGCAATGATGAAGAGTGTAGGATTTGGAGCTGGAATCCAGGATTCAATTACTAGTTCAGCCAGCTCCCAGCAGAGTGACCCTGGGCTAATAATTTAAGCCCCGGGGTCTGCTTCTTTCTGTATAAAACAGGGATGAAACTACCCTGCCTTACAGAGCTTTCATGAGAACTAGAAGAGCAGAGGCCTGCACTGAGCACTGTGGCCGGCACACACTGAGTGTGTAAATGTGGACACTGGTGTTACTGCAAGTGTCTTTCTCAGGTTCCCAGCCTCCTCCCTTTCACCTGCTCAGCCCAGGATGCCCCCCGGGCCCTCACCTGTTTGAGCACTGTGATCTTTGAGTCATTGGTGATCAGCGCCGCCTGGTTCAGAAGATCCACCACCTGGAAGGAGGGGGAGTGGCAGGGGATAGTGCCAGCCCAGTCCAGCCCAGTGCAGCCCCCTCGGCACTCCCAGGGCTCTGCCACCTAAACAGGGATTGCCAAAGCCAGGGGCTATGCTTCCTCACTCCAAGCCCTACCCGCCACGCTCACCCTCTCTGAGGTGGTCATGCCATCGATGCCCGGCCCCTCCTCTTGAGTGAAAAACTGTGATGCCACGCTCCGACGGGTGACGCTGTCTCCACTGCCGCTCGCCATGGCTGCTGTCAGCTTGTCCCCAGGAAAGAAGAGGATGGATCAAGCTCAGGGAACCAGCGGATGGGCTGGGCTGGATTGTCACCCGAACACCTACAAAGGGCCCAAGCCTCCTTCCCAGGCTGTTCCTCCCCAGTCAGGCCTTCTCAAGTCCCTCTCCCCTCCAGGGTCTGTCTCTGGCTTATGGATATGTGCACGGGGCCTGTAACTTGGGGGAGACTGACATCTCCCAAGGCAGAGCCAGAAGTCTCAGCCTCAAGTGGGCCAACCACAAACAGCTGCTGAACGATGGGCCACATGAACGTGCAACAGCCACCTTGCAGGTCTCCGTGTGTCCCCTCTCTCCATCTGGGATATGCTTTGGACTGGGCACCACAGCAAACTTTCTTTTTTTTTTTTTTTTGAGATGAAGTCTTGCTCTGTCACCCAGGTTGGAGTGTGGTGGTGCGATCTCAGCTCACTGCAACCTCTGCCTCCCAGGTTCAAGTGATTCTCCTGCCTCAGCCTCCCAAGTAACTGGGATTACGGGCACATGCCACCATGCCCAGCTAATTTTTGTATTTTCAGTAGAGACAGGGTTTCACCATGTTGGCCAGGCTGGTGTCAAACTCCTGACCTCAGGTGTTCCACCTGCCTCGGCCTCCCAAAGTGCAGGGATTACAGGCGTGAACCACAGTGCCTGGCCCAGAGTAAACTTTTAAAAACACAGCTCTGAGGAATATCAGGCACAGAGTCCGGCACATAGTAGGCACTCAATACATCACAAAAGGCCTGCTTCAATAATTATGTTTCAGCCACTCTCTGGAATATCATGAAGCTGTTTTTAAAAGGGAGGAAGGGGGCTTTCAGGCATCCATCACAGTCACACAGGCAAAATTATGGAATGATTAACGTAGCAGTATATGTCAATTACACAACTATTCATAATAGCAAAAGACTAGAAGCAACTCAAGTGTTCTCAAATAGGGAGACTGGCTGAAAAAAAGTTCATACATAATCAAAGGCCATGGGGCTTCAACACCTGTGAAAGTAAGTGAAAAACATATAAATATAAATAAAGGAAAAAGACTATGGAACTGTAACAAGAAAGGAAGAAAAAAACAAAAAAATGAGAACAATCTCTAGACACTGATAGAGAGTGCATACATTAAGTGAAAACAAGCAAAGCTGAAGACAGTGTTGACTGTATGTTTCTGTTTTACAAAAAAAAAAGAAAAATGAGGCCAGGTGCAGTGGCTCATGCCTGTACTCCCAACACTTTGGGAGGCTGAGGCAGGCAGATCGCTTGAGCCTAGGAGTCGGAGAGCAGCCTGGGCAACATGGTGTAACCCTATCTCTACAGAAAATATAAAAATTAGCTGGGCATGGTGGCGTGCCTGGTAGTCCCAGCTACTCAGGGAGGTGAAGGCAGAGGCTGTAGTGAGCCAAGATCGGGCCACTGCCCTCCAGCCTGGGCAGCAGAGTGAGAACTTGACTCAAAAAAAAGAAAGGGGAAAAAATATATATGTTAAAAAAGGAAAAAAATCTGAAAGGATAAACCAAAAACCAGCAGAGGAAACAGGGTAAAAAAAATTGGTGAAGCCGGGCGCGGTGGCTCACGCCTGTAATCCCAACACTTTGGGAGGCCGAAACGGGTGGATCGTCTGAGGTTAGGAGTTTGAGACCAGCCTGGCCAACATGGTGAAACCCCATCTCTAGTAAAAATACAACAGTTAGCTGAGCCTATAATCCCAGCTACTCAGGAGGCTGAGGCAGAAGAATCGCTTGAACCCAGGAGGCGGAGGTTGCAGTGAGCCGAGATCATGCCACTGCACTCCAGTCTGGGACATAAAGACAGACTCCATCTCAAAAAAAAAAGGTGAATCTCAGTATATTATCCTGAAAAGAGGTCCCTGACAGCCTGTTGCATCAGAGGACAATACATGCAGTTCAAGCCATTTTTGTCAAGTATGTGTTTATGTATACGCAGAATGACCTGAGGCAAGACATTTAACTTCTCTGGCTCTCAGTTTCCTCTTCTAGGAAACAGGGATAGTAACAGGGCTTACCTCCCAAGACTATTTTGAGGATTAAATGAGTTAGTATATACAGTAAACATTGGCTAAGTATACTATTATTTTTATGTACATGGGAAAAGATCTGAAGGCTACTGCATAAACTGCTAACAACAATTATGATAATTAATAATAATTTGGCCAGCTCACGCCTGTAATCCCAGGATTTTGGGAGGCTAAGGTGGGAGGATCAATTGAGCTCAGGAGGTGGAGGATGCAGTGAGCTGTGATCCCTACCACTGCATTCCAGCCTGCGGACAGAGCAACACCCTGTCTCAGAAACAAACAGGCCAGGTGCAGTGGCTCACATCTGTAATCCCAGCACCTTGGGAGGCTGAGGTAGGCAGAACACCTGAGGTCAGGAGTTCGAGACCAGACTGGCCAACATGGAGAAACACTGTTCCCTACTAAAAACATACAAATTAGACAGGCATGGTGGCGCATACCTATAATCCCACCTACTTGGGAGGCTGAGGTGGGAGAATCACTTGAACCTGGGAGGCAGAGGCTGCAGTGAGCTGAGATCACGCCACTGCACTCCAGCCTGGACGAGAATGAGACTGTCTTAAAAACAAAACAAGGCTGGGTGCGGTGGCTCACACGTGTAATCCCAGCACTTTGGGAGGCCAAGGCGGACGGATCACGGAGGTCAGGAGATCGAGACCATCCTGGCTAACAAGGTGAAACCCCGTCTCTTCTAAAAATACAAAAAAATATGCCGGGCATGGTGGCGGGCGCCTGTATTCCCAGCTACTCGGGAGGCTGAGGCAGGAGAATGGCATGAACCCGGGAAGCGGAACTTGCAGTGAGCTGAGATCACAACACTGTACTCGAGCCTGGGCGACAGAGTGAGACTCTGTCTCAAAAAAAAAAAAAAAAAAAAAAAAACACACACTAAACAAACAAACATGCCAAAAAAACAATAATCTGAGGACGGTGAAAATGATACTTTTTTCTTTTTTTGAGATGGAGTCTTGCACTGTCGCCCAGGCTGGAGTGCAGTGGCGTGATCGTGGCTCACTGCAAGCTCCGCCTCCTGGGTTCACACCATTCTCCTGCCTCAGCCTCCCCAGTAGCTGGGACTACAGGCGCCTGCCACCACGCCCGGCTAATTTTTTGTATTTTTAGTAGAGACGGGGTTTCACCATGTTAGCCAGGATGGTCTCGATCTCCTGACCTCGTGATCCGCCCGCCTTGGCCTCCCAAAGTGCTGGGATTACAGGCGTGAGCCACCGCAACCAGCCGAAAATACTTTTTTTTTTTTTTTTTTAGATGGAATTTCACTCTTGTTTCCCAGGCTGGAGTGTAATGGCACAATCTCAGCTCACCGCAACCTCCACCCTCCCAGGTTCAAGCAATTCTCCTGCCTCATCTCCCAAGTAGCTGGGATTACAGGTATGTGCCACCACATCCAGCTAATTTTTGTATTTTTAGTAGAGACGAAGTTTTACCATGTTGGTCAGGCTGGTCTCGAACTCCTGACCTCAGGTGATCTGCCCACCTTGGCCTCCCAAATTGCTGGGATTACAGGTGTGAGCCACAGCGCCCAGCCGAAAATGACACGTTTTTTAAAAGGAACTACCCAATAGCTATTCACAGTAGTATCACATGATAGGGGTCTCCTCAATGAATGACGAGCCACAGCCTCCTCCCTAGTTTCCCTGCTGCCTGTCACCCCCTATCTTGCTCAGGGTCAGGGCCAATGTCCCCATCAAGGCCTACAAGATTTTATGGCATCTGGCCTGTTCTTCCTCTGACTGCCTCTCCCCCTGGGCTCTTTGCTCCACCCACTCTGGCCTCCTCGCTGTCCTGTGAACATGCCCAACATGCCCCTTCCTCAAAGACTTTGTGCCTCTCTTCCGTCTGCCTGGAATATTCCTCCTCCTAGATATCAGCACAACTCCTTCCCTCTTCATTTCCTTCAGGTCTCCACTCACATGTCTCTGCAGTAAGGTCTTCCCTGACGACTATGTTTCTTTTTTTTTTGAGACGGAGTTTCCCTCTTATTGCCCAGGCTGGAGTGCAATGGCGTGATCTCAGCTCACAGCAACCTCTGCCTCCCAAGTTCAAGCGATTCTCCTGCCTCAGCCTCCCTAGTAGCTGGGATTACAGGCATGTGCCACCACGCCTGGCTAATTTTGTATTTTTAGTAGAGACGGGGTTTCTCCATGTTGGTCAGGCTGATCTCGAACTCCCGACCTCAGGTGATTCGCCCGCCTTGGCCTCCCAAAGTGCTGGGATTACAGGCATGAGCCACCGCGCCCGGCCGACGACCATATTTCAAATTTTAACTTCCTCTCGATCCCCATCTGTGTTGCTTTTTCTCCATAGCATTTATCATCATCACACACTACATATTTATAAGTTCCACGAGGACAGTGATTTATTTATTTGAAATCATTTTTTGGTAGAAGCAGAGTTTCGCCATGTTGCCCAGGCTGGTCTTGAACTCCTGCACTCAAGCAATCCACCCTCCTTGGCCTCCCAAAGTGCTTGGGATCACAAGTCTCAGCCATCGCCCCCGGCCTAGAACAGGGATTTTGTTCCTTCACTTTTTATATTCCCAGCACGGAAGAGTGCTTGGCACCTAGCAGGAGCTCAATAAACATCTGCTGAATGAGTGAACACTACTGCCAAACGGCCTCCCCAATCACTGGGTTCAGTATTCCTGCCCTTTCACTCTTGAATCCTAATAGCTATACTTGTTCTACTTTTTCCCCCTTTCTCACTACTGCACTTGACAAGTCTTTAAAAAAAAAAAAAAAAAAGGGCATGGTGTGGTGGCTCACTCCTGTAATCCCAGCACTTTGGGAGGCCAAAGTGGACAGATCACTTGAGGCCAGGAGTTCAAGACCAGCCTGGCCAACATGGCAAAACCCAGTCTCTGCTAAAAATACAAAAAAATTACTTGGGCATGGAGATGGATGCCTGTAATCCCAGCTACTTGGGAGGCTGAGGCATGAGAATTACCTGAGCCTGGGAGGCAGACGTTGCAGCGAGCCGAGATTGCGCCACTGCACTCCAGCCTGGATGACAGAGCAAGACTCTGTCTCAAAAATAAAACAAAACAAAAACAAAGAAAGGAAAGAAAACAAAAATAGGACGGGTATAGTGGCTCACAATTGTAAACCCAGCATTTTGGTAGGTCTAGGTGGGAGGATGGCTTGAGGCCAGGAGTTCAGGACTAGCCTAGGCCTAAAAACTAAAAAAGAAGGCCAGGTGCAGGGGTTCATGCCTATAATCCCAACATTTTGGGAGGCTGAAGCAGGAAGAGTACTTGAGGCCAGGAGTTTGAAACCAGCCTGGGCAACACAGCGACACACCATCTCTAGACATATGCACAATTAGCTGGGCATCGATATCATGCCACTGCTCTCCAGCCTGGGAGACACGGTAAGACTCCATCTAAAAAAAAAAAAAAAAAAAAAAAAAAATTAGCCAGGCATGGTGCCATGAACCTTTAGTCCCAGCTACTCTGGAGGCTAAGGTGGGAGGATTGTTTGAGCCTGGTTGTAGTGAAGTATGATTGGGCCACCGTAGTCCAACCTGGGCAACAGAGCATGAACCTGATGAACCTGTTTCCAAAAAAAAAAAAGAAAAAATAATCAGTTAATATATATTGAACACGGCCGGGCACGGTGGCTCAAGCCTATAATGCCAGCACTTTGGGAGGCCAAGGCGGGTGGATCACCCGAGGTTAGCAGTTTGAGACCAGTCTGGCCAACATGGTGAAACCTCATCTCTACTAAAAATACAAAAAAATTAGCCAGGCATGGTGGCAGGCACATGTAATCCTAGCTACTCGGGAGGCTGAGGCAGGAGAATCGCTTGAATTTGGGAGGAGGAGGTTGCAGTGAGCCGAGGTCACATCATTGCACTCCAGCGTGGGCAACAAGAGTGAAACTGCGTTTCAAATTAAAAAAAAAAAGAAAAAAAACCCACACACACAGAGAGAGAAAGAGAAAGAGAGAGAGAGAACACTTAATATGTGCTAAGCACAATTCTAAGATATACATATTAACTCATTTAAACCTCAGACACCAAGGTTTAAATGAATTAATATGTATATATTAGAATTAATATACATGAGTTAGGTTTACATTTTTTGTTTTTTTGAGACAGGGTGTCACTCTGTTGCCCAAGCTGGAGTGCAGTGCCGCAATCTCAGCTCACCGCAATCTCTGCCTCCCGGGCTCAGGCGATCCTCCTACCTCATTTTCCCAAGTAGCTGAGACTACAGGCGAATCCCCATTTAATTTTTGTACTTTCTGTAGAGAAGGGTTTCGCCATGTTGCCCAGGCTGGGAGTTAGTATTTTTAATTTTCATTTTACAGATGAGGAAACTGAAGACCAGGGAGGTAAAGTGACCTGACCAAAGGCATATAGCTTGTAAGAGGCAGAGTCAGCAGCATGGCTGCATATCTTCCTTACCACTATGCTACAGTACTGTTTATCTGAAAGGAATTGTTTTTTACCCCCAGGTCTGTTTACGTAAGCCAAGGATCCTGGCCACCAGACAACCGGCATGGCATGCCGTCCCCAGTCAAAACATAAAAAAAACAGGCCGGGCATGGTGGCTCACACCTGTAATCCCAACACCACTGCACTCCAGCCTGGGCGACAGAATGAGACTCTGCCTCAAAAAATAAAATAAAATAAAATAAAACCCCATAATAAACATTTCCACTTTTTTCATGATAATACATTCAGATCAACCAAAATATTTTACCCTGTTTCATTCTTCTTCTGCTTTTTGGTTTATGCTTTCAGTTTTGTTTTGTTCTTTTTTAAACACACATACACAAAATTCTCCTGCAGGAGCTAGATTTTATGCAAAAAAAGGAAAAAAAATGAAAATAAAAAAACCCATATATACATATTTCCCTTTCATTTACAAAAAGAGCATACACAGGGCCGGGAGCGGTGACTCACGCCTGTAATCCCAGCACTTCGGGAGGCGGAGGCAGGTGGATCACGAGGTCAGGAGTTCAAGACCAGCCTGACCAACATGGTGAAACCCCATCTCTACTAAAAATACAAAAATTAGCCAGGCGTGGTGGTGTGCCTGTAATCCCAGCTACCTGGGAGGCTGAGGCAGGCGAATTGCTTGAACCTGGAAGGCAGAGGTTGCAGTGAGCCGAGATCACGCCACTGCACTCCAGCCTGGGTGACAGAGTGAGACTCTGTCTCAAAAAAAAAAAAAAGGAGCCTACACAGGCCGAGTTTGGTGGCTCAGGCCTGTAATCCCTGCACTTTGGAAGGCTGAGGTGGGCAGATCACTTGAGGTCAGGAGTTCAAGACCAGCCTGGCCAACACAGAGAAACCCCGTCTCTACTAAAAATATAAAAATTACCTGGGTGTGGTGGGGCACGTTTGTAATCCCAGCTACTCGAGAGGCTGGGGTGGGAGAATCACTTGAACCAGGGAGGTGGAGGTTGCAGTGAACTGGGATCGTGCCAGCCTGGGCGACAGAGTGAGACCCTGTCTCAAAAAAAAAAAAAAAGAAAAAGCATATACAATAAACACCAACCTCCACTTCACTTGTTTTCCCTTAATATATGTTGGAGGCCACTATATCAGTGTATAGAGATTTTCATCATTTCCTTTTATCTACCTCATTCCTTTTTAGAGTTGCATAGTATTTTTTATGTGGATGTATTATAGTTTCTTTCAGCCAATCTTCTTATTTAAGAACATTTGGGATGCGTGTAGCCTTTTGCTATGATGAACAGTATCACTGTTTCCCCTTCCCTCTCGATGTACTCGTTAAGAAGTGGTACCCTGCCCCACTGCTACCTAGGAATCTGATGACTACCCTGTTTCCCCAAACTGGCTCTAGGAGTATCTTTTATTCCTTCAACGAACATTAGCTGGGCGTCTCCGGCGTGATTGGCGCTGTGCTGAGAACACAGTGGCGACAGAGACAAACCTAGTCCCTACCTTCATGGAACACACGGTCATAGACATCATAAAACAGCACACAGATAAGAGTCGGATAACAAATTAGACCACACGTGACATGAAGGAACACGGACCGACAAAAGCATTTAACAGGCGGATTTCTGGATGGAGGGCAGGGAAGGAGGGCTTCGCAGAGGAAGTGACGTTGGTGCCGAGACCCGAAGGATGAAATGGGAGTTAGCCAAGCCGAATGGGTAAAAGGATGTTGCAGGCAGAAGGGACAGCCTGTGCAAAATCCCCGAAGCGGGAAAGCGCATGGCAAGTTTAAGGAACCGAAAGGCCAGGGCGGCTGTTAGAGGTGGGGGAAAAAGCAAAGAGGCCGAGTCGAAGCAAGCGAGGTCTGCGGGGCGGTGGCGCCCGGGGGGCCACGTTGGAACTTTGCCTCGAGGGCACTAGGGAGCCAAGGAAGGGTCCTGAGCAAGGGAAGAAACATGGGTCGCGAAAGCCACTGTTCCCCTCTCCCCACGGCGATGCCCTCCCCGCCCGAGCCCCTGCTTCTTTAGGAGCCTCCTCCTTTCGTCTCCGGGCCCAAACGCCGCCTCCCGCTCACCGCAGCTCTGGCCTCCGTTCCCCTCGCGCCCCCTCAGCAGTGCCTCTTCCTACACTCCGCCGCCGCCGCCGCCGCCATCTTCCGTTCGTCGCCGGGAACGGTGCGCACGCGCCACACACCCAGGGCCGCCGGGAAATGGAGTCCAGAGCACAGCCCGACCCCGCCCATGCCTCGTCCCGTGCGAGCGGCATTCTGCCCGCCTCCATACTACGGCGAGCAGACCCTTCATTTCCGGCTCTGGGTCCGGCTAGGCCTTCTGGGAAATGTAGTCCCTTCGGAGGCACCGGGCGGAAAGGGAGCTAGAGCATTCTGGGAAATGGAGTTCTCAGTGGTGCTGAGTCCCTGGACGGCTGGCTGGTCTTGGAGAGTGCGGAGTTCGGGCAGCGAAGCTCCTGGGTCTTGGAGGGGAGGTGGTCTGTTGCCCTAGTGGGGTCTGCGGAGAGGCCCCGATCCCCTCCATCTTTGTTCTTGACCCTTTCAACAGTCTGAAGCATTTCTTTTTCTTTTCTTTTCTTTCTTTCTTTTTTTTTGGAAACGGAGTCCCGCTCTCTCTCCCAGGCTGGACTGCAGTGGCGCGATCTCGGCTCACTGCAACCTCCGCTTCCTAGGTTCAAACGATTCTCCTGCCTCAGCCTCCCGAATAGCTGGGATAACAGGCACGCACCATCACGCCTAGCTAGTTGTTGTATTTTTAATAGAGATGGGGTTTCACCCTGTTGGCCAGGCTGGTCTCAAACTCCTGACCTCAAGTGATTCGTCCGCCCGCCTCGGCCTCCTGCAGTGCTGGAATTACAGGCGTGAGCCACCGCGCCCGGCCAAGTTAAGCATTTCTAGCCGTCGGAAGCCTCAGTCTTCCTGTCTGTCCAATGGGGATGTGATTTCGGGGACCTTTTACGGGTCCTTGTAGTCGCATAGTGGCCCTAGCGTTCTGATTCCCCTTTCTTCCGCCACGGTCATGCAGGGCTCTGGCTCTTCGTCCTCTCCTGCCGAGATGATGAAGCCCCCTGAGGTAGAAAGGCTCCAGAGTTCTGACCTCGGGGCCCTTGGTATCTGCAGCGTCGCTGCGGGCAGCTCCCTCACTCCTGAATCACCCCCAGCTGTCGCGTCCTGGGGCTGCGGCCCCCGGCGCCTGAGGTCTGTCTCCTGGCGATCCCGCAGGGGGCGCCCCAGTCCGAGCGCGCCGCCCTCGGGGAGGCGGGAGGGGAGCCCGGGGCGGGCGAGGGCGGGGGTGTCCCGGCTATAAAGCGTGGCCGCCTCCCGCGGCGCTCGGGACAGCCGTACCCCGGGCGGTCGGACGGGCGGGCGCCGGTGGGAGCTCGGGCCGTGCCCGCTGAGAGATCCAGAGCGCTCCGTTCCCCCGGGGCCGGAGCGGGGGCGGGTGGGGGCGTAAGCCCGGGGGATGCTGGGCTCAGTGAAGATGGAGGCCCATGACCTGGCCGAGTGGAGCTACTACCCGGAGGCGGGCGAGGTGTGTCCTCGGGGATGGCGGAGCGGGAAGTTGGGGGCAGGTATCGGGGTGTGGGCTCACATGGAGCAGGGACTGGTTGTGGGTTCAAATGGAGGCAAAGGCGTCTACTTGGGCAGCTGAGGAACTGGGAACACGGAGACCAGGTGTGGAAGTCGGGGACCGGGGACGAGGCATGGATGGGAGCGCTGTTTGGGCAGCCTCGCCGCGGCCAGGGCTTAAAAATGGAAGTCAGGAAAATTTAGCCAAGGGTCGGGTCACACCTTAAACTTGGGAGCCGGGTGTTGGAGCCCCAAAAAGCAAGGGATTTATATGTACAAACCAAAGATAGGAATCAGAGTTCCAGGGTAGGGGACAGACTAGGGGGTTTCAGGATGTGAGGTTCAAAGTTGGAGGGAAAGAAAGACTAAAAGATGGAGGAGGAGTCACCATTAAGGGGAAGACTGAGGTGGGAGCTCAGGGCCAGCACACAGTGTTAAAGAACCGGGGTTCGGGGCTAAGGATCAGCTGGTAATCTAAGGTAGGGTCAGACATAGGGATTGGTGCTCAGGGGTCAGAGATGGGGGTGCTCAGAGATGAAGCTTCGTTTTTGGAGTCTGAAATAACAGGTGGCTTAGAGTTGGGCATCTGGGAGCAGAAGATGTAGCCATCAGCATTGGCAGGAGAGGGGCCGATCTCCACCCCCCCATCCCTACCCATGACCCTCCGCAGGGACTCCCCAAGTCGGAAGATGGAGAGTTTTAGATTGTGCACCTTCCCCTGCTCCCCGCCAGTCCAGCAACCTCCAGCTATTGCTAAAATTCCCATCCAGTCTCACCTCAGACAAGGCTTCCCTGGAGTGGGGGGTGGCGGCATATTCTAATCCCCTCACCTGGACAGACAGAAAGTCCTTCCTCAAGTCTGACCCCCATTCGTCTTGCTGCAACGACCCCTACACCTTAGCTACCTCACTCTGTAATCAACGTTGTGAGGTTGTTGGGGCTGGGGGTTGGGTTCTTGGTCTGAGAATTATGGGGGTCTGGACACTTGGACTTCTAACCTGGAAGGGGACTGTGGGCTTGAGGTGGGGTGTGGGGCAGGAATGGCTAGGTTCTCCAAGGAGTCAAGATCTGGTGACTGCGGGGGCCCCAGTGTGCCTGAGTCTTGGGTCTGGGGCTCGAAACTGTAGGGTGGGACTCCTGGATCCCCAGGCCTTCAGGGCTGGGCAAGGTGCCTGGGAAGGGCCAGTCCTGGGTTTGGGGAGGTGTGAGGTGCACGTGGGGTGGGGCAGGGCCAACAGGGAAAGGGACTGGGAGTGTTGAGAGGTGGAGGCAGGGTGGCTGGAGGTATCAGTTGTGAGATGCGGAAGGCAGAGACCCAGGTGGGAAATGGAGGGTTCCAGGTAGTGGGGGTGATCCCAGCTGGACCTCTGCAGAACTCAGTCTGGGGACCTGATTTAAGGGAACCACCTACAGACCAATTGTACAAACCAACTACAGTTGTTTTGGGGGCACATCTTAAGTAAATGATGGGGGTCTAGGCAGGAGGAGTTGATATTTGGGGCACAGTCTGAATAGATCCAAGTTTAGGGGACAATTTGTATGGAAATTGTGTCAGAAATTGAAGGAAAGCCGGCACAGTGGCTCACACTTGTAATCCCAGCACTTTGGGAGGTCGAAGTGGGAGGATCTCTTGAGCCCAGGAGTTTGAGGCCAGCCTGGGCAACATAGGGAGACCTTGTCTTTAAAAAAAAAATTTTTTTTTAATTAGTCAGGCATGCCTGTAGTCTAAGCTACTTGGTTGGGAGGCTGAGGTGGGAGGATCACTTGAGGCTGGGAGTTCGAGCTGCCGGGAGCTGTGATCGTATCACGGCACTCCAGCCTGGGTGACAGAATGAGACCCTATCTCAAAAAATAATAATAGTAGAGGGACAGTCTGGAGGTAATCAGCATTTCAGGGCATATTTTGGGAGAGTCAGTATTTGGAGGAATGGAAATGGTTGGGTGATACTGTCTGAGGCTCTCCCCAGCCTTCCCATCAGATAAGCCCACCTCTTCCCCTTGGGTCAGAACAATGGGGAGAGAAATACCTACACTCAGCCAGCAACTGAGAGCTGAGAGGGTCCCCAAACCACTTCTTGCCCATAGCACCCTCCCGCTTGGGGTGACGTTAACACTCAGGGCAGCTTGCTGTCTGGAAAGAACTTGGAAAGTTACCATCCTGGGATATCCCTGTTGGCCTCAGGTTCTTGCAGATCAGCTGGTCCAGCTGCTCCCCTGTTTTAGAGGTGGTTAACTCTGAAGCCCCGCACGCAGAACACTGGGGTCCTGGGTTGGGTCTGGGACTAGAAACTTGGCTTCTGGCTTCACACTGCCTTCCTCTGCTCCCTGTCACACCCTTCTCCAGAGACAATAAGGAAATGAAAGAGGAGAAATTCCAGTCTCCTGGTGTGGGGGTGCGGGTCCCCCAAGGGCTTCCCCCCAATCTCAGCCCCACCCTGTCAGGGGAGATCCGGCTCAGACCCGGACACCAGGGGTTCATCCCAGCCCCGGGGCGTGGGAAAGCCTAGGGTGGATTAGGGCAGCTGGAGTGCTTGAGGTCGGACCTCAAGGAGGACTTCCGGGTGGGTGGGGAGCCAGAAAGGAGGGCCCTGGGGTCCCTGTCTGTCTTACTCTGCAATACCAGAGAGCCTGACTGGGTTGCAGAAATGGGGGGTGGAGGTATAGGGGGATTTGGAAACTCTGTGGACCCCTCTAATCCATCACCTTCTCACCTCATCCCTTTTCTTTTTCTGGGGAGGGGACCCGAAGCCACCAACCAGCGGGAGAGCCTGCATGGGGGAAGGGAGTAACTGTGGCTGCAATTTCACTGTAAGACTTGGGGTGAGGGGGAATGGATTTGTTGAAGGGAGGGAGATAGATAGATAGATAGATAGATAGATAGATAGATAGATAGATGCATGGATGGATGGATAGATAGATTGATAGGAAGATGGTGGCTCGTCATGGTAGCTCATGACTGTAATCCCAGCACTTTGGGAGGCCGAAGAGGGTGGATCACTTGAGGTCAGGAGTTCAAGACCAGGCTGGCCAACATGGTGAAACCCCATCTCTACTAAAAATACAAAACTTAGCTGGGCATGGTGGTGCATGCCTATAATCCCAGTTACTTGGGAGGCTGAGACAGGAGAATTGCTTGAACCCAGGAGGCGGAGGTTGCAGTGAGCCGAGATGGAGCCACTGCACTCCAGCCTGGGTGACAGAGTGAGACTCTATCTCAAAAAAAAAAAAAAAAAAAGACAAGAAGATGGGCTGAAGGAGGAAGAAAGGTGGGAGTTGGGGTTGGGAGGGGAGTGGGGTAGAGTCGGATAGTGAGAGAGAGTGCCCAGGAAGGGAGAAAGAGATGGAAGGATGGAGAGAGAGACAGGGGCCGAGATGGAGGGGAAAGAAAGATGGGAGAGGACTCGGGAGGGGTCGAGGGTGGGCAGGAAGAGCAAAAGAGGTTAGGGTGGAGACAGAAGGGAAAACAATGCGGGGGTGGGGAGGGAGATGGGAGAGGGGAATATGGGTACTAGTACTGAGACGGGTAACACAACGGCAAAAATAGCCAACAGAGATTCAAAGAGACATGATGAAAGAGTTCCTTGGAGAGACATGAAAAGGAAAGAGCAGAGGATTTCTCGACTGGAACTCAGACTTAGGGTTGAGTTGGTTGCCTCCACTCTCTGATTCCCTAAGCCACCCTGGCCAGACTCGTTTCTCCGGACCTTGTGACCTGCAGAAGCTTACAGTGGTAGGGCCAGACATGGTGGCTCATGGCTATAATCCCAACACTTTGGGAGGCCGAGGCAGGAGGATCACCTGAGGTCAGGAGTTCGAGACTAGCCTGACCAACATGGTGAAACCCTGTCTTTACTAAAAATACAAAAACTAGCTGAGTGTTGTGGTGCGTGCCCGTAATCCCAGCTGCTCGGGAGGCTGAGGCAGGAGAATCGCTTGAACCTGGGAGGCAGAAGTTGCAGTGAGCTGAGATTGCACCACTGCACTCCAGCCTGGGCGATACAGTGAGACTCTCTTAAAAAAAAAAAAAAAAAAAAGCTTACAGTGGCAGGAGACTAGGCGGTATCCAGTTAACTCACATTTGGTGGCTCTAGCCAGTGCTGTATATAGCAGCATTCCCCCACCCACGCAGTGCCATGAGACCCCAGGCCTCGGAGGAGGCAGTGGGGAAAGGTCCAGGTGGAGAATGGGGCAGAGAGGATGGGAGACAGTGGTTGAGAAGGGATAAGTAGATACAAAGAAAGAAACAACCTTCCAGCATGCCTATGTTTTCCTGGCGTGTTCTGTTCACTGTTGTGTTCCTGCTAGACTGTTGGCACCACGAGGGCAGGCATTTCTGTCTGTCTTAGTCACTGCTTTTATTTTATTTTATGATTATTATTTTTTGAGATGGAGTCTTGCTCTGTTGCCCAGGCTGGAGGCAGTGGCACGATCTTGGCTCACCACAACCTCTGCCTCCTGGGTTCAAGCAATTCTCCTGCCTCAGCCTCCCTAGTAGCTGGGATTGCAGGCATGTGCCACCATGCCCGGCTAATTTTGTATTTTTAGTGGAGACGGGGTTTCTCCCTGTTGGTCAGGCTGGTCTCGAACTCCCGACCTCAAGCGATCCGCACCCCCACCCCCCCCACCTCAGCCTCCCAAAGTGCTGGGATTACAGGCGTGAGCCACCGCAACTGGCCTAGTCACTGCGTTTATAGCGTGACCCGGAACAGGTCTGGAGCCAGACTGCCTGGTTGCAGAATCCCAGTTCTGCCCCCATTCTTGCTGTGTGACCCCAGCAACCTCTCTGGGCCTCAGCTAGCTCAGCTGTAAAATGGGCATCATCATAACACCTCCTCCCATAGTATGGTTGTCAAGATTAAAGGAGACCATTCTTGTGAAGTGCTTGGAGCAGCTAACTGATAAATATTGGTTGAATGAATGAAAGAATATACAGAGGGTTACTTAGGAGGCACTGCAAGATCTACCGTGTTCCATTGACCTAGGATGCACCTTTTCCCCCCATTTGAACATTTCCAAAAATGGGATGCATTTTACAGTCAACAGTGTCCTATGATTTTAACTGAGTGTTTTTCCCATTTGTATTAATATATAAAGTAATGCTGCAGCTTCCAGAGAAGTCTTAGATTTGAAGATATATAGTAAATGGATAATATTATTAGGTTGAAAAGTGATTTCTGATATTCAAACACTTTTATGTATAAATACAGTAATTTATTTTTATTTATTTATTTTTTTTTTTTGAGACAGAGTCTTGCTCTGTCGCCCAGGCTGGAGGGCAGTGGTGCAATCTCGGCTCACTGCAACCTCCACCTTCTGGGTGCAAGCAATTCTCCTGCCTCAGCCTCCTGAATAGCTGGGACTACAGGCGCCCGCCACCATACCTGGCTATTTTTTGTGTTTTTAGTAGAGACAGGGTTTTGCCATGTTGGCCAGGCTGGTCTCGAACTCCTGACCTCAAGTGATCCACCTGCCTCGGCCTCCCAAAGTGCTGGGATTACAGGTGTGAGCCACTGTGCCCAGCCTAAATGCAGTAATTTTATAAGCTAAAAGATTGAAGAGAGCTACACATATATGTTAGATATGTTAGATTATTACAGAGTTATAATAACTTTTTTTTTTTTTTTTTGAGACAGAATCTCACTGTCGCCCAGGCTGGAGTGCAGTGGCATGATCTCAGCTCACTGCAAGCTCCACCTTCCGGGTTCACGCCATTCTCCTGCCTCAGCCTCCCAAGTAGCTGGGACTACAGGCGTTCGCCACCACACCCGGCTAATTTTGTTTTTGTATTTTTAGTAGAGACAGGGTTTCACCGTGTTAGCCAAGATGGTCTCGATCTCCTGACCTTGTGATCCACCTGCCTCGGCCTCCCAAAGTGCTGGGATTACAGGTGTGAGCCACCGTGCCCGGCCTATAATAACTCTTTATGATTACTAAAATTGAGAACTGCTGATTTACCTAATAAACCAGCAGTTATTAAATGTTTTGGTCTCAGGACCACCCCCCTTCTTTTTTTTTTTTTTTTGAGATGGAGTCTTGCTCTGTTGTCCTGGCTGGAGTGTGCAGTGGCATGATCTCAGCTCACCGCAGCCTCAGACTCCTGGGCTCAAGCGATCCTCCTGCCTCAACCTCCCGAGTAGCTGGGATTACAGTCCTGTGCCACGATGCCGGCTGATTTTTGTATTTTTGGTAGATAACAGGGTTTTGCCACGTTGCCAGGCTGGTCTTGAACTTCTGACCTCAAGTGATTCACCCTCCTTGGCTCCCAAAGTTCTGGGATTACTTTGGGAGGCTGAGGCAGGAGGATTACTCGAGGCCAGGAGTTTGAAAACAGCCTGGGCAACATGGTGAATCCCCGTCTCTACTAAAAATACAAAAAAATTAGCTGGGTGTGCGGTGCATGCCTATAATCCCAGCTACTTGGGAGGCTGAGGCAGGAGGATCACTTGAGCCCCAGAGTTTGAGGCTACAGTGAGCTGCGATTGCACCACTGCACTTCAGCCTGAGTGACAGAGTGAGACCCTGTAGAAAAAAAAAATTATTTAGGAGTCCAAACAGTTTCTGTTGATGTGGGTTATGTCTATCTACGTTTACAGTATTTACAATTAAAACTGAGAAATATTACAAACATGTATTCATTTAAAAATAGCAATCATTTGTTAGTGTAAAAGATTTTTATTAAAAAAACCAAATTTCAAAAAATTTAGTCAAAAGAGCGACACTGTTTTTTTCCATTTTTGCAAATCAAGTCTGGCCCAGTGGAAGACAGCTGGATTCTCCTGGTTGCTTCTTCATTCTCTCTGTTGGAATATCAACACCCCCTGGAAAACTCCACTGTACACTTCATGAGAAAGAGAGTGAAAAGGGCTAATAATAACTTAGGATTGCGGGTGTGGTGGCTCATGCCTGTAATCTCAGCACTTTGGGAGGCCGAGGCGGGCAGATCACGAGGTCAGGAGTTCAAGACCAGCCCGGCCAACATGGAGAAACCCTGTCTCTACTAAAAATACAAAAAAAAAAAAAAAAAAGCTGGCGTGGTGGCACACACCTGTAATCCCAGCTGCTCTGGAGGCTGATGCAGGAGAATTGGTTGAGCCCAGGAGGCGGAGGTTGCATTGAGGTGAGATCACGCCACTGCACTCCAGCCTGGGCGACAGAGCAAGACTCTGCCTCGAAAAAAAAAATAGCATTATTTTGAAAATAGTTTTGACTTCGTGGACATCCTCAAAGGGTTTCAGAGACTGCCCTGGGAGTCCCGAACCCTGGAGAATCACTTAAAGGATGATGTTGAGTGTATGGGAGCATGGTGGGTGGGAAAGCAGGGGGCAGAAAGGGCGTGTCCAGGGAGTGAGGAGAGACCTTGAGAGACTGCTTTCTACAGATAGAGGTAATGATGGAAGGGATTTGTAGAGAAGGCAAGATGGACAGACAGACGGACACTCAGTGGGTCCTGGGATCCTTTGCTGACCAGCAGAGTGGAGCCCCACTGACCCCTCCTTTCATCTTTCCCCTAGGTCTACTCGCCGGTGACCCCAGTGCCCACCATGGCCCCCCTCAACTCCTACATGACCCTGAATCCTCTAAGCTCTCCCTATCCCCCTGGGGGGCTCCCTGCCTCCCCACTGCCCTCAGGACCCCTGGCACCCCCAGCACCTGCAGCCCCCCTGGGGCCCACTTTCCCAGGCCTGGGTGTCAGCGGTGGCAGCAGCAGCTCCGGGTACGGGGCCCCGGGTCCTGGGCTGGTGCACGGGAAGGAGATGCCGAAGGGGTATCGGCGGCCCCTGGCACACGCCAAGCCACCGTATTCCTATATCTCACTCATCACCATGGCCATCCAGCAGGCGCCGGGCAAGATGCTGACCTTGAGTGAAATCTACCAGTGGATCATGGACCTCTTCCCTTACTACCGGGAGAATCAGCAGCGCTGGCAGAACTCCATTCGCCACTCGCTGTCTTTCAACGACTGCTTCGTCAAGGTGGCGCGTTCCCCAGACAAGCCTGGCAAGGGCTCCTACTGGGCCCTACACCCCAGCTCAGGGAACATGTTTGAGAATGGCTGCTACCTGCGCCGCCAGAAACGCTTCAAGCTGGAGGAGAAGGTGAAAAAAGGGGGCAGCGGGGCTGCCACCACCACCAGGAACGGGACAGGGTCTGCTGCCTCGACCACCACCCCCGCGGCCACAGTCACCTCCCCGCCCCAGCCCCCGCCTCCAGCCCCTGAGCCTGAGGCCCAGGGCGGGGAAGATGTGGGGGCTCTGGACTGTGGCTCACCCGCTTCCTCCACACCCTATTTCACTGGCCTGGAGCTCCCAGGGGAGCTGAAGCTGGACGCGCCCTACAACTTCAACCACCCTTTCTCCATCAACAACCTAATGTCAGAACAGACACCAGCACCTCCCAAACTGGACGTGGGGTTTGGGGGCTACGGGGCTGAAGGTGGGGAGCCTGGAGTCTACTACCAGGGCCTCTATTCCCGCTCTTTGCTTAATGCATCCTAGCAGGGGTTGGGAACATGGTGGTGGGTATGGCTGGAGCTCACACCACGAAGCTCTTGGGGCCTGATCCTTCTGGTGACACTTCACTTGTCCCATTGGTTAACATCTGGGTGGGTCTATTACTTACTGTGATGACTGCTGTCTCAGTGGGCATGGTGTTGATCCACGGGGTACTGTGATAACCACCATGGATACATTTTGGTGGCCCACTGGGTACTGTGAGGACTGCTACATTGATGGATGTTATTGGCTAATCCACTGCATGGTTTGATGGCCACCATCTCGGTTGGCCCTTTGGGTGTGATGGTGATAGCATTTCAGTGACATCTTCTTTGGCCCCCCCCATTAGGTGCTGTGCCCACTTCTTTTTTGGTGTACTTGGCACAGTAGGTGCCAAGTTGGCCACCATTCTGTGTAACACCTTTTTTGGCCCATTGGGTGCTTTGATGGACATCATACTGGGTAGGTGACAACGTCAGTGGGCCACCATGTGCCATGATGGCTGCTGCAGCCCCGTGTTGGCCATGTCGTCACCATTCTCTCTGGCATGGGTTGGGTAGGGGATGGAGGTGAGAATACTCCTTGGTTTTCTCTGAAGCCCACCCTTTCCCCCAACTCTGGTCCAGGAGAAACCAGAAAAGGCTGGTTAGGGTGTGGGGAATTTCTACTGAAGTCTGATTCTTTCCCGGGAAGCGGGGTACTGGCTGTGTTTAATCATTAAAGGTACCGTGTCCGCCTCTTACTGAATGTCTCTTTTCCTTGGCCAGTGGGCCCTGTGGGGCTTGAACACCTGAATTTCTGCTCCTCTGTCCCTTCTGCTTCCTGCCCCTAAGAGCTGGCTGCCTCTGGGGGAGGAGTTGGGGGAGGCATCGACCTGACCTTTGGCTCTTTGCTGTCCCTGACCCCAAGGACAGTTTGCTCACAGATAGCAGCCCCCGCAGCAGTGGGGCCAGAGCAGCAGGGGGAGGTGGCTCTGCAGTGACCAAGGCCATCTCCCCACCCCCACTTCTCAGACATACACACAGACCTCTACCTCTGAGGCTCTGCAAGCCTAATGGCCGAATAATCTTTGGCTAAGCTGGGGAGGAGGAAAAAGGACAGATGAGGTGTCAATTCAATGACTGGAGATCGTGCACATGTTGGAGTTTATCTGCGTGTGTGTGTGTGTGTGTGTGTGTGTGTGTGTGTCCTCTGTGTGTCATAGGATAGCACTATGCCTATTGGGGTCCTCATGGTCTACCGCAGGGTGTTGTCTGTTGTCAGTATCCCTTGATTGTGTAGGTTTTTGTGTCTGTTCATACCCTGGGTATATGCTTACTTGCCCTGGGTGGCTGGGAATATCAGACTCTTGTGTATGTTTTTTTTTGTTTTTTTGAGACAGGGTCTCGCTCTGTTGCCCAGGCTGGAGTGTGTGGCACAATCTTGGCTCACGGCAACCTCCACCTCCTGGGTTCAAGTAATTCTCTTGCCTCAGCCTCCTGAGTAGCTAGGATTACAGGTGCCCGCCACGACACCTGGCTAATTTTTGTATTTTTAGTAGAGACAGGGTTTCACCATGTTGACCAAGCTGGTCTCAAATTCCTGACCTCAAGTGATCCGCCCACCTCAGGCTCCCAAAGTGCTGGGTTTACAGGCGTGAGCCACTGTGCCCTGCCTTTTGTGTATGTCTTTATTGTGTTGTGTGTGTGGTTCTCTGTGTACACTTATCCCTGGGTCTCTCTGGGTCTCACACTGTGTTACGTGTGTGTCTATATGCCATTCTCTACCTAACTCACTGCCTCAGAGAGTGCGTGTGTGGAACGAGATGCATATGGCAGGGCTGGCTGTTCTTGTGTGTTCTATGTGTGTCTCTGTGAGTCCGTGTATGTCTGCATGCTTAAAAGAAAACATGTAGTCTGGGTGTGGCGGCTTATGCCTGTAACCCCAGCACTTTGGGAGGTCGAGGTGGGCGGATCACTTGAGGTCAGGAGTTCGAGACCAGCCTGGCCAACATGGCGAAGTTGGCCTAAAAATACTCTATTAAAACACAATAATTAAGCCGGGCATGGTGGCTCACACCTGTAGTCCCAGCTACTCAGGAGGCTGAGGCAGGAGAATTGCTTGAACCCAGGAGGCAGAGGTTGCAATGAGCCGAAGGTTGCAGTGAGCCGAGATTGCACTGCTGCACTCCAGCCTGGGCGACAGAGCAAGACTGTCTCAAAGAAAAAAAAAAAAAGAAGAAAGCATGTGTGTTTGTGTGTGTCTGGTGGCTACCTTTGCTGTGTACTTGTCACTGTTGCATTTGCATCTGAACGTGTGTGGAGAGTAGGCTGGCCTGGTGTCTGTCACTTTTGCAGGAGAGTGTGCGGGGAAGGAACCGTGTCCTCCTTCAGCCACTGTGAGCCTCTGGGTTTGGGATCTGTGTTTCTGTCCCCCAGGTCTCTCCTGTGACTCTGAGTCTGCCTGTCTGTTGCTCAGATTGGCTGTCCCAGAAACACAACTGTGCACCTCCCACCTCTCCTTTCAGAATGGAAACTGAGGCCCAGATGGGATGGGACTGGGCTAAGGTCATTCAGCGGGGCTGGAGTGAGTGGGCAAGGTTGATCTGATTCTGTCTTTTCCTTACCTGTCATCTGCCTTTCCTGGTTGCTGGCTCTCTGGTTGCTCATTCATTTATTCAGTCAGCCAGCCAGCCATTCAGTCATTTGAAGACCAAAGACTTTGTCTAATCCACGTGTGTGTGTGTGTGTGTGTGTGTGTGTGTGTGTGTATGAGCGCACACGTGCATGCATGCACACCAGTGTGACGTGTCTTTCAGTTTCTGTGGGTCCATCTTTTTCCTTGTCTCTTAGTGTCCTTTTTTCCTCTTTTTCTTTCCCTCCCTCCCTTCCTTCCTTCTTCCCTCTTTTCTTTTCTTTTCTTTTTTTTTTTTTTTTTGACAGGGTCTTGCTCTATCACCCATGCTGGAGTGCAGTGGCGCAATCACAGCTCACTGCAGCGTCGACCTCCTGGGCTCAAGCTATCCTCCCTCCTCAGCCTCTCGAGTAGCTAGGACTACAGGTATGCACCCCCACGCCTGGCTAATTTTTTAATGTTTTATAGAGAAGGGGTCTCCCTGTGTTGCCCATGCTATTCTTGAACTCCTGGCCTCAAGCAATCCTCCCGCCTCAGCCTCCCAAAGTGCTGAGATTATAGACATGAGCCACTGCGCCTGACCAGTGTCATTTCTTTCTGTATCAATCTGTCCCTCACCCTCTTTCTGTGCCTTTATCTGTGTTTCTTGGTTTGAGTTGCTGGTGCTGTCTGTGTGTGTCTGTCTCTCCTATGGCTCACCTCATGCTCTCTCTCTCTCTCCCCCCTCGCTCACCCGGCCCCCGCCTTTTCTCTCTACTGCTCTGACTTCCCTCCTCCCTCCACCTGGGTCTCTGGGTTTCTCCCTCCTTCTCTCAGAGTGACTCTTTCCTGGGGTCCGTCTCCCCCCACTCCTTTCCTGGATCTCTGGTCTCTCTTTCTCTGGCCTCCATCCCTCTCCCAGCTCTCTGGGTTTCCGCCTCTACCTGCCACCTCGCAGGCCAGGCCCTCTATTCCTGTCGCTGCGCCCCGCCTTGCCGGCTGCGTGTCACCCCCGCCCCCTGCCGCGCTGGCTCCCCGTCCGTCCCACCAGCCTTGCTGTCCTGGGCAGGCCGGGGAATTCCTCCCGGTTCCTGGAAAAAACAACTGGGGCCGAGAGAAAGGCCCTCAGTCTCCCCAGGCACCCGCCCCCCTCCCTCGGGCCTGGGGGTCTCTCCCGGAGTCGGCCAGCCCGAGGCAGGAAGCCCTGCGGTTTCTGGCTTCTCCCAGGCGGCCTCCGGATCTGGCCCCCGCCCCCCGGCCAACAGCCCAAATATTATTCCGCGGGAGGAGTCGGTGGTGGCGGGAGGAGGCCCAGGCTGAAAGAGGCTTTCAGGGCGGCCAGGCCTGGGGCTTCCTGTCCCCAGGCTCGGGCCTCAGGCCGCCCCAGTGGGGACCTCAGGTGGCCGGAGGGGCGGGGTGTTGTTGTAGGGTCCTCGGGGGAGGGTGGGGCCATCCGTCGGGGTGTCTGGTGGCCACCAGCTCTGCTGGCGTGGGCAGGTGTGACCCCCACCCCAGGGACAGCCGGCTGATGTCCAGCGTGGAAAAGTACCACGGTCAGACATGGGACGCATGGACAGACACGGGACGCCACGAATCAGGGATGTGGGGTGGCCATGGGGACACAGGCGGCCCTGGGCTGTGGGCCTAAGGTGACATGGTCCAGGGGAGGGGCCTGTGGGTTGGAGCAGAGGCCGGGGCAGGGTCGCAGCTGTGGGCAGAGGGCTGTCAGCATTAGGAGGTACCAGATGATGATGATGATGATGGTGATGATGGTGATGATGATAATTAAAAGATCCTAGGGCTTCCCATGAGTCAGGGATTGTGTTAGCACCTTACAGAACTGATGGGCTCCATCTCTCCCGCTCCCCCCAACTTTACTGTTGAATGAAACTGAGGCACAGAGAGGTGAAGTAACTTGCACAGATAATGAGTGGGGTGCTAGGGCATGAACCCAGGCAGTCTGGGCCCAGAGTCAGTGCCTCTAAGCACCCCGCTGTTCTGCAGGATGGGAGGGATAGCGGCAGTGCAGCACAGTCCTGGGGTCCCAAGCCCTCCCTGGCAGGCACCCCCCCTCTCTGCCACAGCCTGCCATATGGCAGGAGGTGGGTTCCCAGAAGCCACATACTCACTGGTGACCAGGCGGTTCACAGCTAGGTAGGACATGTGTGTCTAAGCGGTTTGTCATTGGGCTTTATTCGCGTGTCTTGCTGTCAGCGTCTCAATGTCACTGTGTCTGTGGGCTCGTGTGTTACTCCATGGTGTGTCTCTGTTGAGCGCATGAGTGTGTGTGCCTGGACACCTCTATGTTGGTGTCCATTGCTGGGTTTGTGTTGGTGTCACTGACTGTCTCACCGTGTACACGTGTAGGTGACTGTTCTGTCATTGTCTTCTTTGTGGCTGTCACCATGTTCTCTATGTCTGTTCATCGCTGTGTGCTTTGTCACTATGCCTCTGTGCCTGACAACACATTTGCCTGTCATTGTGTTTTCTGTGAGCATGCATCAGTGTGTCTGTCACCGTGTCTGTGACAGTGTGTCTCTGTGACTGTTTACGTCTCTGTCACTCTGGACCTGTCACTGTGGCTCTGTCTATATCTGTCACTGTGTGTCACCGTGTCTGTCCCTCTATGTGTCACCATCTACCCAGGTGTCACCATGCATGTGTTACTCATCGCCCAGGCCACAGGTGGGTGTGTCGGGCCCACTGGTGCCAGGGCTGTGGCCCAGCCCCTCCCACCCTTGCTGACCGTGGGCCAGGCTGGGCGCCTATTTGCAATCCTGCCCCAGGTAAACACCAAGATCCGGAACCCAAGGGCCACCTCCCTCACCTCTGCTCCTGCCCCTCAGCCTGTTCTGGGCTGGACCAGAGCCCTGCAGACAGTGTGCCCCAGACTGGAAATGGGCCCTGAGCCTCCCCCTAACCCTGGGCACCAGCCTCCCCAAGCCTTCAGCCTCAACTCTCTGTCTGTCTGTCTGCTTCTCTCTCTCTCTCACTGCATGTCGATTTCTCTGTTTCTTTTTGTGCCTGCTTCCTCTCACCTGGGCTTCTCTATGGCTCTGCCTCTCTCTGGAATGACGCTTGTCTTCATTCTGTCACTGTCCCTCTTTCTGTGGCTCTTTCTGTCTCTCTGCAGATAGGTTCCATTTCTCTGGATGTTCAGCTGATGTGTCTCCATTTGAGTCCGCCTGCTTCGTGACACTTGCTTTCTATCTAATGCTGGCACTGTCTCCGTAAGTCTGTTTCTGTCCCACTTTGTAAGTTTCTCCCCCACCTTCTCTCTGTCCACCGTCTCTCTGTCTACTCTGAGCCTCTTAGTCTTGGGCACTATCTCTGTGGGTCTCTGAGTCCCCAGCCCCCACAGGGGCAGACTGCCATGCCTGGACCCTTAGGGGAGTGTGTAGCCCCCAGTCTCCCCCAGCCAGTGTGCTGGTGTGTGTGTGTGTGTGTGTATACACACACACACATATATATAAATGTATATGTGCATATTATTTATATCTGTACCCAGGCAGGAGGGGAAGACACTGGGGCCTTTGTGTAGCCGCTGCCCTCCTGCCCGCCACTCTTCTCCCTTCGTCCCTGCCGCCCGCCCACCTCCACTCCCCCTGCACAGAAAGGTTCCTGTGGGGCCTGCCAGCTTCCTCTGCCTGAGGTGTGAGTGGGCACGCCACGGGTGAGGCAGGCAGGAGGGCCTGGGGGATTTTTCCAGCCCCAGGAAGCTTTCCGGGTGGGGAGGGTTCTGGAAGGAATGGGAGTTCTCAGCAGGGCTGCTGTGGGTCTGTGTGGATCTGCTGTCCCTGAGTGTCCCCGGGCCCTGAGCTGGCCTCTCCCTGGGGGTCTCTGAGCCTGTTCGTCCATCTAGTTGCCATTCTGACGTTTTCTCTGTTGGTTTGGGGTCTCACTCACACATGCACACACAGTCATCGGGCATTTGTGTTGGGCTCCGTGTTGAGAACACACAGATAAATGTCGGTCCCAGCGGGTTCTATGCCGTTTCTGTCTCATTTGCTCCATCCCTTTACCCTCTGCTTGAAAGCTCCCACCTTTTCCTATTAAAACAAAATTCAGGCCAGGTGCAGTGGCTCACGCCTGCAATCCCAGCACTTTGGGAGGCCAAGGCGGGCGGATCACTTGAGGTCAGGAGTTCGAGACCAGCCTGGCCAACATGGTGAAATCCCGTCTCTACTAAAAATACAAAAATTAACCGGGTGTGATGGTGGGCGCCTGTAATCCCAGCTACTCAGAAGGCTGAATCAGGAGAATGGCTTGAACCCTGGAGGTGGAGGTTGCAGTGAGCTGAGGTCGTGCCACTGCACTCCAGCCTGGGTGACAGAGAGCAAGACTCTGTCTCAAAAAATATAAAAAACAAAATTCAAAGTCCTTATCACAGTGTACAGGTCCTCTTACTGCTCCCCCACCATCCCTCTGATTCAATTTCCTACTACTGTCCCCCAGCACTGGTCACCTGGTTGCTTCTGGGACAAACCAAGCAGGCTCCCACCTCAGGACCTTTGCAGGTGCTATTTACACAGATTTCTGCTGGCTTACTCCCTCCCCTCCTTCAGTTCTTAGTGTCACGTGCTCAGTGAGCTCTTCCCTACATCCCTTTCTAAAATAGCAACCCCAACTGGACACGGTATCTCATGCCTGTAATCCCAGCACTTTGGGAGGCTGAAGCAGGCAGATCACATGAGGTCAGGAGTTTGAGATCAGCCTGGCCAACATGGTCAAACCCCATCTCTACTAAAGATACAAAAATTAGCCAGGCATGGTGGTGCGTGCCTCTAGTCCCAGCTACCCGGGAGGCTGAGGCAGGAGAATTGCTTGAACCCGGGAGGTGGAGGCTGCAGTGAGCTGGGATCGCACCACTGCACTCCAGCCTGGGCGACAGAGCGAGGCTCTGTCTCAAAATAAATAAATAATAAAATAAAATAGCAACCCCGGCTGGGTGCGGTGGCTCACACCTGTAATCCCAGCACTTTGGGAGGCTGAGGCGGGCAGATCGTTTGAGCTCAGGAGTTTGAGACCAGCCTGGCCAATATGGTGAAACCCCATCTCTATTAAGATAAAAAAAAAGAAAGTAAAATAGAAACCCCCATCACTCTTTATCCCCTTTCCCTGGTTTATTTTTTCTTCTTAGGACTGACCATTCTAAGTGTCTTTTTTTTTTTTTTTTTTTTTTTGAGACAGAGTCTTGCTCTGTCACCAGGCTGGAGTGCAGTGGCATGATCTCCGCTCACTGCAACCTCTGCCTCCCGGGTTCAAGTGATTCCCCTGCCTCAGCCTCCCAAGTAGCTGGAACTACAGGCGTGTGCCACCACGCTTGGCTAATTGTTTGTATTTTGGTAGAGACGAGATTTCACCGTGTTGGCCAGGATGGTCTTGATCTCCTGACCTCGTGATCTGCCCGCCTTGGCCTCCCAAAGTGCTGGGATTACAGGCGTGAGCCACTGCGCCCGGCTGGCTGTCACATTTTATGGTCCTGTTTCCATCTCTTACCTGAATGCCAGCTCCATGAGAGCAGGGGCTGGATTCTGTTTCCTGCTCCATCCACATTATCTCCCCCAGTGCTTGTCACATGGTGGATGCTGAATAAACACTTGTTGAGGAAGAGAAGCAGTCCATTAATCTATCCATCCCTTAAGCTGACCCTGTGCTGGGTGATGCTGGGGACGCAGTGGTGATCAAGACAGCCCTGGCCTTGCCCTTTTGGGGCTCACAGTCTGCTTGCCAGACAGCAACACTCCAGAATGGACAGGGCTGGGATTGGGGGAGCACAGAGGGATATGTGGGGTGCAGAAATGGCAGCTGATGCAGCCTGGGGGTCAGGCTTCTTGGAGGAGGTGCCTTGACTGGGGACTAAATGACCCAAACAGATCCAACCTTGCACTTCCTCCAGTTCCCTGCCTGTCTCACAGAACTTTCGAGTTTGATGATGTCATCACTCTAGTTCACACCTGTGCCTTTTCCTGATTTCAGTCTTTCTCATCTCTCCTTTTTTTTTCATCTCTTTATTGCCTTCTCTCTGCATCTCAGTCTCCCCTCTTTTGCATCTCTGTTGTTGGCAGCTCATCCGTACATCTCAGTCTCGCTCAACCCATCAGAATATTGTCCATTTCCTTTTCTTTTCTGTCTCTCCTTCTCTGTGTCTGCCTCATCTCTGAGGCTCTCTGGAGTCTCTCCCTGTCTCACTGGGTCTCCGGCTTCTGCGTCTCCTTGTCTCGTTCAGTGAGCTGGTCTCTGCATCTCTCCCTCCCCACCTCTGTTGTCTCCCATCATTCCCTGAGTGTCTCTCTGCGTTTCCCCTATCTCCAAGTCTCTCTACCTGCTTCCTGATTCCCAAATAAATCCAGAACCCCTCCACCCTGGCCCCACCCTGGCACTGGGGGAAGGGGGGCTGATCCAGCCCCCACACCCACACAGGTCAGGCCTTCTGCTCTGTTAATGGTTAACTCAACCTCTATCTAGAATACACACCAGCCAGGCTGGGGGTGACTCCCCTGCCCCCCACCCACCTACCAGCTGTTCTTAAAGGACCAGGTGTCCTCCACAGCAATTTAGCTCCCGCTGGGACATAGGAGCCAGGTGTCTGGAGGCCTCCAGCTGTAAAGATTTGGGGGTGGGGGAGATACCCGGCACTTGGGTCTGCAGAGCTGGGTCAGGGGAAGCCACAGGCTTGCCTGGGAGGGGAGCCCAGGCACAGGAGCTCCATCCAGGTCTCTCTTGCCCCAGGCTTATCACCTGGTGTATTTAATCAGGGGTGGTTTTCCCAGCCCTGCCCTGAGCCCAGGCTGGCAGTGCCAGGGGTGGCAGAACACCTGAGAGCTGACGGCTGGGGGGTGGGGAAGGATGGGACCCCTCAGTCCAAGAACAGAGGGTCCTCCAGATGCGAAGGTTGAAGCCCTAGGATCCCTAATATCTGGGAGTTAGGACATGTAGGTATGCAAGTATGGGTGGGACCCCTGGGTAACCGAGCTGATGGGTCAGGACTTTAGGGGCCTCCAGATTCAGGTGATGGGAACCCTGGGTTCCCGAGGACATCTGGGGGCAAACTTGGATCCCAGAGCTGTCTGACAGTGCTGGGTGGTGGTTGGACAATCATTCCCTATCTCTCTGTCCATCCGCGGGCCTCTGAGCCCCGCATTCCCCCTTCCCGGAATCTCCACCTTAGCTTGGCCGGGGAGGCCGCAGGGGTGGGGGCTGGGCTCTTGGGGCCGCCCCCTCCCCTTAACCCCTGCTTTGCCGCAGCCCGCTCAGGCCCCGCCCCGTGACGCCAGCGAGCAGGAAGTCCTGGTTAATGATCAGCCACCCGGACAGGTGCGGGACAAGGCCGCGCACATCAGAAGCAGCCGCGGAGCGAGTGCCTTTCACTCTGCTCTCTAGGGTGGCCGCCAAAGGGGCTTGTCTCCCAAGACGAGGGTGAGGAATCCAGCTGGGGCTTCCCAAACGTCCGCCTCTGGGGCACCGCCAGAGGCAAGAAGTAGCCAAGTTGTTTCTAGGCATCCTGTTAGTTTACCCCGTGGAGGTAAATTTCCTCTTTCCTCGGGCAGTCCCTCTAGCAGTCTACCCTAAATTCTCCCTTCTACCCGGCAAGAACCCACTGCCCATGTCTTCTAGGAAGCCTCCCGCTGCCTCTTTCCCCTCCCCACGTAGGCGCTGAGTCCTCCACCTTCCAGGTAGAGATAGGGGATGGGTCAGCTACAGAAGGGTAATCTACTCCCAAGCCTGTCTGTGGCTCCCCTGCAGGAGCCATCCCCTCTCTGAGCCTCAGTACTTTTATCTGGAAAACGGGCCGATGGCTGAAACGTGACCAGTGGGTCGCACTTGTTGAAGGTCGGCCGGCGGGACCGCCTGGGTGCAGGGCGCCACCTGGAGGCTACCGCGCAACGTCCTCGCCCTCGCAGGACCAGTTCAGTCCCAAAGGGGGCGCAGCATCTCACACAACTAAGGGACCAAGAAGGAAAAAAAAAACCCATCTTTCGGTTTATTGAAGGAGCAGAAGGGAGCGGGGGGTGGGGGGGTGGGAATTAAATGCTTTTGCCTCGTTTATAAAGAGCGAGTTTTCAGGAGGTCCCTTCTCAAGGAGGAGGGGGGCACCTCTCCCCCAACTACAAGCAGCAGCAAAGCCAAGCCAAGGAGGACAGAGGGAAACTGGAGGGGCCAAGGGACCCCAAACACCCCCTCGGACAGGAGCCACAAGCTTTCTCCCCCCACCCACAATGCATCTACCCCAGGGGACCCATCTGGGTGGAAGAAGGGAGTATGTACACAGATAGAGGTGGCACTGGGCTGGGTCGGGGAGGGAATAATTTATCCGCGGCAGCGGTGGGTGGCAAAGGGGCAGAGGGCAGTAGCCTGGAGGCAGTGGTAGCCTAGGGGTCCCGTTCTTTCTTAACTTTGATGTCTCCAGCAAGGATGGTGGCGATCTCGCCCTGCATGAAGGCCCAGGGCACGGAGGAGCCGACCAGCGGGCACTTGTCTCCGCTCGGGCAGTACACCTCCCCGGCCGGGCCCTGCGCCTTGATGAACTCCCGGGAGCAGGGAAAGCAGAACTTGTGTCCGGGCACCGAGGGGCACTGGACGAAGTGGGTGTCTTCTAGCCGCTCCCTGCACAGGGTACAGCACAGGGGGGCCCCAGGGGTCGCCCCAGTGCCGCTGCCACCCCCGCTGACAGCTTCGGCCCCCGCTGTGGGACTGACTTCTGCTTCGCCGTTGCGGGCCACAAGGCGATGCTGGGTTGGCGGCTGGGCCGTGGAGGAGGCTGCAGGGCTGGCGCCCCCTGCACGCACAGGCCCCCCGCCTCCGCCAGGGTCCTTGGGTGAGTGGCCCAGGGCTTCGGCCACATTCTTCAGGGCGGCAATGGGCGAGGGCACACCAGGGGTCTCAGCGGAGTACGGGCCGCCGGGTGCCACCCAGTGCCGTTGCTGCTGCTCCTCGGTGGTCATCTTCCCAGCCGCCTCGCCCTCCGGCTCGGGGGATGCCTTGCGACGGCGCGGCGTGGGCGCCAGGTTCCGGGATGGGGCTCGCGGGGGTGGGCCACAGAGAGCCGCAGGGGCCGGCTCTGGGTACTGCTGGGGCAGGGCCTCCGCGGGAGCTGGCTCGCGGAAGCTGCGGACGCCGTCGGTAAGCAGCTCGCCCAGCTGCCGCCATTCTCCTGATCCATGCCGGCGTTCATATTCGAGGTACTTGAAGCCCGAAGAAGCCAGTGCCTTGCCCGGCTCCCGCAGAGCATCGTGGAACATCTGGCGAGCCACTGCCAGGACGCCGGCGTACACATTGCCGGAACCACAGGGGTATTCGGTGAAGAGCTTCAGCTCGAACTCGTATCCTGGAGGACGGGCAGTAGCATCGAAGGCGAACACTCGCCCCACCAGCCCGTGATCCTTCTTGAAGCGCACATTGAACGGGGCGCAGGCGGACAGCGCCAGTAGCTGTTCCCGCACTGCTTTGGGGCGCCCGTGCCATTCCTCTGCCCGGCCTCGCATGGCCTCGTTCAGTTCTGCCAGACAGTCCGCATTCCTCTGCTGCTTCTCTTTCTCGAAATCGGAGCCGAAGAGGGGACGGGCAGGACTCAAGCCGGGTGCCAGCGTCAGGCCTCGGCTTCCCAGGCCAGACACTGCAGCTGCCAGCAGCCCAGGGGGCATCAAGCCAGGCATGGAGCCAAGCAAGGCCCTTCGCGCCCCCTCAGCCACGGCCTCCTCACGGCCCAGCCCATTGGCCAGGCGGGACCCCAGAGTGTACTCCAGGGCGGGCGAGGGCAGGGGGAGGCGGCCTGATGATGTGGCCCTGTCATAGCGGTCCTGGCCCGACACGCCGCCGCCGGTCCCTGACGGCTGGGGCTGGGCCTGCGGGGGCGGCAGCTGGGGCCCCTGTGCGGCTGCCGCCGCCAGGTCCTTGGTGGCCGGGTGCTTAAGGGCCGGGGGCCCGGGCGAGCGGCCCTCGGGGAGCACGTGGCTGCGCTTGAGCTGGCGGGCGGCATCGATGAGCAGTTCGATGCGGTCCGCGCCCTCGAAGTTCACGCAGCCGCGACACACGGCCTCGCTGAAGTCCCACACCATGGCCCACGGCATCTTGGGCAGGTCGCACAGGTAGCACCACTGGCGGCGGGACGCCTGCACAGACGCCATGGCCCCAGTCCGCGCGCCGCCCAGCTCCCGCGTTCCACCGGCCGCCGACGTGCGATCCGCGCCGCCAACGTTCGATCCGCGTCCCGGGGACAGCGCGAGCCACGGTCCGGCCTCCGGCTCGGCCTCCCCGCCGGATCCAGGCCCGGCCCCCCTTCCCCGCCCCCTGGGCCCTAAGCCTTTCTGCTCACTCCCGCCTCCCTCGCGAAGGCAGGCTGAGGCACGTCGGCGCCCCCGCCCGGTCCGGGCTCCGAGCCGAGGCGCACAGCTCGGGCCCCACGATGGGCCGCGAGCGCCGCCGCCTCGGGCTCCCGCCGCTCTCGCCGCCGCCGCTGCAACGGCCGCCGCCGCCTCCACCTCCTTCTTCTGCCCCAGAGGCCGCTTCGCAGGGAAAGTTACATAACACGCCTGCAAAGCCTTCTGGGAAACGTAGTCCCGCCGGGGCCGGCTCTTAAAGGGAACGGCGGGCAGACGCGGGCTGGGGGGGTTGTCGCCTCTGCCGGCGCAAACCTTACAACCTTCTCCGTGGGGCCGGAGTTCAGCGCGCCGCAAGATGCTGGGACACAAAGGTGGTAGGCGAGGATGCAATACAAATGATCAGAGCTACTCCGGATTCAGAAATTGTGGGGGTGGGTGGACAGGCTTCCGGGCTTCCAACTTCTGCTCGGATTTGCTGTGCAGCTTTAGGCAAAATGTCTTGCCCTCTCTGAACCTCAGTTTCCCCGCCCAGCAAAGGTGGGCCAATGACGGATTAGGAAAGTAGCAGCTTCTGGGGCGGGGCGGAGAAGCCCTGATTGGCTTCAGAGCAGGGACGGGAAGCTGGCAACTAGGTGGGGGTGGGGGTGGCCACCTGGCACTTCGTCCTCCCCCCGGAATCCTAGATATATGCTTCTGGGGCCCGCCACAGCCAGAGAAGGGAGAGGACTAAGGGCTTCCGAGCCAGAGCCTTGTCTCAGTTGTTTCTCTGCTAAAAGAGTGGGGCGACTGGCCGCCCTCTAACCCTGTCCCAGCTCTGCCCGCGCGCTCTGGTCTCTAAAGGGTTACACCATCGGGGGCTCGGCGTCCCCCACCCGCTTCACTACAATTCCCAAAATGCACTGCGGGTCGGACATAGTGACGCACTTCCGCCCTCTGGGAGGTTTGGGGAGGCCTTCCAGATTCACGCTACTTTCCCGGCTACCCCCCGCCCCCCCACTTTTCTGGGGGCTCTTTACGTGCATTCGGAGCGTGGCGTTTGGGGGACCCTTATCTTCTGTTGCTCCCCAGTTTGAGGGAAGAGTAAGGGGTTAAGAAGTGACGGGCAAGAGGAGGGAGTTGCTGGGGAAGGGCAAACACCAGACCAACCTTTCCCCAACCTTGAGCGCTCACTACCTGGAAGGCCCAATCAGGCTGTGAGGACCCTTCTTCTTTCCCAGGCATTGGGAACTGGACGAGGCTGTCTTTGGGGAAGGGCGGAGGCGGGTCTCCAGGTTCCAACCCACAACAGCCCCTTTCTCTAGGCCTGGGTCCGTGTTAGGTGCTCAAAAATATTTGAATGACGTACCAGTTGGCCCTGGTTTTGTCTAGTGAGGGGCTGCTTGTCCCTTCTCCTCCCGTCCCACTGGAACCGCAGCAGCTCTGATTCTGTTACCCAGACCTCACAATTTTAAAATGGTTTCACAATTTTGTCTACTACCTGTATTTGAACACTTTTCTCCCTTAAAAAAAAGATTTATCAGGCTGAAGTGGGAGGATTGCTTGAGCCTGGAGATAACAGGCTACAGTGAACCATGATTGCGTCACTGCACTCCAGCCTGGGCAACAGAGCAAGATCCTGTCTCAAAAAAATAAATAAAAATAAAAAGATTTATCTATTTTTGCCTCATCCTAGGTAATACGTTCACAATCATGGGTTTCATGTACTGTGGTTACCTTAAAAAAAATTAGTGAAAACTATCGACTCATTCAAGAGGACATTAATATGTCACTTAAAGTTGCCTTTGGGCTATTATTTACGAAACACTAATGGGAGTTAAGGCTTCTGGCCAGATTCAGCCTTCAGGTGGACTGGATTGGCCTCTGACCAGCTGTGGCCTTGGGCCAGTTTCTAAACTTCTTGGAAAAAATGGAGACCCCCTCCAGTCTCCTTTTATTTGGGTACCTTCAGATTGAATGCAAACATGCATATAAATGCTTAGCTTGGTGCCTGGCACAGAAAATAAGTGCCACAAATGGAAGTTGTTTTTAAGCTGGACAGTTATTCAAATATTCAACCCCTCTTCCATGCTGGGCAATGCTGGGGACATAGCAGTGACTGAGACAGGCTTTAAGCCTTGCCCCTGAGAAGCCCCAGCCTGGTGATGGAGGCAGATAGTAAATTTACTCAAATGATGAACTAAAATTTGTGATGACTGCGGTGGGGAATGTGTGTCAGGAAAAGCTTTCCTGGCCATAGTGGCTCATGCCTGTAATTCCAGCACTTTGGGAGGCCGAGGAGGGCGGATCACTTGAGGTCAGAAGTTTGAGACCAGACTGGCCAACATGGTGAAACCTTGTCTCTACTAAAAATTAAAAAATTAGGGGGCCGGGCGCGGTGGCTCACGCCTGTAATCCCAGCACTTTGGGAGGCCGAGGCAGGCAGATCACAAAGTCAGGAGATTGAGACCATCCTGGCTAACACGGTGAAACCCCGTCTCTACTAAAAATACAAAAAATTAGCCAGGTGTGGTGGTGGGCGCCTGTAGTCCCAGCTACTCGGGAGGCTGAGGCAGGAGAATGGTGTGAACCCGGAAGGTGGAGCTTGCAGTGAGCCAAGATCGAGCCACTGCACTCCAGCCTGGGCGACAGAGTGAGACTCCATCTCAAAAAATAAAAATAAAAAAAAAATAAATAAATAAAATTAGGCCGGACAGTGGCAGTGGCTCACATCTATAATCCCAGTACTTTGGGAGCCCTATCACTTGAGGTCAGGGGTTCGAGATCAGCCTGGCCAACACGGTGAAACCCCCATCTCTACTAAAAAGTACAAAAATTAGCCAGGTGTGGTGGCGCACACCTGTAATCCCAGCTACTCAGGAGGCTGAGGCAGGAGAATTCCATGAACCCAGGAGATGAGTTCACACCACTGCACCTCCAGCCTGGGGGACAGATGCAAGACTCCGTCTCAAAAAAAACCAAAAAACAACAACAAAAAAACAAAAAACTAACTAAATAAGTAAAAATACAAAAATTGGCCAGGTGTAGTGGCACACGCCTGTAGTCCCGGCTACTTGGGAGGCTGAGGCAGAAGAATCACTTGAACCCGAGAGGCAGAAGTTGCAGTGAGCCAAGACCGCGCCACTGCACTCCAGCCTGGGCGACAGAGGGAGACTCTACCTCAAAAAAAGAAAAAAAAAAAAGAAAAGTATAATCTAATTATAGGAAGAAAGACTCTGACATCTTTATGTCCATTCTACAGATGAGGACACTGGAAGCCAATGGTTACACAGTTGGCCAGGGCAGCACCAGTACTTGAGCCACGTCTTGAGTCCAGAGTGGTGGTGATTATCTACTTTGTTACCTGGCCCTGCAGCAGAGTAAAAGAACCAGTTCCTGCCTTCATGACATTATGGGCAAATGTGCCTTAAATAGATAAAGGCCTGTGTTCATTTAGAGTCACTATGAAAAAGAACCCAGCTGTGTGTGGTGGCTCATGCTTGTAATCCTAGCACTTTGGGAGGCCGAGGTGGGAGGACTGCCTGAGCCCATGAGTTCCAGATCAGCCTGGACATCATAGAAAACCCCATCTCTAGAAAAATAAAACAATTAGCTGAGCATGGTGGCACATGCCTGTGGTCCCAGCTACTTGGGAGGCTGAGGCAGAAGGATTGCTTCAGCCTGGGAGATCGAGGCTACAGTGAGTTGTGATCATGCCACTGCACTCCAGCTGGGGCAACAGAACGAGATCCTATCTCAAAAAAACGGAAAGAAAAGAAAAGAAAGGAAAAGAAAAAGAAAAAGAACCACAGGACACTGAAAGAGACTCTAAGAGGCAAACCCACGTTAGCCTTGGGGAAGGAATCTAGGACTTTCTCCTGGAGTTGACATTTAGACTGGTATCTAAAGGAAGAGTAGGAATAAGATTTCATGTAAACACAAGACTTGATGGCTTTAAGAATTAAAAAAAAAAAAAAGCTGGAAAACCACCAGCCTCCCAATTGCCTGCCTGTGGAGGGGGCGGGGCAGGTGTAGGTGCTGGTCCCCCAGGCCTGTCTCAGACAGAGCCTCAAGTAATTGTATTAAAAATAAGTTTATTGATATCTTGTCACCACTGGGAGAAAGGAGGGGGTTGAGCTCTGGAAGTCAGAGACAGCAATGGTAGGCAGAGAACCCAACCTGTACCTCTCCCATCAGAACTCGGCGCCTCCTCTCCCTGGGGTATACACGGCTATATCCTCTTTGTCATCCGTATTTTGATTTGTCTTACAACTCCCACCCGCTCCAAAGTCTGGGTTGGGGAGGTGGGGAGTCCCCCACGGGTCAATTCTCTTCAAGTCAAGAACAGGAACTGTTAGGGAAGGGGAGATGTGCAGACCCGAGAGGTTCCCTCCCCACCCCACATAGGGCAATAATAAATAACATGAAATTGATGGCTTAGAAGTCAGGGTTAAGGGAGGCAGCCAGGCAGACAGCACTGTACCAGAGAAAGGGGTTGGGGGGGCCCATTACTGAGGCCCCCCCCAGAGAATCAGGCACTAACTAGCACAGGGAGTGGGTGCTCACATCCCTGGAGCAGGGAGCTAGGGTGCAGCTGGGATGGGCAGAGAGCATCGCCCCCCTCGACTGCGCCAAGCTGGGGAGAGGGGTTGCAGGCAGGATCATAGATAGTAGATTTCACGGAGATTTCCATCGGCCGCGCCTTTTCCGTGTAGGGAAACCTTTTCTCCGCTTGTGTGGGGGGGAGTCGTGCGGAGGGAGCGGGGCTGGGGGGGGCCGGGGTGCCCCCTCCTCGCTCCTTGGGGCAATGATCACTCCCCTGGCTGCCACCACTGCCCCGTCCACCACAGCAGCCACCACGGACACGGGCTCTGGGGTGATCTCCACCTTGGGGGCCGGTGGGGGCAGGACAGGCCTGGGAGGTGGCGGTGGGGGTGGGGGTGGGGGCAGAGGTGGAGGCAGGGAGTCAACTGGGGTTCCTGGCAGAAGGGGCAGCAGAGCGCTGAGGGCCTCGCTCAGTTTGGCCAGTCCCTGTCGAAGGGTGCCGGCCAGCTCCCGGATGGCGTTGGCAGTCTCCTGCTGGGCCCGCAGGAAGTCCAGGGAGGGGTCTGAGGCCGAGAGCGTGGGTGGAGGCCGAGGAGGGGGTGGGGGGCTAGGGGGTGAGGGTGCCACTTGGGCCAGTGGCGGTGGGGGTGGCAGTGGAGGGGCTGGGGGTGGTGGAGACAAGGCCAGGCGAGGCAGCTGGACCGGCTGCAGGGCCGAAGGGGGTGGTGACTCACGCTCCTTGGGCCGTGGGCAGCCCCCTTCCTGGGGAGTGCAGGAGGGCCGGGCCCATGGCTCCGGGCTGCTGGAGCCCGCCTTGCTGTGGGCTGATGTATCTGTAGAGAGAGAAATACAGGTAAGGGGTGAGCGACCCTCGATGCTGCCTTGATTTCCCCTTTCCCACTCCTTCCCTCACCTCCCCCCTACCCGAACCCAGAACTATCCTTCTCACCCCCGCCCCCCAGCCCCAAGACAGTCTTGGTCTGTCACCCAGGCTGTAGTGCAGTGGTGCAATCTTGGCTCACTGCACCTTCCACCTCCTGGGTTCAAGCGATTATCCTGCCTCAGCCTCCCGAGTAGCTGGGATTTCAGGTGACCGCCACCACACCCGGCTACTTTTTCTATTTTTAATAAGAGACAGGGTTTCACCATGTTGGCCAGGCTGGTCTCGGACTCCTGACCTCAGGCGATCCGCCCGCCTTGGCCTCCCAAAGTGCTGGGATTCCAGGTGTGAGCCACCGCGCCTGGCCCCAGAATGATCCTTTTAAAACCTAAGTCAGATCATGCCTTGGAAGAGAAGCTCCATGGCAGGCCAGTCTTTGTACCCGGAGGAGAAAAAGTCCTGCCAGCTTTAGTGGAAACAGGTCCTGGAAGTCCCTTGCTAGGCCAGGCAGCTCCCATCTCACTCACAGTAAGAGCCAACAGTTTTTTTATTTTTTTAATTTTTTTTGAGACAAAGTCTCACTTTGTAGCCTAGGCTGGAGTGCAGTGGCGTGATCTCGGCTCACTGCAACCTCTGTCTTCCGGCTTCAAACGATTATCCTGCCTCAGCCTCCTAAGTAGCTGGGATTACAGGCAGGCGCCACCCCGCCTGGCTAAATTTTTGTATTTTTAGTAGAGATGGGGTTTTGCCATGTTGGCCAGGTTGGTCTCAAACTCCTGACCTCAAGCAATCCACCCACCTCGGCCTCCCAAAGTTCTGGGATTACAGGTGTGAGCCACTGCGCTCGGACAAGGGCCAACATTTGACGAGGTTCTGAACTATATGGATACTGCACCACACTGCTGGATCCTGAGGAAGTGAGAGAGAGGTCTGGGAGAGAGCTGGGGTGTCTGGGCACTGGTGGACACTTCCCTGAGACTCTCTCCAACCAGGACAGCAGGATTTTCCAGTTCAGCCCCCAGCCTGGTAGGTTTCCTCAGTCTGTACTCACCTGGGGTCTCATTCATGCTCATGGGCTTGAACAGTTTGCATACAGGGGCTCCCAGCTTCCTGGGCTCAGCCTGAACCTCTCGCCTGGGCTCCAGACTCCTGTCTCCAGCTGTGTACTCTCAATTGTCGAAAAACGCCCCAAACTCACTTGCTCGGAGCTGGGCTTCTGATCCTCCCCCACCCTGCTCCTTCCTCAGCCACCCCCATCTCAGCTGATGCAGCTCCATCCTCCCAGCTGCTCAGGTTAAACACCTTCACTGTTTTGTTTACTAAGACACCATCCACATACAGAAGCTATCGTCTCTGCCTTCAAATTAAATACATACAACTTCTTTCTTCCTGGTCCCCCACCCTGGCCCAACCACCAGTATCTCCCACCAGGACCACTGCAGTCATCGCCTCCCTGAGGGCTCTCTGCTTCCACCCCTGTCCCTGACAGTATCTTTTTCCACCAGCAGCCTGAGGGGTCCAACCAAAATACAAGTCAGTTAGGCTACGGGAAACAAGCTAGTCACAAAGAACCACAGATCACAGGGGCCATTTATATGAAATGTCCAAAATAGGCAAATTTGGCCGCATGTGGTGGCTCATGCCTGTAATCCCAGCACTTTGGGAGGCCGAGGCGGGTGGATCACCTGAGGTCAGGACTTCAAGACCAGCCTGGTCAACATGGTGAAACCCCATCTCTACTAAAAATACAAAAAATTAGCCGGGCATGGTGGCATATGCCTGTAATCCCAGCTACTGGGGAGGCTGAGACAGGAGAATCGCTTGAACCCGGGAGGCGGAGGTTGCAGTGAGCCATGATCGTGCCATTGCACTCCAGCCTGGGCAACAGAGCGAGACTCTGTCTCAAAAATAAAAATAGGCCGGGTGTGGTGGCTCACGCCTGTAATCCCAGCACTTTGGGATCTGAGGTGGGCAAATCACCTGATGTTGGGAGTTTGAGACCAGCCTGACCAACATGGAGAAATCCTGTCTCTACGAAAAATACAAAGTTAGCTGGGCATGGTGGTGCATGCCTGTAATCCCAGCTACTCAGGAGGCTGAGGCAGGAGAATCGCTTGAACCCGGGAGGCAGAAGTTGCAGTGAGCTGAGATTGCATCATTGCACTCCAGCCTGGGCAACAAGAGCGAAACTCCGTCTCAAAAAAAAAAAAAAAAAAAAGGCAAATCTATAGAAACAGAAAGTAGATGAGTGGCTGCCGGGGGCTGGGGGAAGACAGGGAAGATGGGAGATTGGGGATGGCTAAGAGGTGCAGGGTTTCTTTCTGGAGTGATGAAAATGTTCTAAAATTGATCGTGGTGATGGTTGCATAACTCTGAATATACTAAAAGCCATTGAATTGTACGCTGTATTTTATTTTACTTTTTTTTTTTTTTTTTGAGATGGGAGTCTCACTCTGTCGCCCAGGCTGGAGTGCAGTGGCGCGATCTCAGCTCACTGCAAGCTCCGCCTCCTGGGTTCACGCCATTCTCCTGCCTCAGCCTCCTGAGTAGCTGGGACTACAGGCGCCCGCCACCACGCCCGGCTAATTTTTTGTATTTTTAGTAGAGACGGGGTTTCACTGTGTTAGCCAGGATGGTCTCGATCTCCTGACCTCGTGATCTGCCCACCTCAGCCTCCCAAAGTGCTGGGATTACAGGCATGAGCCACCGCGCCTGATCCTGTACACTTTATTTTTAATTTTTATTTATTTTTTATTTTTTGAGACGGAGTCTCGCTCTGTCGCCCAGGCTGGAGTGCAGTGGTGTGATCTCGGCTCACTGCAAGCTCTGTCTCCTGGGTTCACACCATTCTCCTGCCTCAGCCTCCCGAGCAGCTGGGACTACAGGTGCCCTCCACCACGCCCGGCTAATTTTTTTGTATTTTTAGTAGAGACGGGGTTTCACCATGTTAGCCAGGATGGTCTCAATCTCCTGACCTTGTGATCCACCTGCCTTGGCCTCCCAAAGTGCTAGGATTATAGGCGTGAGCCACCGTGCCTGGCCTTAATTTTCATCTTTTTTTGAGACACAGTCTTGCTCTCTCGCTCAGGCTGGAGTGCAAAGGTGAGATCTCGGCTCACTGCATCCTTAATCTCCCCAGCTTAAGCGATCCTCCCATCTCAGCCTCCTGAGCTTCTGGGACCACAGAGGTGCGACCCCACACCAGGATAATTTTATTTTTTTGTAGAGATGAGGTCTCACTATGTTCCTCAGGCTGGTTTCAAACTCCTGGTCTCAAGCAAATCGTACACTTTGAGGTGATTGTATAGTGTGGAAATTATATCGCCATATATATATACATTTTTTTCTTTTTTCTTTTTTTTTTTTGAGATGGAGTCTCATTCAGCTGCCCAGGCTGGAGCTCAGTGGTGCGATCTCGGCTCACTGCAACCTCTGCCTCCAGGGTTCAAGAAATTCTCCACCCTCAGCCTCCTGAGTAGCTGGGACTATAGGTGCACACCACCATGCCCAGCTAATTTTTGTATTTTTAGTAGAGACGGGGTTTCACCATGTTGGCCAGATGGTCTCGATCTCTTGACCTCGTGATCCACCCACCTCAGCCTCCCAAAGTGCTGGGATTACAGGTGTAAGCACTGCGCCCGGCCTTATATTGCAATATAATTGTTTAAAAAAACACAAGTCAGATATTGTTTCTATGCTCAAACCGTCCTGTGGCTCTCACCTCACTCAGGGTAAAAGCAAAGTCCTTGAGGCCTCTAGGGCCCTGCACGATCTTCCCCCATTGCCTTCCTGACCTCAGCTCCCATCCCTCCCTCTTGGGTTACCTGGCTGTAGCCACGGTGGCCTCCTTGCTGATCCTCAAACACATCAGGCCTACTTCTTTTCTTTTTTTTGAGACGGACTCTCATTCTGTCGCCCAGGCTGGAGTGCAGTGGTGCAATCTCGGCTCACTACAACCTCTGCCTCCTGGGCTCAAGCGATTCTCTCACCTCAGCCTCCTGAGTAGCTATAGCTGGGACTACAGGTGTGCACCACCACGCTTGGCTAATTTTTGTTTTGTTTTTGTAGAGACAGGGTTTTGCCATGTTGCTCAGGCTGGCCCCATCTCCTTCTTTTTTTCTCCCCTAACCCTACCTGATTCCTCTCCCAGCACTTATCTCCACCTGGCACGGTATGGCTCTGTGTCTGCTGTCTGTCTCCTCCTCCTGATGTCAGCTCCATCAGGCAGGGCTTTGTATTGCTCCCTTCTGTTTACCCGGCGCCTAGAACAATGTCCAGCACAACATTTTTTCTTTAACGAGAAAAGAACTGGGGCTTCCAGAGACTCAGCGCTGATTGGGTCCCAGGCCCCAGAGTGCCCAGCACCCACAGGAGAAAGTCCAGCCTCTTCCCACGGCTATGGGGCCTCAGCACTTGCCCCCAACTCCGCCTGTCTTCCCACATGTCGTTCCCTGGGCCAGGCTCACACTGCCTCTTGCATCAGCTTGGATGTTTTTTTGGATGTTCCTTCCTCGGGGAAGCTGGCCTCCTGCTCCTTGGCCAAATCAGATCACCCTGCTCTTCTCTCAAAAACAGCCAGCCAAAGAAAGAGAGAAGATAGAGAAAAAAAAAATAACAAAAACAAAAAACCAACCATCCAGGCCGGGTGCGGTGGCTCAGCCGGTAATCCCAGCACTTTGAGAGGCCCAGGCAGGCGGATCACCTGAGGTCAGGAGTTTGAGACCAGCCTGGCCAACATGGTGAAATCCTGTCTCTACTCAAAATACAAAAATTAGCCGGGTGTGGTGGTGCACGCCTGTGATCCCAGCTACTTGGGAGGCTGAGGCACAAGAATCGCTTGAACCCTGGAGGCCGAGGTTGCAGTGACCCAAGATCACACCACTGCACTCCAGCTTGGGCGACAGCAAGAACCTGTCTCAAAAACAAACAAGCAAGCAAACAAATCAGCCACCTCCTACCCTGACTGCTGGGAGTCCAGCCTCCCTGGGCCAGCCACCAGCAGGAGGTAGGGAGGCTGGGAGACAGATGAGTAGAGCGGACAGTGACAGGACACCTGCTCCCGCCAGGCCCTGGGCTAAGCTCCCCTCTTAAGTGATTCCACCTAGTCTTCCCAGCCATTCTCTGGGGTAGGTGCTACCATGATCATCGCCCCATTTTATAGATGAGGTGATTTGAGGCTCAGAGAGAGGTGTCATAGAGTGATATGCAGAAAAGGGATTTGAACCCAGGTTGACTCCAGAGTCCATTCTTTTTTTTTTTTTTTTTTGAGACGGAGTCTCGCTCTGTCGCCCAGGCCGGACTGCGGACTGCAGTGGCGCAATCTCGGCTCACTGCAAGCTCCGCTTCCCGGGTTCACGCCATTCTCCTGCCTCAGCCTCCCGAGTAGCTGGGACTACAGGCGCCCGCCACTGCGCCCGGCTAATTTTTTGTATTTTTAGTAGAGACGGGGTTTCACCTTGTTAGCCAGGATGGTCTCGATCTCCTGACCTCATGATCCACCCGCCTCGGCCTCCCAAAGTGCTGGGATTACAGGCGTGAGCCACCGCGCCCGGCCTCTTTTGTTTTATAGAGATGGGAGCCTCGCTATATTGCCCAGGCTGGTCTCAAACTCCTGGCCTCAAATGATCCTCCCGCCTTGGCCTTCTAAAGTGCTGGGATTACCGGTGTGAGCCACTGCTCCTGGCCAGAGTCCATGGCCTTTTTTTTTTTTTGAGATAGAGGCTCACTCCATCACCCAGGCTGGAGTGCAATGGCGTAATCTCAGTTTCCTGCAATTTCTACCTCCCAGTGCAAGCAATTCTCCTGCCTCAGCCTCCCGAGGAGCTGGAATTATAGGCATATGCCACCATGCCTGGCTAATTTTTGTATTTTTAGTAGAGACAAGGTTTCACCACATTGGCCAGGCTGGTCTCAAACTCCTGGCCTCAAGGGATCCGTGTACCTCGGCCTCCCAGAGTGCTGGGATTACAGGTGTGAGCCACCACACCAGGCCAGAGTCCATGCTCCTAACCATTCCTTGGGCAAGGGCTGTGGGCCTGGGGTGTGAGTGACAAATCTTCCTTATAAGGAACGTGGGAATTGCAGAAACGTGGCTTTTCCAGTCTACTGAGTAAAAAGGAACAGAAAGTAGCCCAGCCTTCATGCCCACAAGGCTCACAGGAGTCACAGCAGTGCCCCTGCAAGAGTTTGTTTTTGGTTGTTTTGAGGAAGGGTCTCACTGTGTTGCCCAGGTTGGAGTGTAGTGGTGCGATCATGGCTCACTGCAACCTCCGCCTCCCAGGTTCAAGGGATCCTCATGCCTCAACCTCATGTGTAGCTGGGACCAAGGCGCCGGCCACCATGCCTGGCTAATTTTTGGATTATTTTGTAGAGATGGGGTCTCACTTTGTTGCCCAGGCTGGTCTTGCCCTCCTGGGATCAAGCAATCCTCCCACCTCAGCCTCCCAAAGTGCTGGGATTACAGGCATGCCTCTGTGCCTGGCTTCCACTGTTTAAAAGTTAAAATCATATTTATTTGCAAACTTTGGATCTCAGTTTCCCTACTTGTTTTCTTTTCTTTTTTTTTTTTTTTAAGACGGAGTCTCGCTCTGTCACCCAGGCTGGAGTGCAGTGGCACAATCTCGACTCACTGCAACCTCCACCTCCCAGGTTCAAGTGATTCTCCAGCCTCAGCCTCCTGAGTACCTGGGACTACAGGCGTGTGCCACCACGTCCAGCTAATTTTTGTATTTTTTAGTAGAGACGGGGTTTCGCCATGTTGGCCAGACTGGTCTTGAACTCCTAACCTCAGGTGATCCGCCCGCCTTGGCCTCCCAAAGTGCTGGGATTACAGGCATGAGCCACCGCAGCTGGCCCTCAGTTTCCCTACTTGTAAATGAGTGTGTGAGCTGGTACTACACAGAGTGCTGGGATTTCAGGCGTGAGCCACCATGCCAGGCCTGTGTATGGTTCTTTTTTTTGTTTTTTTTTGAGACTGAGTTTTGCTCTTGTTGCCCAGGCTGAAGTGCAATGGCGCGATCATGGCTCACTGCAACCTCTGCCTCCCGGGTTCAAGCGATTCTCCTGCCTCAGCCTTCCTGAGTAGCTGGGATTACAGGCATGCGCCACCACGCGTGGCTAATTTTGTATTTTTAGTAGAGACGGGGTTTCTCCATGTTGGTCAGGCTGGTCTCGAACTCCCGACCTCAGGTAAGCCACCTGCCTCAGCCTCCCAAAGAACTAGTATTACAGGCGTGAGCCACCGTGCCTGGCCAGGCCTGTGTAAGATTCTAATCGAGGATGCTCTACGCGTGTTCCTGCCTCAGAGCTTTTGCACGTGCTGTTTCCTCTAGTCTAGCAGGAGTGCCCTTCTCCCAGATGTCTGTCAGGCCTACTCTATTCCCATCTCTACTTGAATTTCACCTTCTCAGAGAAGCCCTCCCTGATTACCCTGTCTGTATAGCCCCCTTCCATGACTCACCATCCTCTGAATATGACTTATTTATCCTCTTAGTTCTCACCACCTCCTGGTATACAGTCTGTTTTGGGACTTCTTTGTGGTCTGTTTCCTCCAACTACATAGAATGTCAGCTCCAGGTCGGGTGTGGTGGCTCACGCCTGTAATCCCAGCACTTTGGGTGGCCAAGGCGGGCAGATCACCTGAGGTCGGGAGTTCGAGACCAGCCTGACCAACATGGAGAAACCCCATCTCTACTAAAAATACAAAATTAGCCAGGCATGGTGGCGCATGCCTGTAATCTCGGCTACTCGGGAGGATGAGGCAGGAGAATTGCTTGAACCTGGGAGGCGGAGGTTGCGGTGAGCCGAGATTGCGCCATTTCACTCTAGCCTGGGCAATAAGAGCAAAACTCAGTCTCAAACAAACAAACAAACAAGCAAACAAAAAAAGAATGTCGGTTCCATAAGGGAAGGGGATTTTGTCTTTTTCTCTACATTATTCCCTGCACCTACCACAGCGTCTGCCTTGGATGAGGTTCTCAATATATATTTGCTAAACGAGTGAATGAAGTGGTAACAAGTTTCTGAAAAAATAAGTTGGCCATCTCTGCTCTGGTCCTATGGGGCCATCTCACAGATGGAAACACTGAGGTTTGATTCAAGGTTTGAGAACAAGGGTCCCATGTGATTGTGTCACCTTCCTGCTTAGGAGATTTTCATGCCTCCTGAATGCCCTCAAGAGCAAGTCCAGGCCGGGCGTGGTGGCTCAGGCCTGTAATCCCAGCACTTTGGGAGGCCGAGGTGGGTGGATCACCTGAGGTCGGGAGTTCCAGACCAGCCTGGTCAACATGGTGAAATCCCATCTCTACTAAAAATACAAAAATTACCTGGGCATGGTGGCAGGCACCTGTAATCCCAGCTACTCAGGAGGCTGAGGCAGGAGAATCACTTGAACCTGGGGAGGCGGAGGTTGCAGCAAGCCAAGATTTCGCCACTGCACTCCAGCCTGGGCAACAGAGCAAGACTCCGTCTCAAAACAAAAAACAAAACAAAAAAAATAGTAAGTCCAAATTCCTGACCTTGACTTCCAAGCCACGTGTAATCTAATTCTGGCACACTCATTAACTCCTGGTCAATATTAACTCTTGTTATTGCTGGGCAATCTTGCTCAGTGGTTAAGTGCCATGGACTGGGGGTTGGACGCACACTTATGCTTGAGTCCTGACTCTGTCACTTACTTGCTGTGTGACCTTGGGTGGGTGAATGAACCTCTCTGAATCACATAATCTTGAACTGTCTTGTTTGATCATGCCCATGTTCCTCCCCTTCTCCAAACTCTTCAGTGGCTTCTCATAGCAGTCAGGATAAAATCCAAACTCCTCACCTTGGCCTAAAGGCCCAGTATGGTCTGGCCTTTGCTGACCTCTCTGAACTCATCTCAAAATGTTACTTTTCTTCAACCTTTCCACTCTACACTCTTTTCCCCGCAACTTCTTTTAGTTTCCCAAACTGGCCAAGCTTTCTTGCCTCCAAGCCATTGTACATGCTGTTCCCTCTACCAAAAATACTTTCCCAGTTCTTCATTCTTACTCTTTGCATCTCAGCTCTGATGTCCCCTCCTCCAGGAAGCCCTCCTGGACCACCCCCCCCCCCACCGAAATCAGAAACCCTCTCTGGGCTCCCACAGTCCCTGGGATCCCCTACCCCAGCCCTGCTCCCTCAAGTCATCACCGTCTTCCCCACCCCCCTACTAGACTGGCTCAGTCATCCATGTGTCCCCAACCTCATCGAGCATGGGGCAGGTGCTCAGGGAACGGCTGTAGAAGAAATAATCCAGAATCAAGGCTAAGCAGGAAGTTTCTGTAGTCAGCTCTCCACACCTCTATCCAAGGCATGACCTTGGGAAAATTACCAAACATGTCTGAGTCTTTTATTTATGAAATAGTGAAATAGTATGCATCTTACCGCATTGATGATTCTATCAAGAACTAACAATGAGAGTTGAGGAGGTGCTGAACTAAGCAACTTACCCATATTAGCTCATTTAATCTTCACAGCAACGCTTTGAGGTGCAGACTATTTTTATCTCCATTTTACAGATGCAGCAACTGAAGTACAGTAACTTACTCAGATGACACAGTTCAGTGGCAAAGTTGTGATCGGAGCCCAGGCAGCCTGCCTCCAGAGTCACTACTCGACACTGCATTTAATGAAATCCTGCCTGTGCTGATGACCCCAGGTGTGGACCTGAGTCAGGCCTCCTAAATCTGGTTCCATTCCTGGCTCTTGACAGTTACTAGCTATCGGAACTGAGGCAAGTCATTTCATTTTTCTGAGCTTCAGTTTCCCTAGCTATAAAATGGGGCGAAGGACAGCATCCACCTCACAGGGCTGCAGCAAGGCTTTGATGAGACATGTAAAAGGCTTGCAACAGCGCAGGCACACAGCCTACTCTGAAGACACTCACCTGCACGTCGGTCCTCCCGGCGGTCTTCCGACAACACGTAGCGCTGAGGGCAGGCGCTTGGGGGCGGCGGCTGTGAAGAGGGGGCCGCAGGGGGCTCCTCCGCCCCAGCACCTGCCCCCGGCGCCGCCACACCTGGCCCCAGGATGGCAAAAATGGTCTCCTCTTCCGCGGAGAAAGCGTCCTCCGCGGCGGGCCCGGCGCCCTGCGTGGAGTGCGGCACGCGAGCGAGCTTCTCCTTGGTGCGGCGCTTGAAGTCGTTCCAGCGCTTCTGCACCTCCTGGCCCGTGCGCTTCCAGCTGGTGATACCGTTGATCTTGGCGGCGATGCCGTCCCACACGCGCCGCCGCTCTGCCACGCTCACCCGACGGCTCTGCGCGCCGTAGAGCTGCGGGTAGTGGGCGCGCACCTCGCGGATCAGGATCTGGTTCTCTTCGAATGAGAAGCGCGGCTTGCGCAACCGGGTGGTTTCCTCCGCTTCGCCCGCCGCCGCCGAGGCCATGGCGCCCCCCGACGCCGCCGTCCTGCCGTCTGGCGCATGGGGGGCGCCGGCGCTGCGGGCAAAGGGCGCACGGGGCTGGCTGGGGTTCGGGGTCCCCCCGCCGCCGCCTCTCCCAGACCGCCGGGCCGAGAGCTCCTTAGTCCCCGGGGGCAGGAGTGGGGGCGGGGGGCGGGCGGGGGCGACGGGCACCCGGGTAAGTCGGAAGCGCCTAAGAGTAGCTGACACCGGCTGAGCGCTTGGCTCGGACTTCGCGCGGCGCGAAGTGCCACGCTGAAGAGTTGATAGAAATTGGGGGAGGGTCTGGAGGGATGGAAGGAAAGGAGGAAAAGTGCGAGGAGAGGAGGTGTCTGCAGGAGTTAGAGAATGGGGGCACGGGAGGATAGGAAATGGAGGGAGGATGGGGGTGCCTCGGGGGGGTCTTAGATGCATGAAGATAAGGAGATGCGGAAGGGGGGATGCAGCAAGAAGGGGGGAATCTGGAGCAGAGGAGGCGCTCTAGGGGCTCTAGGGGGCAACGGGGCGTCTGTAAGACCGATATGAGAAGGGCCCTTAGAGGGATGTCCAGGAATAATGGTGAGGTGGGAGCTCCTGTATCACTGGAAGAGCTGGAACGATCAAATATTAGGGATCAGGGTCTGCGAGGATTGTGGGGGCTCTGGGGATTGCCAGAAATTAAGGGGAGCTCTGGAAATAACGGGGGTCCCGTATCACAAGGAGACAACGGAGGCTACGGGGGACGGCAGGGAGAGCGAAGGTCGCGGAGGGTGGGGACCGAGTCGGGCCACGGGTCACTCACCGGCTCCGCCGCAGCCGCCGGTGGGTCAGGGCTCGGGCTTCTGCGGCCTGTTCCCACCCCCCGCCTCCCTCCCTCCCCTCTTTCGGCCCCGCCTCCGGCCGCCCCGCATGCCAAGGCGCAGGCGCGCCCAGGGCCAGTCGGCCCCAATGCCCTTACCGCCAGGGTTTCATTCCCACCTACCCCAGCACAGCGCAGGCGCAGAACTGCGCTCCGCCGAGCCCCACCAGCAGGCCGCAACTGCGCAGCCGCAACGTTAGCGCCGCGCGGGTACCCCAGCTTCCTGGGGCCACAACGGCGCACGCGCAAAAACTCCATCGCGCGCATGCGCGTGCCTCGGGTTGTACCCGGTACCGGGTCTCGGCGCAGGCGTTGCGAGCTTGGATGGGAGAGATGCTGGGAGCGCGCCAGTACCCAACCTTTCGGACAGTCTTCCAGCCCACCCTGCCCTCTAACCAAAGGGGAGGGAGACAGCGCTGAAGGGAAGCGCTTTGTCTCCTTGACAACTGTGTGGGTGGGGTGGAGGCGTGAGGAAACCGCTTTGCCTCCTGGCTTGCCCGCCCCTGCGCTGGGCCGCTCCAGAGCTTCCCACCTCGCACCCCTAGAGGCTGGGCGTCCTGGGGATGTCCCGCCCCGGGCGGATGCAGTAACCATAGCGACCCACAAGCCTTCCAGTCACGCCTTGGGGGCCCCTCTGTGCGCACCTTTACCTCGAGGAGCGGGGAAAATAAGAGGGAAGAGCTTCCTGGCTGGTAGGAAGGGAGATCCTGACGCCGGCACGACTTTAAGCAAGTGCATGGAGACAGGAATGAAGCCAGAACGCAGGTGGGGTGAGCCGCATGGCAGGATGATGGAGCTCAGTCCGGCTGAGAAGTGTGTTCGTTAGCATCCTGCAGGAGTCCTCAAGGTCATTCGACAATTGGTGCTTCATTCATCGACTCAATAAATATACATGAGCACTTACACAGTTCCTGGTACAATGAACATAAAAGCTAAAATCCGTAGCCTGGGCCGGGCGCGGTGGAGCTCACGCCTGTAATCCCAGCACTTTGGGAAGCCAAGGCGGGCGGATTACCTGAGGTCAGGGGTTCGAGACAAGCCTGGCCAACACAGTGAAACCCCATCTCTACTGAAAATACAAAAACTAGCTGGGCATGGTGGTGCATGCCTGTAATCCCAGCTACTCGGGAGGCTGAGGCACGAGAATCGCTTAACCCCGGGAGGCAGAGGTTGCAGTGAGCTGAGATTGCACCACTGCACTCCACCTGGACGACAGAGTGAGACTCCGTCTCAAAAAAAAAAAAAAAAAAAATACATGCCTGTAGTCCCAGCTACTTGGGAGGCTGAGGCGGGAGGATCGCTTGAGCCCAGGAGTTGCAGGCTGCAGTGAGCTATGATCAGGCCACTGCTCTCCAGCTTGGGCAACAGAGTAAGACCCTGTCTCAAAAGAAGAGAGAGAGAAAAAAAAGGCCCCTCTGCCTGCTGTGTGGAGGGTGGGTGGGAGGGAGCAAGACTACTGGGTAGAGTCAAAAAAAGTCATGAGCAGGGGTAAGAAAAGGATTAGGAAAGCGAGGGGAGACTAAACTAAGACAGGGACAGTGTCAAGGGGGACACGGAGAGACATTTGAGAGAATATATGGAAAGCATGGTGAGTGTCGCGCTAGCGAGGGAAAGGAAGATGTCTAGGTGAAACCCAAGTCTCTGGCCCAGGTTCTCACTTGGGGGTGTGGGGTCAGGTAAGATGTGGTGAATGTAAGGCTGGGTGCAGTGGCTCACGCCTGTAATCCCAACACTTTGGGAGGCTGAGACAGGTGGATCATCTGAGGTCAGGAGTTCGAGACCAGCCTGGCCAACATGGTGGAACCCTGTCTCTATTAAAAATTCAAAAAAAAAAAAAATAGCTGGGTGTTGTGCCATGTGCCTGTAATCCTAGCTACTCGGGAGGCTGAGGCAGGAGAATCTCTTGAGCCTAGGAGGCACAGATTGCAGGGAACCGAGATCTCACCACTGCACTCCAGCCTGGGCGACAGAGTGAGACTCTGTCTCAAAAAAATTAAAAAAAAGGCCGGGCGCAGTGGCTCATTCCTGTAATCCCAGCACTTTGGGAGGCCGAGGCAGGTGGATCACGAGGTCAGGAGATTGAGACCATCCTGACTAACATGGTGAAACCCCGTCTCTACTAAAAATACAAAAAATTAGCCGGGAGTGGTGGCAGGCGCCTGAAGTCCCAGCTACTCGGGAGGCTGAGGCAGGAGAATGGCATGAACCCGGGAGGCTGAGCTTGCAGTGAGCTGAGACTGCGCCACTGCATTCCAGCCTGGGGGACAGCGTGAGACTCTGCCTCAAAAAAAAATTAAATTAAAAAAATAAGAACAACAACAAAAAAAACACAATCAAAAAAAGATACGTGAGTGTAAAGTGACCAACAGGTTGAACTGTTTCCCCCAAAAAGAGAGGCTGAAGTCCTGATCCCCCAGTGCTTCAGAATGTGACCTTATTTGGAAATAGGGTCCTTGGAGAGGGAATTCGTTGAGAGGTAGCCATACCAGTGTAGGGTGGACCCGTCATTCCTCATTCCCGGTGTCTTTATAAGAAGAGGAGACACACAGGGAAGACAATTCTATGGTGACAGAAGTGGAGACGGGGGTGACGCAGCCACAAGCCCAGGAAGGCCCTGTGCTATCAGAAGCTGGAAGAAGCCAGGAAAGATCACCCGCTGGAGCCTTGTCCGGAGTGAGGCCACGCCCATGCCTTGATTTCGGATTTTCAGCCTGGTGAATCTGGGAGACAATACGTTTCTCTCTCTCTGTTTTTTTTTTTTTTTTGAAATGGAGTCTTGCTCTGTTGCCCAGGCTGGAGTACAGTGGCACGATCTCGGCTCGCTGCAGCCTCTGCCTCCCGGATTCCAGTGATTCTCCTGCCTCAGTCTCCCGGGTAACTGGGATTACAGGCGCATGCCACCATGCCCAGCTAATTTTTGTATTTTTAGTAGAGACGGGGTTTCACAGTGTTGGCCAGGCTGGTCTTGAACTCCTTACCTCAGGTGATCCGCCTGTCTCGGCCTCCCAAAGTGCTAGGATTACAGGTGTGAGCCACCGTGCCTAGCCACGTTTCTCGTTTTAAACCACCCAGTTTGCGGTACCTTGTCATGGCAGCCACAGGAAACAAATGCACTGGGGACCCCGGGAAGGCATTCGGGGAGCTGCATTCAGGGAGCTGCTGCCTCCATGGCAGTCCAGGCAGAGAGTTGAGTCTAAACCTGGCTCTGGGTTCACGAGGCGGTGGGAGGTGGAGAGCCACAGCAGTGGGGTATGGAGCTCCACAGATGTGGGTAGCTGGAAGCTGGATGCAGGAAGTCAGAGGGCAAGACTCCTGGGGTGAGGGTGGGTCAGGGAAGGCTTTCTAGGGCCACATTTTCTTTCTTGTCTTGCCTCTTTTCTTTTCTTGATGGAGTTTTGCTCTTGTCGCCCAGGCTGGAGAGCAATGGTGCGATCTCGGCTCACAGCAACCTCTGCCTCCCTGGTTCAAGCGATTCTCCTGTCTCAGCCTCCTGAGTACCTGGGACTACAGGGGCACGCCACCACACTTGGCTAATTTTTGTTTTTTTTTTAGTAGAGATGGGATTTCACCCGTGTTGGCCAGGCTGGTCTCAAACACCTGACCTCAGATGATCCACCTGCCTTGTCCTCCCAAAGTGCTAGGATTATAGGCATGAGCCACTGTGCCTGGCGAAGGGCCACATTTTCAAAACTGTGAGTTGTGAGTCCTTTTTTTTTTTTTTTTTTGAGACAGAGACTTGCTCTATGACCCAGACTGGAGTGCAGTGGTACAATCATGCAATCATGACTCAAACTTCCAGGCTCACCCTCCCACCTCAGCCTCTAGAGTAGCTGGAACTACAGGCACACACCATCATGCCCGGCTAAGTTTTAAAATTTTTTGTAGAGACAAGATCCCACTGTGTTGCCTAGGCTGGTCCCAAATTCCTGGGCTTGAGCAATCCTCTGTGAGGCCTCAGCCTCCAAGAGTGTTGGGATTACAGGCGTGAGCCACTGAGTCCAGCCAAAACTGTGAATCTTGACCCATTAGTGAGTCCAGGAAAATACTTAGGAAGTTGCAAGGAGAGATATTTAGGAGGAAGAATGGACAGGACTTGGAACCTGATGGGCTGTGAGGGGTGAGGGAAAAAGCCTAGATCTCTGGCCCTGGAGACAGGGTACATTACATGGTAGGGCCGGCCAAGATGGGGACTTGAGGGGTAGCAGATGTGGGGGTAAGATGCTGAAGTGGTTTGGGATGTGGTGGGTATGAAAGGCCTGGGGAGGTTTGGGGAATGAGGAAGAGCATCCAGGAACCCATCAGGTATGTGGAAGAGGGCTGGAGGCAGAGGCGGAGTGGAAGCTAAATTTTTGTTTTGTTTTGTGTTGTTTTAATGCTAAAAGAAATGGATGCAACAAGCATATCAAGTGCTGCCCTAGGGCTGGGCCTGGTTGCTCATGCCTGTAATCCCAGCACTTTGGGAGGCTGAGGTAGGAGGATTGCTTGAGGCCAGGAGTTCAGGCTGCAGCGAGCTATTATCTTGCCACTGCACTCCAGCCTGGACGACAGAGCGAGACTCTGTCTTTTCTTTTCTTCTTTTTTTTTTTTTAATTTAAAAGATAGAGATGAGGTCCTGCTACATCACCCAGGCTGGTTTTGAACTCCTGGGCTCAAGTGATCCTACTGCCTCAGCCTCCCAAAATGCTGGGATTACAGGTGCGAGCCACTGCACTGGCTGATACCCTGTCTTAAAAAAAAAGAAGGGGCCAGGTATGGTGGCTCATGCCTGTAATCCCAGCACTTTGGAAGGCTGAGGCGGGTGGATGATGAGGTCAGGAGTTCGAGACCAGCCTGGCCAACATGGTGAACCCCCGTCTCTACGAAAAATACACAATTAGCCGGGTGTGGTGGTGCACGCCTATAATCCCAGCTACTTGGGAGGTGGAGGCAGGAGAATCGCTTGAACCAGAGCGGAGGTTGCAGTGAGCTGAGATGGTGCCACTGCACTCTAGCCCGGCAACAAGAGCGAAACTCTGTCTCAAAAAAAAAGAAAAAAAAAAGTGCTGGCCGTAGGCACCTGGGATACAGCAGTGAATAAAATACTGAACTCCACTCTCAGAGCTTCCTTTCTAGCTGGGGATGGTGGATGGACAGGAAGTAGCTCACTTCAATCAGGGATAACACGGAGGAACAGAGCCAGTAGGGGGTATGTATGAAGTGATCTGTTGCAAGGAATTGGCTTACAGGATTGTAGGGCCGGCTAAGCAACTTCAAAATCCATACACAGGGCACCATCGGAAAGTGCAGGCTGGAGCTTTGGGCGTGAACTGAAGCCACTGTCTACAGGCGGAATTTCCTCAGGGAAGCTTCGGCTCTGCTCTGAAAACCTTTTGACTGATTGCAGCAGGCCCACTTAGATTATTATTATTATTTATAGAGACGGAGTCTTGCTCTGTCGCCCAGGTTGGAGTTCAGTGGCACGATTTCAGCTCACTGCCAACCTCCGCTGCCCCAGTTCAAGCAATTCTCCTGCCTCAGCCTCCCGAGTAGCTGGGACTACAGGCGCCCACCACCATGCCCAGCTAATTTTTTTGTATTTTTAGTAGAGACGGGGTTTCACCATGTTGGTCAGGCTGGTCTCGAACTCCTGACCTCAGATGATCCGCCTGCCTCGGCCTCCCAAAGTGTTGGGATTACAGGCGTGAGCCACTGCACTGGCCTATTATTATTATTATTACTCGAGACAGAGTCTCACTCTGTCACCCAGGCTGGAGTGCAGTGGTGCGATCTTGGCTCACTGCAACCTCCACCTCCCGGGTTCAGGTGACTCTCCTGCCTCAGCCTTCCGAGTAGCTGGGACTATAGGTGCATGCTACCATGCCTGGCTGATTTTTGTATTTTTAGTAGAGACAGGGTTTCACTATGTTGGCCAGTCTGGTCTTGAACTCCTGACTTCAGGGGATCCACCTGCCTTAGCCTCCGAAAGTGCTGGGATTACAGGTATGAGCCACCGCCCCCTCAGATTATCTAGGATAAATTTCCTTCCTTAAGGTAAACTAATTATAGTCTTTAATCACATCTATGAGATATCTTCACAGCAGCAGCTGGATTCATATTTGACTGAATGACTGGGGACAGCGGTCTAGACAAGCTGACATGTGAAACTGACCATTGCAACCAGAGACATAATAAACAACTCAGCCATGTGGCATGTTAGATGGTGGTAAGTGCTAAGGAGGTAAGAAAAGTAGAGATGGGTTGGAGGGATCAGGAATATGTGGGTGGGAAGGCCTCGGGGAGGTGGCGGCCTTTGAGCAAAGGCTTGCAAGAAGTGGCAGAGTAGGCCATGTGAGTATCTGGTCCAAGAGCTGTCCAAGGAGCCGGAAGGGTGAGTGCAAAGGCCTCGAGGCCAGAATGTTCCAGAAGTGTTCGGGGAACAGCTTAGAGGCCAAAGTGGCTGGAGAAGACTGAGCAAACGGGAGAGGGTGGGAAAAGAGCCAGACTTGGGTGAGAGGCAGATTGTGTGGGGCCTTGTGGGCTGAGATGAGGATTTTGGCTTTTAGTCAGAGTGAGACAGTGACCACAGGAGGGCTCTGAGCAGAGGAGGGAGATGAGCTGGCTTGTGTTTTAATGGGATCACTTTTGTTGGGTTTTGAAAATATACTCTTGGCTGGGCACAGTGGCTCACACCTGTAATCCCAACACTTTGGGAGGCCGAGGCAGGTGGATCACTTGAGGTCAGGAGTTTGAGACCAGCCTGGTCAACATGGCAAAACCCCATCTCTACTAAAAATACAAAAATTAGCCAGGCGTGATAGCGGTCACCCGGAATCCCAGTTACTCGGGAGCCTGAGGCAGGAGACTTGCTTGAACCTGGGAGATGGAGGTTGCAGTGGGCCGAGATCATGCTACTGCATTCCAGCCTGGGAGACTGAGTGAGACTCCATCTCAAAAAAAAAAAAAGAGAGAAAGAAAATAAAATATACTTTTTTTTTTTTTGAGACAGTCTCCCTCTGTTGCTCAGGATGGAGTGCAGTGGCGCCTTCTTGGCTCACTGCAACCTGCGCCTCCCAGGCTCAAAGATTCTTGTGCCTCAGCCTCCCAGGTAGCTGGGATTACAGGTGTGCACCATCATGCCTGGCTAATTTTTGATTTTTAGCAGAGACGGGGTTTCGCCATGTTGACCAGGCTGGTCTTGAACTCCTGGCCTCAACTGATCCACCTGCCTCGGCCTCCCAAAGTGCTGGGATTATAGGAATGAGACACTGTGCCCAGCCTGAAAATATACCCTTAGGGGTTGAGAGTAGAAGCAGGAAGATCATTGAGGAGGTGACTGCAGTACTCTGGGTGAGAGGTGGTGGGGCATTGGAAGGTAGTGTGCTGGAGAAGAGATGGTCAGATTTGGGATGGATGTTGAAGCTAGAGCCAAGAGGATTTCCTAATGAATGTGAGATTTCTGTTTTGGACTGGATAAGGAGGAGGGAAGGAAAGAAGGGAAGGAAGGAAGGAATGTGGGGAGGGAGAAAGGAGAAAGAAAGGAGGGCGGAAGAAGAAGGCAAAAACGACAGATGGAGAGACACGTTAAGAGAGAATCTGGATCGGGCACAGTGGCTCATGTGTGTAATCCCAGCACTTTGTGAGGCCTAGGAGGGAAGATTGTTTGAGGCCAGGAGTTCGAGGCTGCTGTGAGCTATGACCACTCCACTGCATTCCAGCCTGGGTGACAGAGCAAGACTTTTTGCGGGAGGGCAGAGAGAAGGAGAAACTGAATGATAAACCTAAAAGTGATCTCTCAACATTCTTAGTACAAATTAAAAATAAAGACTTTTGTTAATAGTGCGATCTTGGCTGGGTGCAGTGGCTCACTCCTGTAATCCCAGCATTTTGGGAGGCCTAGGCAGGTAGATCATTTGAGGTCAGGAGTTCGAGACCAGCCTGGGCAACATGATGAAACCCCATCTCTACTAAAAATACAAAAATTAGCTGGGCGTGGTGGCGCATGCCTGTAGTCCCAGTTACTTGGTAAGCTGGGCAGGCAGGAGAATTGCTTGAACTCGGGAGGTGGATGTTGCAGTGAGCCGAGATCATGCCACTGCACTCCAGCCTGGGTGACAGACTGAGACTCTGTCCCAAAAAAAAAAAAAAAAAAAAAAGTGCAATCTTTTCCCTTCCTTTGTATAAAATTCTCTAGAATGGGCCAGATACTGGTTAGCATTGGAAATAGGCTCTAATCTATGGTCACCACTCACCAGAACCCCTGGAACCCCACGTGTGCACAAATCCAGTTTCAGAGACCAACACAGTGGTAGGCACTCTTGGCCACTGTGGGAGTGTGAGGTGCAGAGACAAAGCCTTGGCCTTATATACTTCAGAGCACACTGGGGACTCTGTGAGGCTCTAGGTCTATCCTTAGTGGATCTAATTTTCCTGCCCTGGTTCTTTGTGGGTGTAGAACTATTCCCCTACTCTCTCTCCTAAGCCCAAAGTGGTGCTGGAGGGAAGAGGCCGTTCTGAAGCATTTGCTTCTCTGCATGGAGTCTCCCTGCTGTCTTCTCTGATTTCCTCAGGGGTGGGCGAGATGGTGTCTGATGCACACGGGCGCCACGCACAAGTCTCCAGTGGCCCCTGCATGCCCACTCTGCCTCTTTGTATCTTCTCTGAGCCCAGGAGGCTGCCCTGTGTGCTCTCCATCTGCCTGCCTGCCTGGTCTCAGGTTCATGGGAGGTAACTGCAGGAATGGGGCAGATGCAGGAGAATGACCAGCTGTCCTGCACCTGGCCTCGACCTGTCCACAGCAGCAAAGCTCTCTGTACCTCTTCCCATAACTCTCTGCATGCAGCCTTCTCACAGGCTCCAGGCCGGACTTTGACACGCACCTACTTCAGTCCAGACTCCCTGGATGCCTCCCCAGAGCCCCAGTGCATTCCTTTCCTGTAGCTGTCATGACAAGGTACTGCAAACTGAGTGGTTTAAAACAAGGGAAACGGGCCGGGCGCAGTGGCTCACACCTGTAATCCCAACAGGCATGGGAGGATCGCTTGAAGCCAAGTGTTCGAGACCAGCTTGGGCAACAAAGCAAGACTCCAGCATGCCTGACTATTGTTTTGTATTTTTTGTAGAAACGGGTTCTCACTATATTGACCAGATTAGTCTCAAATTCACGGTCTCAAGTGATTCTCCCACCTCCGCCTCTCCGAGTGTTGGGATTACAGGCGTTAGCCACTGCACAGGGCAGGGACCACAATTTTCAACACCTCGCCAATGGGGTCTGGGAGCTCAAAGTTTAAGAATTACCAAAAAGCCGGTCCTGGAAGATCCCGGGGGTTCACAGGGCCAGAGAAACCCATAGACATGACATGAAAAGGGAATGGGGATCAAGGCAAAGGCACAGGAGGAATTTGAGAGCCAGTTCATAGGTGGCGGATGTATCAGGGGCCGGCTGGGAGGGGAACCCAAAGCCCCTTCCTGTCCTGCCTCCGTGTTCCCCGTGTTGGATCTGGCCAATGCAGCTACCTGCTCCTTCACGCAGCCGCTGAGGACAAAGCCAGATGAGAGGATGGAAACAGAGGCCTGACGCAGTGGCTCACGTTGTAATCCCAGCACTTTGGGAAGCCGAGAAGGGCAGATCACCTGAGGTCAGGAGTTCAAGACCAGCCTGGCCAACATGGCGAAGCCCCATCTCCACTAAAAAAATATATATGTATATATATAAAATTAGGCAGGTGTGAGGCACTCTGGAGCCTGAGGCAGGAGAATCGCTTGAACCCGGGAGGCAGAGGTTAGTTACAGTGAGCCGATATCGGGCTACGGCACTCCAGCCTGGGTGACAGAGCGAGACTCCATCACAAACAAACAAACAAACAAAAAAGTCCAGGCGCAGTGGCTCATGCCTGCAATCCCAGCACTTTGAGAGACCGAGGTGGGCGGATCACCTGAGGTCAGGAGTTCGAGTCCAGCCTGGCCAAAATGGTGAAACCCCGTCTCTACTAATAATACAAAAAAAAAAAAAAAATTAGCCGAGCGTGTTGGTGGGCGCCTGTAATCCCAGCTACTTGGGAAGCTGAGGCAGAAGAATCGCTTGAACCTGGGAGGTTCAATGGTGCAGTGAGCCGAGACCGCACCATTGGCACTCCAGCCTGGGCAGCAAGAACGAAACTCCATCTCAAAAAAGAAAAAACAAAAACCAAAAATAAAAATTACCTGGGTGTGGTGGCGTGCACCTGTAGTCCCGCCTACTCGGTCACCCCGTCTCTACTAAAAATACAAAAATGGCCAGGCGTGGTGGTGCATGTCTATAATCCCAGCTACTCCGGAGGCTGAGAGGCAGGAGAATCGCTTGAACCCGAGAGGCAGAGGTTGCAGTGGGCCGAGATCGCGTCATTGCACTCCAGCCTGGGCGACAACAGCAAAACTCCGTCTCAAAAAAAAAAAAAAAAATTAGCCAGGCGTGGTGGGGCGCACCTGTAGTCCCAGCTATTCAAGAGGCTGAGGGAGGATAATCACTTGAATCCGGGCAGTGAGCCAAGATCGCACCACTGCACTCCAGCCTGGGCGACAGAGCAAGACCTTGTCTCACAAACAAACCAAAGACGGAAACAGATACAGCCATTTCAAAGACGACTAGAAAACCTTTTTATTCACCAGAGCTCAATACTCAGGGTCCCGACCCTGTGCCAAAAACTGAACAACTTAAAATCTGACGGGGGCCCTTCTTCTCTTTGCCCCTAAAATAAAAGCTAGGCCATTGCCATTCCCATCCGGGTACTCAAACCCCCTTCTTATCGGCGGTTCCTTGACTTGAACGTTGGAGGTTGAAAAACACAGGAGGAAAAAAAAATGTCCTTTAGTCAACTATCACGATTTGGGGGGTCGGACGGGAGGTGGTCGAGAGATATGCTTCTCGCTGGGGGAAAGGACCCATCGGTGATTTGGGGATGGGGGCAGGTACCGGGTGCAATGGGCTGAACAAGGGGAAGAACAACCAGGGGGCATTGAAAGGTGTCAGCTCACCCCACGGCTCTCCATCCACAGGTGAGCCTGCGAAGACACGGTGCCCTCCAGTGATACGGTGCTCTCCAGAGTCCTACTCCGCTCCTGACGGATGGGTACTGAGGTCAGGGAAGGAATGAACAGGCGTGGTCCACGATGACACCGTGGTTCTGCAGGAGGCTGAAGATGGAGAAGGCTGGTCTTAAGTCGACATCCCATCTTGAAGTTCTTGAGTAGGCACTTCTCAGCCAGCCTTGTTCAGTATCTCCTAAGGGCTGGCTTGGGACAGCACCGTGGAATCCTGGAGGTTCAAAAATCCAAGAACTCCACAAGGAACAGAGAAGTCGAAGGGGCAGGGCTCCAGTCACCAGCAGGCCCCACGAGGACAAAAGATCCATGAACCGGGGCCCAGAGGGCGCTACAGGGCCGTGCAGGAAGGGTTCCCGCGGCACCAAGGACCCTCAGGCCAACGCCCACAGGCCAGAGCTCCGAGGGCTGACAGGTCCAAGGGGGCGGGGCTGGCCTGGCTCCCAGCAGCCTCCACTGTTTCAGGATCCAGCCAGGGTGGAGTTCTGGGGGCCAGAAATTCCAAAGGGCTGGGTGACTGGAAGAGAGAGTTTAGGGACTTGGGTGGGATGGACCAGGAGGGTCAGGGGTGCGGGTGGTGAGCATCTCACGATGCTCAGCGCTTGACCCTGCGTCCGGCCGAGTTGCGCCCGCTGCGGCGGTAGAGGGACTGCTGGCCACCGTTAAGCGGGCAGTACTTGAGCGTATGGGCCTGGTCACCGGTGGCCCCGCACACGGGACACACGTAGTGCCTCAGGATGGGACACACCACCACGCCATCCGGTGTCTTCAGCTGGTGTGAGGAGTAGACGTGGCGGGACTCCCCGTTGTGCTTGCAGAAGTTGCACAGGGTCCCCAGGCCCCCGTTGGCCCCTGGCGCCCCCAGCCCCTGATCCTGCCCCAGCGGAGGCCCGGGACTTGGCTCCTCAATCTCTTGGGTCTCCAGCCTTTGACCCCGACTTGCGATCAGCGCCCACACCACCTGGCTCAGGTTGAAGTAGTCCTTCCACATGTCGAAGGGTGGCAGCTGCATGGCACCAAAGCAGGGGTGGTGGGCCACAGGAGAGGGGCTGGGGCTGGGGGCCCGTGGGCAAGGGCAAGAGCAGCAGGCGTTTCCCAGAGCAGAAGGGAGCTGCATCCCCTTTTATAACGCCCAGAGACTCTTCTAAGTAAAGGTGGAGCTTAGGATTTAAAGGGCTCACTCCCTGCCCATAACCCCCATCTGACTTTAGTTCTTCACAGAGATGTGGAAGGAGGTCATTCCCCTGATCTCTGGTCCCAGCTCTGCTGCCAAGGTGCTCTGTGACCTCTGGGAAGACACTTCCATTCTCTGTGCCTCAGTTTCCCTATCTGTTCAAAGAAAGTCCATGTCTGCAAATATCCCCCACCCCTAGGCTGGAGGGGCTGCACCCTTCATAGACTTCAGAGTTATTCCTAATCATCATAGCAGCCAGGCTGGGCGCAGTGCCTCACACCTGTAATCCTGGCACTTTGGGAGGCTGAGGAAAGAGGATCGCTTGAGCCCAGGACCTCTAGGCCAGCGTGGGCAAAATAGCGAGACCTTGTCTCTACAAAAAATAAAAAGACAAAAATAATAATAACAACATGACCTGATTTATTTTATTTATTTATTTACTTGAGACGGAGTCTTGCTATGTCGCCCAGGCTGGAGTGCAATGGCACGATCTCAGCTCACTGCAACCTCTGCCTCCTGGGTTCAAGTGATTCTCCTGCCTCAGCCTCCTGAGTAGCTGGGATTACAGGCGCCCACCACTAAGCCTGGCTAATTTTTTTTTTTTTTTTTTTTGTATTTTTAGCAGAGACAGGGTTTCACCATATTGGCCAGGCTGGTCTCGAACTCCTGACCTCAGGTGATCCACCTGTCTCTGCCTCCCAAAGCGCTGGGATTACAGGCGTGAGCCACCGCACCCGGCCTAGTATTTTCATTTTACAGAGAAAGATATGAAGCTTGGAGAGGTTAAGGAATGTATCCAAGGTCACACAACAAGGAAATGGCAGAGTCGGGTTTCATAATCACTCTGGGAACTGGGAATTGATGTTAAAAGTGGCAGAGGAACTTGGCACAGAACAATCTCACTTAGAATGCCCCCTCTTGGGCTAGGCATGCTGGCTCACGCCTGTAATCCTAATATTTTGGGAGGCTGAGGCTAGAGAATCACTTGAAGCCAGAAGTTTGAGACCAGCCTGGGTAACATAGTGAGACCCTGTTTCTACATATAATACAAAATCAGCTGGGCATGGTGGCATGTGCCTGTAATCCTAGCTAGTGAGGAGGCTGAGGCAGGAAGATCACTTGAGCCCAGGAGGTTTAGGCTTCAGTGAGCCATGATTGTGCCACTGCAGTCCAGCCTGGGCTACAGAGTGGACCCTGTCTTTTTTTTTATGAGATGGAGTCTTGCTCTGTCACCCAAGCTGTAGTGCAGTGGCACAATCTTGGCTTACTGCAATCTCCGCCTCCCAGGTTCAAGTGATTCTCCTGCCTCAGCCTCACAAGTAGTTGGGATTACAGGTGCCCACCACCACACCTGGCTAATTTTTTGTATTAGTAGAGATGGGATTTTGACATGTTGGACAAGCTGGTCTGGAACTCCTGACCTCAGGTGTGATTCACCTGCCTCGGTCTCCCAAAGTGCTGGGATTACAGGCATAAGCCACTGCGTCTGGCCAACCCTGTCTCTCTAAAAAAAAAAAAAAAATAGCCCTTTCTTGGCCCCATCCATTGTCTTAAATCCTTCCTGGCCTTTGGAACGAGCAAAAGCCTCATCTCCCGCCCACCGCACCTGGGGTTCTTCTTCCACCCACAGTCTCCATGGGCCACCTTGATATTCAACACATAGTTACTGAGGCTCCATATTGGGTGCTGGAAATTCAGCAGTGACCAAGGCTACCTTATGCCTGCTTCATGAACGAGTTCAGGAGAGCGACCAGTAAATGAGAAAACGCTAGACTGTAAAGACCTGCTGGCCTGTGAACCGGGTGTTCTAAGAGTGGCTGGCTCAGGAATGGGACTTGGAAGCTGAGACCACTAAGAAGAATCTTCCAGGAAGAGGAACACAGGATATGGAAACTGTGGCTGGGTGTGGTGGCTCATGCCTGTAATCCCAGCACTTTGAGAGGCCGAGGTGGGTGGGTCACCTGAGGTCAGGAGTTCGAGACCAACCTGGCCAAGATGGTGAAACCACCCCCATCTCTACTAAAAATACAAAAATTAGCAGGATGGGCACAGTGGCTCACGCCTGTAATCCCAGCACTTTGGGAGGCTGAGGTGGGCGGATCATGAGGTCAGGAGGTTGAGACCAGCCTTGGCAACATGGTGAAACCCCGTCTTTCCTAAAAATACAAAAATTAGCTGGCGTGGTGGCGGGTGCCTGTGATCCCAGCTACTCAGGAGGCTGAGACAGGAGAATTGCTTGAACCTGGGAGGCGGAGGTTGCAGTGAGCTGAGATCATGCCATTGCACTCCAGCCTGGGTGACAGAGCGAGGCTCCATCTCAAAAAAAAAAAAAAAAAGTAATAAAAAATAAAAAATAAAATAAAATAAAATAAAATAAAATAAAATTAGCTGGGCGCAGTGGTGGGTGCCTGTAGTCCCAGCTACTTGGGAGGCTGAGGCAGGAGGATTGCTTGAATCCAGAAGGTGGAGGTTGCAGTGAGTCGAGTTAGGGCCACTGCACTCCAGCCAGGGTGACAGAGTGAGAATCCATCTCAAAAAAAAAAAAAAAAAAAAGACATCCTGAAATTTGGGAACAGCAAGGGGGCTGGAGTGGCTAGAATGGAGTGAAGATCCCAGGATGAAGCCAGCATGATTTGCAGAGGCTGGACACCCTCAGACTCTGCAAATCTCCCTTAGGGCATGTTTTGGAATTGGTGAGGGCGTTTTGAGTTTGTCACCGTGATTGGAGGTGTGGCTGGATTTAGTAGGTGGGGACCAGGGATGGCAGATATCTCGCAGTTCGCACCACCAAGACCTGTTCTGAGCCCCACTTAACTTTCCAGTGTCCCACTGAACACCCATCTAGGTAGAAAAACCCATTTATAATTATCCAAATTCAGAGCCTAGCTATGTTTTATATATAAGCACTAGGTGCTTTTTGCATTATTTTAAGATAACACTCATTTTTCCTGGAATGCAACCACTGTGTTCATTCTGGTCTTCAAGCTCTTGGTTTTTCTGAGAACTTTATTCAGTTATTCACCAATTCTAGAAGCCACAACACTCAAGGCAATGCTGCTTGTGGTATCTGTCTCCAAACAACATACCATTTGTTTGTATCTCATTCATGGTGAATCTACACAGAGAGGCTAGTGTCTGCCCTGCTCAGATGATTTTTGGAGTGTCCATGCCTGAGCATTTATACACTTACATAGACATTATTTTATTATAAATTACTGTCTTTTTATTTTCCCTTTATATTTTGGTTAGGACACGACACGATATCCATTTTTGAAAATAAAATTTGTGACTGGGCACAGTGGCTCACGCTTGTAATTCCAGCACTCTGGGAGACCAAGGCAGGCGGGTCACTTGAGGTCAGGAGTTCCAGACCAGCCTGGCCAACATGGTGAAACCCCGTTTCTACTAAACATACAAAAATTAGCCGGGCGTGGTGGCACGCACCTGTAACCCCAGTTACTCTGGAGGCTGAGGCAGGAGAATTGCTTGAACTCAGGAGGTGGAGGTTGCAGTGAGCTGAGATAGCACCACTGCACTCCAGCCTGGGCGACAGAGCAAGACTCCATCTCAGGAAAAAAAAATAATAAAATAAAATAAAATTTGTATGTTGGTGAGCTATATTACCTATGAGTTTAATTTTCAAGGTCCTAAAGGGTAATTGCAAAATGTTATCTATAATGTTGGGGGTCCTCTCTTGGCCCCATCCATTGTCCCAAATTCCCATTCCTGTAATCCCAGCACTTTGGGAGGTTGAGGCAGGAGGATCACTTGAGTCCAGGAGGTTGAGACCAGCCTGGGCAGCATAGTAAGACCTAGTCTCTATAAAAAGTACAAAGAAGTTAACTGGTGATGCATGCCTATAGTCCCAGCTACTTGGAAGCCTGAGGCAGGAGGATTGCTTGAACCCAGGAGGCTGAGACTTCAGTGAGCTGTGTTCGTGCCACTGCACTCCAGCCTGGGTGACGGAGTGAGACCTCATCTCGAAAAAAAAAAAAAAAGATCATCTATGAAATGAAGACACAATTGAGACAATAATCATAGGCACACTCATTACTGAGCATCTGTGGGCTGGCACCATGCTCAGGGCCCGACCTGTGTCATCTGTAAATCCTCCCAGATCCTGTCAAATAGTCTGTTAATGGTCCTGTTTTACAGATGAGCAAAGGGAGACTTAGAGGGGCTCAGGAGCTTTTCCAAAGTCATATGGACAGTAAGTGTTAGTCTGGGCTGGGCACAGTGGCTCACACCTGTAATCCCAGCACTTTGGGAGGCTCAGGCGGGCAGATCACTTGTGGTCAAGAGTTAGAGACCAGCCTGGCCAACATGGTGAAATCCGGTCTCTACTAAAAATACAAAAATTAGCCGGGTGTGGTGGCGGGTGCCTGTAATCCAAGCTACTTGGGAGGGTGAGGCAGGAGAATCGCTTGAACCTGGGAGGTGGAGGTTGCAGTGAGCCCAGATCGCACCACTGGACTCCAGCCTGGGTGACAGAGCAAGACTCTGCCTCAAAAAAAAAAAAACAAAAAAAAACACCATTAAAAATAAAAATAATGTTAAAAAAAAAAAAGGTGTTTCTCCGGAGCTGAAACCCAAGACTGTTTGACCCCGACCTTGGACATCCTCCCACCCCCTGTAGAAGGAGCACGCAAAGCCCGCTGTGAGCGAAGAACCTGCCTAAGACCCCAAGGGAAAGCAGCAGACCCTGGGGGTCTTGCAGTGTGTAGCGACAGATTGAGGTGGGAAGCCAGGAAGGATGGGGGTATTTGAGCCAGGTAGCTTTTCAGATACAGAGCAGATGAGACCTGTCAGCCACCGATGGACATACTCAAGAGCAGAAGAGACTGTGGTCGGCAGAATGGAAGAACAGTACTCCTGGGGAGGCACCACGACGGGCATGGGGGTCCCTGTGCTGAGTGCTTTCTGCAAAGTCACAGCCTTGACTTTCCTCGTGGGAGGTGTGAGTTCCCTGTGTGTGCAGGGCCTGGACCCAGTAACCCAGTGACAGTGGTTACAGCTGTGGCATCTGCGGGATGTCTGAGAATGATGTAAGGAGAGGCCGTTCCCAGGCTCCATGGCTCCCCTTAACAATTGCACCTATTGTTCGGAGAACCCCAGATACTGCTGGCTTGGGAGTTTTTTTTTTTTTTTCTCCTTATTGTTTTCTCCCTAATTGTTTTCTTCTAGGATTCTGTTATTTGGGCCATGGCTGCTTTCCACCCCCCAACTCCAGTATTATTGGATGAGTTGATTGAAAGATACCCCTTATCCTTCTTCAGACAAGCTCTCTTTCCCTGGTGTGGTTGCTGCTCTGAGTTAAGGGAACGGGAGATGATACTGACTAGAAATTCATCAGCCCCGGTGTTTACTACGTCCTAACCTCCGCCCCCACCCCAAGGCCACGACCGCTGTCTGCTAACCTGACGCCAAGGTGCCCTGTTTATTTGTGAGTTTCCGTCTCCGCCTGATGCCTGGCAGAAAATAGCTCTTGCTGGGGGTCCAGAGACGAGTGGGGAGGGGAAAGAGTTAGAAACCCCGAGAAAGTGTGGGGAGAAACACGTAAATGGGCAGCAGTGACTCCCAGAAAGACCGAGGGACCCGCTGCGAGACCGAGAGACCTGCTCATGCGGGGACCAAGACAGGGGAGATGAAGACCAGGGGGAGAGAGACCCCGAGGGCCAGCGAGGTCACCATCATCATCATTGTCCTCATGGTCTCTGCTGCGTGCTTGCCTGTGCCATGTCATTAAATCCCCAGACAGCCTTGTCAAGTATCTTGTAATATCCTCATTTCACAGAACAGGAAACAGGCTTGGAGGTGACATCTGTCATGGAGTGATTCAGTGAGGCTGGACTGAAATCCAGATCTGGGGCTGGGTGCGGTGGCTCACCCCTGTAATCCCAGTACGGGAGGACGAAGCAGGAGGGTAGCTTGAGCCCAGGAGTTTAAGGCCAGCCTGGGCAATATAGTGAGACCCCCATCTCTAAAAAAAATTAAAAATTAGCTGGACTTGGAGTCATGCCTGTAGTCTGAGCTACCCAGAAGGCTGAGGTGGGAAGATTGCTTGAGCCCAGGATGTCAAGAAGTGACCGTGCCACTACATTCCAGTCTGGGCAGACAGAGCAAGATCCTGTCTCTAAAAAAAAAAAAAAAATATATATATATATATATATATATATGTTAAAATTATATGTTGTATATATTTATATAGTTATATATAAGTAAATATATGCTATTTTTATAGAATTATATGTGATTTATATATATTTATATTTTTATATTACACATAATATATAACATTAATATAGTAATATATATTCATAAATATATTTGCATTTACAAAATACTATATATCAACATTGATGATTAATAATATATTAATAATTATATATTTATAATATATAAATATTATCAATATAATATAAAAGGTATATGGGTACTTATATAAAATATAAGATATTTTATATCTTATATATAAGATATTAAATATCTTATATTTTATATATTAATATATATTAATATATATATTTATATCTTAATATATAATGTTTTATATTTATATATTTATATATTCATAAATTTAAATATATATTTATAATTTATATTTATATATTTATTACATATAAATATATATTAATATTAAGACACATTTATTATTAAAATATGTATTTATTAATATTTATATATTTATATGTGTATATTTTATATATTTATGTTATATTTATACTTTTTATATATTTATATTTCATATATAATGTACAACTGTAATATTTATATATTATAAATTTATATATATAAATCTATATATAATATAATATATATTTATATATAAAATATAAATATATAAAATATATAGTTATATACATAATATAAAAATATAAAATACATTTATATTTGTTTATATTTTATTGAACATGAATATGATAATGTATATCAAAATTATATATATAATTGGCCAGGCATGGTGGCTCACGCCTGTAGTCCCAGCACTTTGGGAGGAGAGGCGGGCAGATCACCTGAAGTCGGGAGTTTGAGACCAACCTGGGTAACATGGTGAAACCCTGTCTCTACTAAAAATACAAAAATTAGCTGGGCGTGGTGGTGGGCGCCTGTAGTCCCAGCTACTCAGGAGGCTGAGGCACGAGAATCTCTTGAACCTGGGAGGTGGAGGTTACAGTGAGCAGAGATCACACCACTGCACTCCAGCCTGGGTGACAGAGCGAGACTCCCTCTCAAAAAAAAAAGATAATTTAAAAAATTATATATGTAATTATATATAAGTTAATAATTATATACATATACAATAATAAGTGTTATGTGTATTTTTCAGGTTGGGCTATGTGCTATACAGAAGAAATAAAGGGGGCAGTGGTTAGGAGCGGCCTTTTGGAAGAGGTACCATTTGAGAAGAGTCTTCACGGATGTAGAGGAGGGAGCCTTGTTGATACGTGGAGACGTGCGACCCAGACAGAGGGAGCAGCCAGTGCAAAGGCCCTGAGGTTGGACCATGACTGGGTGTTCAGGGAGGCGAGTGTGGCTCCAGTGGATTGACAGGGAGAATGGGAGGGAGTGAGCGAGAATGCAGGACCCGGTGGGCCACAGTAAGGACATTGGGTTGTGCTTTGAGTGAGGTGGGAGTGATGGGCGGGTCTGAGCAGCAGCGGGGAATGCTTTGACTGAAGATCTAGCAAGATTTCTCTAACTGCCCTGTAGGGGGACAGACAATGGGAGTTGAGGGCAGAAGCTGAGAGCCCAGTGAGGTTAAGGCAAGAGGTGATGGTGGCTGGACTAGAGGGAAGGGAGAGAGAAAGTGTCGAGGAGTGGCTGGGTGTTGATTACCGCACAGCAGCAGAATGAGATTTCTAAAATATAAATCAGATCGTGTCACTCCTCTTGCTTAAAACTTACTCTGATTCTCTATTATCCTCAGAATAAAGTCCCAAAACATTACTGTGACCTACAGGCTCCTAGGTGATATGTGTCCCCTCTTCTCACCTTCCCTGGGATCTCTATGATCTCATTTTCTATTGCATTTGGCTCCAGTTGCTCACTCCTCTGTAGCCACCCAGGTGTCATTTCTCTCTCTCTCTCTTTTTTTTTTTTTTTTTTTTTTGAGACAGAGTCTCTTTCTGTCTCCCAGGCTGGAGTGCAGTGGCGTGATCTCTGCTCACTGCAACCTCCGCCTCCCAGGTTCAAGTGATTCCCCTGCCTCAGCCTCCGGAGTAGCTAGGATTACAGATGCCTGCCACCATGCCCAGCTAATTTTTGTATTTTTAGTAGAGACGGGGTTTCACCATGTTGGCCAGGCTCGTCTTGAACTCGTGGCCTCAAGTGATCCACCTGCCTCAGCCTCCCAAAGCTGAGGCTAAAGGGTGAGCCGCCATGTTTTTAAAAATATTTGCCTAAAAATGTTTTTAAAAACATTTGCTATATCATGGACTGAATTGTGTCTCCCCAAATTCATATGTTGAAGCCCTAACACCTAGGACCTTAGAATGTGACTATATTTGGATATAGGACCATTATTTTGTATTTATTTATTTATTAAAAAAATTTTTTTTTGTAGAGATGCAGTCTCACTGTATTGCCCAGGCTGGTCTTGAACTCCTAGACTCAAGCGATTCACTGGCCTTGGCCTCCTAAAGTTCTGGGATTACAGGTGTCAGCCACCGCATCTGGAGACAGGGCCTTTAAGGAGGTAATTTAAAAGGTGGCTGAGTGGGGCTCGGTGGCTCACGCCTGTAATCCCAGCACTTTGGGAGGCCAAGGCGGGCAGATCATGAGGTCAGGAGTTCGACACCAGCTTAGCCAATATGGTGAAACCCGTCTCTACTAAAAACACAAAATTGGCTGGGCGTGGTGGCACACGCCTGTAGTCTCAGCTACTTGGGAGGCTGAGGTAGGAGAATCGCTTGAACCTGGGAGGCAGAGATTGCAGTGAGCTAAGATCGCCACGCTGCACTCCAGCCTGAGTGACAGAGCGAGACTCCTTCTCAAAAAAATACAAATAAAAAATAAATAAAAGGAGTCTGTTAGGGTGGACTCTAATCCAATCTGACTAGTGTCCTTATAAGAAGAGGGGATTGATGGTGGCTCATGCCTGTAATCCCAGCACTTTGGGAGGCCAAGGTGGGTGGTCAGGAGATCCAGACCATCCTGGCTAACATGGTGAAACCCTGTATCTACTAAAAATACAAAAAATTACCTGGGCATGGTGGCGGGCACCTGTAGTCCCAGCTACTTGGGAGGCTGAGGCAGGAGAATGGCGTGAACCCGGGAGGCGGAGCTTGCAGTGAGCCGAGATTGCGCCACTGCACTCCAGCCTGAGCGACAGAGCGAGACTCTGTCTCAAAACAAACAAACAAACAAACAAACAAACAAACAAACAAAGAAGAGGGGATTGAAACATACAAAGAGACACTAGACACTCTGTGCACAGAGGAAAGGCCATGTGAGGACCCAGAGAGAAGGCAGCGATTTGCCAAGGAGAGAGGCCTCCGAAGAAACCAAATCTGTTGACACCTTGTTCTTGAACTCCTAGCCTCCAAAATTGTGAAAAAATAAATCTCTCTTGTTTAAAGTCACCCAGTTTGTGGTATTTTATGGCAGCCGTAACAAACTAATACAATATACATTCTTAAAGTTATTTTTGCAAGGTATAAAATTCTACATTATTCCTTCTTTCCCTGTGTACATAAGATATTTAAAAATATATAAAATTCTACATTAGACGTTCTGTTCTTTCAGCACATTGAAGATTTCATTTTACACTCCTGTGATTTCTACTGGTGCTGTTGAGAAGTCACCATTTAGCCTAACAACCTTCCATTTCCTCCTGTGGTCGCTTTAAATTTTTTTTTTTTTTTTTGGGATGGAGTGTTGCTCTGTTGCCCAGGCTGGAGTGCAGTGGTCCGATCTCGGCTCACTGCAACCTCCACCTTGCAGGTTCAAGCAATTCTCCTGCCTCAGCCTCCCGAGTAGCTGAGATTACAGGAGCCCACCACCACGCCTGGCTAAATTTTCTATTTTTAGTAGAGACGAGCTTTCACATATTGGCCAGGCTGGTCTCGAATTCCTGACCTCAGGTGATCTGCCTGCCTTGGCCTCCCAAAGTCCTGGGATTACAGGCATGTTTGGAATCTGCTGGCCTCCTCTAGTTGTGATCTGGTGTCTTTCATCAGTTCTGGAAAAATTTCAACTACTCTCTCTTCAGATCTGATCTCTGTCCCCTTCTCTCTCTCTTTTCCTTATAGGATTGCTAATTTTTGTTTATTTTCAGTGGAGATGAGGTTTTGCCATGTTGCCCAAGCTGGTCTCAAACTCCTAGACTCAAGCTTCTCAACGTGCTGTGATTACAGGTGTGAGCCACCATGACTCATGACTGTTTTAATACTGGTGTCTGATCTCCCAGCATCTAAAGTCTGAGCCACACCTTTTCTGTTCTTTTGATTCTTATTGGTGTCATATTTCCCTGTGACCTGATTATGTCGGCCTGATGATTATTGACCTTTGCATTTTTTTTTTTTTTTTTTTTTTTTTTAGTGGAGTCTCCCTCTTTTGCCCAGGCTGGAGTGCAGGGGCGTGATCTTGGCTCGCCACAACCTCCACCTCCTGGGTTCAAGCGATTCTCCTGCCTCAGTCTCCGGAGTAGCTGGGATTACAGGTGCGTGCTACTACGGCTGGCTAATTTTTGTATTTTTAGTAGAGACGGAGTTTCACCATGTTGGCCAGGCTGGTCTCGAACTCCCAACCTCAAGTCATCCGCCTGTCTCGGCCTCCCAGAGTGCTGGGATTACAGGTGTGAGCCACCGCGCCCGGCCGACCTTTGCATTTAACTGGGGAATTTCCCCTGGGCCTGAGTTGAATGCATGGATTCCAGGGTCTGTGTTTGCTTTGGTTAGGCACCCCTCAGACACTTCCAGTTACAGCCTCTCCAAACATGGTTCTGGTTTCTTGTTCCTTGACTCATCCAGTTATCTACACTGGGGGTGTCAACACTGTTCTTGGGCCATTCTGAAGCCACAACTTCTCAGGGACTTTTTTTTCTTCCTTATCCCATTCTGCTCAGTGTTGATGCTGCTACCTTTGGAGTTGGGACTTGGAGTTGGGACAGGGACAGGTTTAGGTCTGGCTCGAACTCACTCAGCAGAAAGCACTTTGGGGTCCCAGCTTAGTGAAAGGAGGGTCTTTCTTTGCACTTCCTATCTAAGCCAGGCCCTGGAGGCCACAGTACTGAAATCCAATCATATGCTCCCAGCAAACCCGTTGAAGAAACAACCACCTTTTTTGTGTTCTTCTAGCCACCCTGTTTACACTGCACATTTTACAGGTGTTATGTCCTGTCTTTGCATTTCATCAGTGCTTTCTTTTAACTTTTTATTTGGAGAGAATTGTAAAGTCACAAGTTGTCATAATAAATAATGGAGATCTTCGTGTCCTTTCCTCAGTTTTCCCTGATGGTAACATTTTCCACAACTGTAGTACAATACCACAACCAAGATATAGACATCGATACAATCCACTGATGTTGTTCAGATTTTACACTTATTTGTACTCATTTGTGTGTGTGTACTTGTTTTTTGTTTGTTTGTTTGTTTGTTTTTTGAGAGAGAGTCTCGCTCTGTCTCCAGGCTGGAGTGCAGTGGCACGATCTCGGCTCACTGCAACCTCCACCTCCTGGGTTCAAGCGATTCTCCTGCCTCAGCTTCCTGAGTAGCTGGGATTACAGGCGCCTGCCACCGCGCTCTGCTAATTTCTGTATTGTCAGTAGAGACAGGGTTTCACCATCTTGGCCAGGCTAGTCTTGAACTCCTGACCTCGTGATCCACCCGCCTTGGCCTCCCAAAGTGCTGGGATTACAGGCGTGAGCCACTGCGCCCGGCCAATAAATGTATTTTTTTAAATGACTAGGTACCTCCTGAGAAGGATGCAGCTCCATTTCCCTACAGTTGGAAGCTCATTGGTTAAGAGAAAGAACAGTGAAGAGAAAATGGGGTTGAGATGGCCGCAGCTTTCTGGAGAGTAAAGCTGAGTGGTCAATTACTTCTGGCCAACTGAGGGCCCTACTCTGCTCCAAACCGAAACCATAATCCCCCACTGTGGCCACTCCAACTCTAGCCAGTAACTCACCGGTCTCTTTCGGTTCACGTTGCCTACCTGGAGGTGCTTGATCTTTCCACCTGCAGGGAGAGCAGCTGAGAAATGCCAAAGCATGGGTCCTGTTCCTGGCTTGTCTGTGGAACTACGGGACACCCATGTCTTACCTCTCCCTCCTCTTCTTCCTTAGGGATCTGAGCTTCTGGTTCAGCTGAGAGTGGGGTGAAGGTCAAGAGGGAGATCCCCGATAGTAAGGTTGGAACTGAGGATGAGGATAATGGTGAGGCAGGGGGCTATGAGAATTGGCACTGGTCATACAGGTGGTGACCAAGAAAAAGGACAGAGAAGGCCATAGAGATGGAAGAATTGAAATAAAACGAGCGTGGGGGCCAGGCACGGTGGCTCGCCTGTAATGCCAGCACTTTGGGAGGCCGAGGCAGGTGGATCACCTGAGGTCGGGAGTTCGAGACCAGCCTGGCCAACGTGGCAAAACCCCATCTCTACTAAAAATACAAAAATTAGCCGGGCGTGGTGGTGGGTGCCTGTAGTCCCAGCTACTCGGGAGGCTGAGGCAGGAGAATCGCGGAGGTTGCACTGAGCCGAGATCGCGCCATTGCACCCCAGTCTGGGCGACAGAGCGAGACTCTGTCTCAAACTAAACAAAAACAAAAACAAATTCTGGAGAGTGAAAAAGATGGGGGGGAAAATCAAACCAAGGAGACAGAACACACACGAAGACAGCAAGTGAGATTATACATGCACGTAAAAACAGAGATGGACAGAGAGAGAGGGCGTGCAACCACGTGGAGGAGGTGTGGCGCCTCTCAACATCTATTCCACTCTCCTAGCGCACCTTCCTGCGACTGCAGCGGCTGGAGGGCTCAAAACTACGTTTCCCAGAATGCCTTGTGGCTGCGCATGTGGCCGGAGGTTAGGTTCCACCAATCAGGTGCCTCCGCGGGAAGCTTGAATTTCTTACCGAAGTAAGCTGGGCGAGAGGCAGCCCGAAGGCCAGTGCAGATCCCGGCGAGAGGCTGCGGCGGTGGAGCCGGCTGGCGGCTTCCTGATCGCGCAGGAGGAGCAGCGGTTCCTGGACGGCCCTTTCTGAGCGCTGGATTTGAGAATGCCCTGGAGGCTCAGCCTAGATTCTGTTTCTTCTGAGAGGCTCTGTGTCCCTTAATAAGTCCTTTTTGCTTACACTGTCCCAAGTGAATTCTGTTCGCGCCTCTGAGCAACGATGGGTACACAGACAGGGAGAAATAGATGCAGACACGGACAGAGACAGGGAAAGTGATTCAGGGAGACACACAGAGACCCCATCCCTGCGAAGAGACAAGGAGAAAGACAATTCTGCAGAAGTGGGGTGGAGATGCAGGAAAAAAAATCAATGGGAGAAGGAAGACCTGGTTAGACAGACACTCAGAGAAATACGGAAGATAACAGGCAGAGAGGAGTGAGAGGCAAGGGCAGGTGGGCCAGAAACAGGGACACGGAGACCTCACCAGAATGCTGGCGTGAAGGTGTTGGTTGAGAGGCCTCATTTTAAATATTTATTTATTTATTTATTTAGGGACGGACTCTCGGTCTGTCGCCCAGGCTGGAGTGTAGTGGCGCAATCTCCCCTCACTGCAACCTCCACCTCCGGGTTCAGCAATTCTCCTGCCTCAGCCTCCCGAGTAGCTGGGATTACAAGCATCTGCCATCTCGCCTGGCTAATTTTTGTATTATTAGTAGAGACGGGGTTTCACCATGTTGGCCAGGCTGGTCTCGAACTCCTGACCTCAGGTGATCCGCCCACCTCGGCCTCCCAAAGTGCCGGGATTACAGGTGTGAGCCACCGCGCCCGGCCGGAGAGGCCTCTTTAGAGAACAGACTTCTCTGAAGGCATGGCAGTTGAAGGCAGGAGAATGGAGGGGACTTTGGAGAAATCTCTGACTTGCTAGACTCTCTGATTTTGGTGGCAGCGAGCATTTGCCTGGCAGAACGTCTCTTTGTCCCAGCACCTATTCCCAGCCCAAAGCTTCATCAGCTCTGACTGCGGAGGGGGTAGTGCCCCTGAAAGTGTTTCCCATTCTCCATCACTTGCCCCTGAGGCCTTGTCCCCCAAAACCAGCCCCCACTTGACAGCTTGGTAGGAGTGAGAACAGTGACTCAACTGGTTTTAATGTGTGAGGCAGATTCCAGGAGTAGTGACTGACTGAGGAACTAAGAGGAGTTGGGGGTGGCGGGAGGGACAGAAGGACTGCAAAACAGGGACACCAACGAAAAAAGAGAGGGAAACGTAGGGACAGAAAGCAGGGAGCGTGTGAGGCAGGGAAAGTGGAGACTGAGAAACTAGGGGCAGAGAGAGGGAGGGATCCAGGGGCTGAGAGAGGGGACAGAGGGGAGACAGAGGTGGGGGGCAGAGGGACAGAGAGGAGGGGCAGAGGAGGGGGACAGAAAGACAGAGAGGGGGAGGATGAACAGAGAGAAGGAGACAGAAGGACAGAGAGAGGGAGACAGAGGGACAGGGGGGACAGAGGGACAGGATGGGGAGCAGAGGGACAGAGGGAGGGAGGATGGAGGAACATAGAGAGGGGACAGAGAGATGGGGGGCACAGAGGGACAGAGAAGGGTGACAGAAGGGCAGAGAGGAAAGGGATACAGGAGTTACGGGCAGTAAGCTGGGCATGCCCCAGTTGGGATTCCAGATGGTGGACGCCTCGGCTCCTTTAACCAGTTCTCCTGGCTTTTTTTGTTGCCCCTCAGATTTCTTTTTGTTTTCCTCCACCTAAGGTTGCCAGGTAAAATACAGGATGCCCAGTTTCATTTGAATTTTAGATAAGCAACAATTCATATTGTAGCATACGTATTGCCCACATATTGCATGGGACATTTTTACACTTTTTTTTTTTTTTGAGATGGAATTCCACTCTGTCACCCAGGCTGGAGTGCCATGGTTTGATCTCAGCTCATTGCAACCTCTGCTTCTTGGGTTCAAACGATTCTCCTGCCTCAGTATCCCAAGTAGCTGGAAGTACAGGCGTGTGCCACCACGCCCGGCTAATTTTTGTATTTTTAGTAGAGATGGGGGTTTCACCATGTTGGCCAGGCTGGTCTCAAACTCCTGACTTCAGGTGATCTGCCTGCCTCCACCTCCCAAATTGCTGGGATTATAGGTGTGAGCCACCGCGCCCGGCCTAAAAAGTTCTTTTAATCTGAAATTCAAATGCCACTGGACACACAGTATTTTTATTTGCTAAACCTTGGCAACCTTATCTCCGTCACTTTCCAGTTTCTGCCTCTTTTTCATTTTCTATTTGTGTGTGCCTGCCTCTCCCTCTCTTCTAGTTCATCTCCACCATCTCTATTCTCCTTCCTCTGTTTTTTATTTTTGTTTGAGACAGGGTCTTCCTCTGTTACCCAGGCTGGAGTGCAGTGGTGTGATCTCACTGCAAACTGCCTCCAGGGATCAAGCGATCCTTCCACCTCAGCCTCCCAAGGAGCTGGGACTACAGGCACGCACCACCACACCTAGCTAACTTTTATGTTTTTTGTAGAAACAGGGTTTCGTCATGTTGTCCAGGATGGCCTCAAACTCCTGAGCTCACGAGATTCTCCCACCTCTGCCTCCCAAAGTGCTGGGATTACAGGCATGAGCCACTGCGCCTGGCCTCCCCGTCCCCTCTTAATGACCTGGCTCCTCTCATGTGTAGAGACCTCTCTTGAGACACCCCCACCAGGTCCCTGCCTAGGCCCCTTCCTCCCTCCTTCCCCCTTCCCAGCCCTCTTTCTAGGGCTGTCTCTGTGCTCCAGGCAACTTCTCTGTCTTCTTTCTCCATCTCTCTTCTCATTCAGATCCCCCACCTTTGCAATTCTCTCTATACTCCCCTCACCCCCTGCCCAGAGGAGAAGGTTTGGGGGCTTTGAGGGAGCTAGGAATCTCCCATTACTCACCTTCATCCTGACCTCATCTCCTTTCCTTTCCATTTCCTGGGCCAGAGACATCATGAGGGTTTTCCAAAGCCACACAGCAGAACAGAAACACCCGCCCTGTCCCTCCAAATCCCTTCCAATTTCCCAGCTTCTTGGTGGAAAATTCCTTTACTCTTCCTGAAAATGGCCTGGCTTGGCAATGTTTCTGAATACCAGGCAATGCTTGAGGGTCACAGGCCAGGACCAGAGGCGCCTGTGGCTCATGGGATGGTAGACTTTTGGACACCTACTATGTGCTGAGAGTGAGGGATATGGCCTGTGGGCTGTAAATACAACAACAGTGATGTGTCCTGGGCATCACCATATCCCTAGGCCCAGAACACAGTAGGTGTTCAATAAATACCTGTTGAATGAACGAATGAATGAGTGGATGGACACATCCCCAGCAGGTGGAGCCTCATCTCCATGTCTGCCCTCCTCTTCATCCCTATCGCTCTTGCTTACTTTATCCTAGCCTGAGTCCCCCTTCTTCCATCCCCCTCTGTTGGGCTTGTCCTTTTCTGGAGTCCTGTTATTGTTATTTTTATCAGCTGGAGGGGGTCTCTGGTGACTACCATGCGCTGAGCGTTTTCTCTATGTCAGGTACTGAAGGGGTGAGTGACATGTAGAATCCTTCTGGAATATTCCAGAAGGCAAGTACAGCTTTCTAGGGCGTTTTCCAGATGTGGAAATTGGGAGCCAGGGAGAGGAAGAGAAAGTGCCTTGGGTCACACCAGAATCCAAGCGTCTGGCCTCACCCCACCCAGCCTCCTTGGCCTTGGTCTCTTGTTTCTCTGTCATTATCTGCCAAGCTGCATCTCTGACACCTCCAAAATGTAAGGCAATTACTTATCTTTTTTTTTTTTTTTATGAGACAGGGTCTTGCTCTGTTGCCCAGGCTGGAGTGCAGTGGTGCAATCACAGCTCACTGCAGCCTCGACCTCTCAGGCTCAAGCGATCCTCCTGCCTCAGCCTCCCGAGTAGCTGGGACTATAGGCATGTACCAACACACCTGGCTAATTTTGAAGTTTTTTGTGAGACAGAGTCTCAAACTCCTGGGCTCAAGCGATTCTCCTGCCATGGCTTCCCAAAGTGCTGGGATTACAGGTGTGAGCCACCACATCCAGTCAGGCAATTTTTTTTTTTTTTTTTTTGAGACGGAGTCTCGCTCTGTTGCCCAAGCTGGAGTGCAGTGGTGCGATCTTGGCTCACTGCAGCCTCCGCTTCCTGGGTTCCAGTGATTCTCCTGCCTCAGTGTTCTGAGTAGCTGGGATTACAGCCACCTGCCACCATGTCCAGCTAATTTTTGTATTTTTAGTAAAGAAATGGTTTCACCATGTTGGCTGGTCTCGAACTCCTGACCTCAAGTGATCCGCCTGCCTCAGCCTCCCAAATTGCTGGGATTACAGGTGTGAGCCACCACACCCAGCCAGGCTAGTAATTTTTAAATATTTGCTCAGGGGTTGCAAACGTCCAGAGCCTAGGCATGTGAGATAAATGAGCAGTGCCGGTCAGGAAGGGGCTAAGCCTCTCTGCCCTGGGTGAGTGGCAGTGGCTGCCCCAGGCCAGCCCATTATGGGCAGGTGGCAATTGCAATCAAAGCTATCACATGGCATTTCTCAAGAGGGTCTTGAAACCCATGTTTTCAAAAGTCTCCCAATGTTTAAATGCTGGCAACAATTCCACAAAACACTGTTTGGGTCAAATGAAATTATGGGTACCGCACCTGCCTGTTGGCCGATGGTTTGCAACCTCTGAATTCATTTGAGTCCCACGTGTCAGGTTTTGTGTTAAGAAGAATTTCCCAATTCCAGTAGACTGTATGCTCCAAAAAGCCAGAGATACCTGGGTCTGTTTTGTTCATTGCTTTATCTTCAGCACCTAGAACAGTGCCTTATGCATCATAGGTCTTCAGTAATCATTTTTAAAAAAGTGAATAGTGTATCGATCCAAGCATAAGCCATATGATGTAGAAATAACAATTTAAAAAATCCCCATGTTACAGATGGGGACCTGAAGGCTCAGAGGAGCAAAGGACTGAGGGTAACACAGCAGCACGGGGATCTAAACCCATAGCTCACCTGACTCGAAAACCTCCACCTTGGCCTATCCTGATTCTACCTGGCGTTGTGTATTTGCAGGGCTGTGTGTGGGGATGTGCGTCCAAGACAAAAGCCTGTTTGTGGGACTGTGGCTCTGCATATGTGTGTGGTGGTGGTGGTGTCGGTTCTCCTGACTGGACACTGAGGCCCTGGAAGCTACATTTTTTTTTTTTTTGAGACAGTCTTGCTTTGTTGCCCAAGCTGGAGTGCAATGGTGCGATCTTGGCTTACTGCAACTTCCGTCTCCCAGGTTTAAGCAATTCTCCTGCCTCAGCCTCCCAAGTAGCTGGGACTATAGGCGCGTGCCACCATGCCTAGCTAATTTTTTGTATTTTAGTAGAGACTGGGTTTCACCATGTTGGCCAGGCTGGTATCGAACTCCTGAGCTCAGGTGATCTGCCCGCCTCGGCCTCCCAAAGTGCTGGGATTACAGGCGTGAGCCACTGCGCCCGGCCTCTGGAAGCTAAACTTGAGCACCTGCTTCTCTTCAATCACAGTTACTCCGGATGCTCACCCCGTCCAGAGAGAACAGTCCTCCCTCCCCAGCTCCCCCATCTGGGACCATCCTCAGGGGTCCCCCCACCCTCTTCCCCTAAATGCCCAGAGCCCTGGGGGAAAGGGGGAAAGAATTTAGGATGAGGGTGGAGGTGCAGGGAGGAGGGAGAGGGAAGGGGATGGGTTAAGAAGGAGTGTGTGATGTCAAGCAAAAAAGACAACATTAGACACAGATGCTGAGATGGCGTTTATCGCGGCAAAAAAAGGTGAAGTCGCCGAGGGGAAAGGGGTGGGGAAAGGGGGTGTGGTGGGGGCTGGGGTGGGGGCCATGGAAGCTAATACATGGTGCACTAGGTCACACAACGGACACTGGGGGTGGGTGAGTGGGTGGGGTGGGCGTGGCCCAGGCATGGCAATGTGGGGAGTGGGAGGAGACGGCAGTGCACCCCAGCCAGGAGCTTCTGGAGGTGGTGGGCAGGAGGCGGGCGGCGTCTCTGGTCGCAGAGGATGGAAGGAATCAGTTAGAGGGGGTTGAATGGAGGCACTGGAGGCATGGCCACATTCCAAGAAATGGAATGAAGGAGTGGGACAGCAGGCAGGGGGCCAGCCTGGGGCCTGGGCCTTTTAATCTAAGGACTGGGGAGAACCAAGGGACCTTAGAGGTCCTCCAGTCCTCCCCATATTCCAAGAGGGAGAACAAGCCTGGAGAGGAGGCTACCTTAAGGTCCTAAGAAGGATTTAGCAATCGGTTCTCCAAAGATGGCCCTGCAGCCTCCCCTGTCCCCCATTCTTCTGCTACCCTGTCTCCAACAGAGAAAGGGGGAAGAGAGGTTCTAGCTCCTCTGACTCCACCATTATCTCACTGAGGCTCCTCAGGGAAATTGGAGGATGAATCCATTTCACAGAAGGGGAAAACGGAGGCATCCTCCCAGACTACACCTTTCCACACCTCTCCCACCACCCTGCCGGGGAATCTATGCACCCCATCCCTCTAGAGTAATACTGATAGCTTGAAATCCTTAGCGATGGGGACAGGTGAGGGGACATACCTTAAAATTCTCCCAAATCGACCCGGGATGTGGGCCATGCCTCCAGTGGCCTGAGATGCCAACATAAAGAAAAGAAAAATGACTCCCCACGTCCCCTGGCTCAAACCCAGTACAAAAGTGACTATTTACAATGAAGGCGTGGGGAGTGTGTGGGGGGCACACGAAGGAGGGGGTCAGAGTGAGCGCTCCATTTGAGGGAGGCCACGCCCCTGGACCCGCCTTTTAAAGGGACAAAGCCAAATAGCATAGATATTTATAGAGGATGTCAATCCCCAGGGTGGGGCAGACCCTAGGGGTGAGGGATGGGGGTGGGGCATGGGATGGGGTGCGGGTGGGGAGGCATGGGTGGTGGGAGGAGATGGAGGAAAGGTAGCAACTGCCCCTAGCCTCCCCCCTCCCCCCTGCCGGACACACAGTTTTCCGTGGGATGAACACAGAAAGGGTTAATCAAAAAGAGTTCGATGAGCGAGTCTGACGGTCGAGTGGGGCGGGCTGGAGCAATGAGGCCGCAGGTCCCGGTGGCCGGTGGTGATGGAGTCACTTAGAAGATGAGAGGTTGGTGGTTTTGGGGGGAGAGGTGGGGTAGGGAAAGGGGTGGGGGAGGGGGGGTTAGGCAGTCCCCCCCCAGTTATCTCTGGGAGACAAGTGTCCTGGACTGGTTGAGAAGGGATTAAAAACCAGCAGCCTTCACCACCATGACCCCACAGATTCTCTTCCCATTTCCCTCCCTGCCACCCAGCAATCTCCAATGCAACTTGCAGGGGACACTAAGACAGACCATACACACCAGCAGTGGCGCCCGGAGACAAGCCCTCTCCAACCACGGCGTGGAGACAGCTGACCACAGTGCAAACGGATCGCGATAGCAGGGCTGGGTGTTATCACCCCAGTAAACCAGTGTCCCTGGCTCGCCTGTGCCCCAGCTTGGGTATCGCGATCCCGTTCTCCCCATCGTGACATCCAGTCCAGGCTTTCAGGACAGCGAGCCCGGTTTCCAGGCAGGTGCTTGTCGAAGGCCTGGCTGGCTGTACCGACAGGCGGGCACTCAGTCAGCAGCCTGGACGCCCCAACTGCCATCCTCATCGCCACTCTTGTTAATACTTTTGCCACTGCACAGTCTATCACAGCCTCTAATCCCGGTCCTGAAACAGCAATCATCCATTCAGGGGGACTCCTCTCATTTTCCAAACAATTGGCCACCAATCAAAACAAAGTAAGAAGGAGGATGTGGGATGGAGGAACAGGGAGGAGAAACAGAATGAGGGGATATTGAAGGATTTGGTGGTCCAGAGGGGAGAGGAAATACACCTCGGAGATAAGCGACACCCTGGTGTTCCAAGTAGAGGTCCCCAACCATCTATAGGTCGGCTTTTATCAACATCCACTTGGGATACCCATAATTCCCAACTACAAGTCCAGGGTAGGCGTTAGGGCAGATAGAAACGGCAAAATCATTGTCTTCTGATCACCACCCCTACTAATTATTGCAGTGAAGCCTCCTTGCCCATGTAGAGGTGGCTGGGACAGGGCAGAAGAAGGTGGCTGGGCAGGTTGGCTCAGAGCCCCCTGAGATGGGGGATGAAGGAGGTTAATTTGGCACATCGAACCCCCTCTTCTCATAGGAGCTTTGAGGTCCTTCTCTTGAATCCAGTTGGTACCGCCCCTTGGGCTAGCAGAGGAGGAGTTGAGCTTGTCTCCTCCTCCCCAGTTTCCATAGATTTGCCAGGAAGTTGGCAAGTGGGATTCTCCTTGGCTGGTGGAATTTGGGGGGACCCAAAAGGATAGGGGTAAGTTGAAAAGGAGAGCTTTTTTCTGTCTTTTTTTTTTTTTCTTACAAAGATTCTAAGAAAAACTCAGGGTGGGAGGGCTGTGGAAGGGGGACCCAATTTAGCTCCATGTCCACACTTTTGCAATGCCTCTTAGGGACCTCCTCAAAGAGAAATGGTCCCATTTCCTCCCCTCTATCCAAGGTCCTCTCCCCCCAGAGCGGCTCAGTTCCAAGGAAGTTTGGCACTTTTTTTTTTTTTTAAATGGGGAAATTGGGGAGAGAGAGTTGAGACATTTGAGGAAAGGAGGAAGACAGACAAAGACTAAGATAGAGACAGGACAGAAAACAATGGGAACCACACGGAGGAAAAAAAAATAGAAAGTCATAGGGAGCCAGACAAAGAAAGGGAGGAAGACACTTGGAGAAGGTATGGGAAGCTAGAGGGCAAATGAGAAGGAATAGGGAGATAATCCAATGCAGCAAACACTTATTAAGCACCTACTGGGTGCTGAAGAGAAGGGTGCAAGGAGGCCACTCAGAGACTCTGAGATCGGATTGGCTAATAGGGAGACGGGGAAAAAAAAAGAGATGATGGGTTTTTCAATAATCCTCATCCCTGACCCCACATCTGTGTCCCCTCTGGACAAACTGCAGCACAAAAGATTGAGGTCAGATTGCAGAAGGGACTTTCAAGAGATGGCAAAGATGGTGGAGTGAGTTTCCCAAGGTAAAATGGGGAAAGGTGTGGCTCTCTGCTCACCAACATGGTGAGTGAACTAGCTCACTGAGCTAGCAAAGTATACCTTTCAGATCACCCTGGCTGGCTGGGTAGGGGGTCCCCAAGAAATATGAATAGGGAGGGGTTGTTACACAGACACCCCAAGCAAACACTTTTCAGGAGGCCCAGCCTCCGGAGATGTGTCTGTGTGAGAGGAGTCCTGGACCCGGCTGATTGGGACCCAGACTCCAGTGAATGAGTTTGTAGAAAGCGGCTGCCAAGCGGAGGATGCAAATGATATGCAAATGAGTTCATTCAGATCCCACCTCCCCAGTCCCAGACCTTACTTCACTCTCCCTGGCTCCTTCCCTTCCTCATAGGGTCCTGGGGGGCTGTAGGGGGATATTCCAGCTAGATACTGTAATACTCGCGTGCGGGTAGAGATACTGTGAAATACTGTAAGGTCTTTTGAGAGGTGGAGGGGAGCAATGGCCCACAGAGCCGCCCCCACCTCTAACCCCAAGAGCCCCCAACGGTAGTAGAAGATATGTACAAAGTTACATCAAGAATTGTTTTGGCACTCAGATCTCCATCTGGGTTCAGTCTGGAGATTAGGGGTGGGGCAACAACAATGGGAAGTGGGGGATAGGGGAGGGGAAGTGGGGCCTGCCTCCCACCCTGGAGATGACAAGGGCATGGAAAAAGTCACCCCAGTGCCCAAGTTACAGCCTCCCATCGGGTGGAAGGGCTGGGGTGGGAAATTCAGTGCAAGGTACCTCGAAGGCTATTGCTTTCTAGGGATTTTCACATTTTGATTTGGGGGTGGCTCTCTAGCAAGGGAGAGGGATCTCCTAGGCTTTAGGGGCAGGAATTGTCTCTGTGGCTTTTCTTCCCTCCTTTTTTAGGAGAGAGACAAGGAGGCTGGATTTCCCCCAAAGTCATAGAGAAGAAAAGGGTTTGGAAGACCTAGGAGGCGGACAAATGGGGGAGAGGGTGGGCATGGGGCGCCCCTCCCCCAGAGATGCTGATGATGGAACCAGGGCACTGGGCGCCCTGCTTTGGGTTGGAGAAAGTGGAGGTGGTCTCCAAGGAAGAGAGGGAGATGGGTGGGGGTAGAGGGAGGTCTCAGCTATCCTAGTCTACATGGTTGTCAGGCCCTGAAATCTCAGTCTGCCAACAGGTCCTTAGAGCTGACCACAGCCACAGCACTCAGGGAGCCACTCCTAAACCAACTCTCAAGGCCGCCTGGCTTGTCAGACTCCATCAGAACATTCTAGTTCTCCAGAGCCCCTGGTGAGCACACCAAAACATTCTGATCCATCAGACATCACCGAAGTATGCCAGCTTGCTGGAAGCCACCAAACCAATCTAACCTATCAGACCACACGAAGCATTCTGGCCCAAGGGACCCTACTATGGCTCACTGAACTCTACACCTGGCCATACTGGCCTGACAGAGCCACCACACACTTGGCTCACCCGATTCAATGAAACAAAGCCACGCAGACACAGGCATGCACACAAAAGGCAGGGGTGGGAAGGGAGGTCTTTAACAGTAGTTTGCACTAGGTCCATCTCCCACCCCTCCCTCCAGGGCGAGTTCGCAGACTTGACGTGTTTGAATGGAGATGACCCTGACAATATTGGTTTTTTTCCGTTAGAGTCCTCCAGATTGGATCCAAGTCCCGTGCCTTATTCTCTTCCTAGGAAGACCCCCAGGCCAACACCCACCAAAGAAGGGTGTGGAGGGAGAAGGCAGGTCAGAGACTGGTCACTGTCCAATACAGGAAGTACATGCTTCAGCCTAATGACATCACAGGACGTGACCTCTAGGCATCACCGGAAGTACACCTTCCCATGATATCACCAAAGTGACCTTCAAGGAAGAACTCATTGAGACATCACAGGAAGTACCTGCTCCCTTATGTTCACAGGAAGTAACCTCTGAGGAACTGCTTCCTGTGACATCATAAGGGGTGCCCAGAAGCACCCCAGAAAGTACTCAGTGACATCACAACAGAGACCCTCATTGCCATTACTCTAAGCCATCAGAGATACCACACCAAGTTGATCCAGCCTCTTGCAAGTCTTGCCCACAGGACTGGCCCAATCCCAGAGCTGGCATCCTTCCCAGCAGCACTGTCCCTGCCCCCCCATACAACCTGACAACAAAAGAGTGAACATTCCCACCTAGGAGGGACAGCTCCAGTGGGAGGAGAGTAGCTGAGAAGATCTGGGAACTCTGGGGTCCTTGCTCCAAATGCCCCATTTCAGCTCAGACGCCTCTGCTACCTCTACTCCCATGGCTTCCCTCAGATCTAGAACTGAAAGCAGAGAGGTGGGGTGTTGTGTTTTGGGAAGGCCCCTCATTCTGGGTGACCCAGAGGCTCCCTCCCCTCCTCCCATATGGAAACAAAAACTTATAAAGGGGGAAAAAATCCTTACCAAAAAAAAAAAAAAAAAAAAAAAGGAGGGAAAGAAAGAGAAAATAACGCTTTGTTTTCTATTAAAATCAACAAAATGCAATATATACAGATATCACACAGACCTGGGCCCTGGGACAGGAAGGGTCAGGCCCAGCCAAGCACAGGGAGGGAGGAAGGAGGGGTCAGTTCCGGGCTGGGGAGGGGGCTTCTGAGCCCCCTTCCCAACCGTCACTCAATCCTGCCTATGACTACCAGAAGGGGAGGGTGCAGTCGGGCCTACCCCAGCCCCATCCCAAGAGGAGCAGGACTACACCAAGCTGAGGTCAGGAGTTGGGGGGGAGGAGGAGAGGGAAGAGGAGGAGATGGGAGGAGAGAAAAGGGTGGGAGCACACACCACAGGCCTCATCCCACTTTCTGGGGGTTTGAGGCCCTCACTCCCTGCTCGTAGGTGACCCGCTGACTGATGAGGTATTGAGCGGCTTGCGTGGCCGCGGGGCTGCCCGTGATGGTGACCCGCCGGTTCCGCGTGCCTGGCAGGAACTCGCCCTTCTTGGAGATCTGGATGCGAGCGCCCGTCAGCTCCTGGTACTCCACCAACGTCTTGCCCCCCTTCCCCAGGATGGCTCCCACCAGGTTCTCAGGCACCGCAATCTCCACCAGCTCCTTGGCACTCTCAGCCGCCAGCTTCTCCGCCGTCAGGAAGCCCCCGGCCGCCCCGGCCGCGGCTGCAGCGGCCACCAGCGGGCCGCCCCCTCCGCCCGCCCCGCCGCCCGCCCCGGCCCCGAGGTAGCCGTTGGCGGCTGCGGCCAACGCAAAGGACCCCAGGGCTCCGGGAGGCGGGGGCGGCGGCGGGGCGGCCCCTCCGGCTGGCCCGGCCCCGGCCTCGCCCGCGTAGGATGCCAGGAGGTTGGCGGCGGCGGCGGCTGCTGGGTTGGCCCCGGCGGCCACGGCGGCCAGGACGCCGGAAGCTGCGGCCGAGTTGAGGCCCAGGCCCAGGGAGTTGGTGTTGTAGCCGTAACTTGCCAGCGTGTTAAGCGCCGTGCTGATGGCCAGCAGGTCGGTGCCTGAGAAGGCGGGCAGCGCGGCGGGAAAGGCCCCCACGCCAGCCAGCCCGGCGGGGCCCAGCAGGCCGGAGGCGGCGGCGGCCGACGCTGCGGCCGCGGCTGGCAGCACATCCGCGGGGCTGGCGTACGGAGAGCCGGTGGGGTTGGAGTTGGCCACGGGGCCTGCCACGTTGGCGTAGCTGATGTTGAGGCAGCTGCTGCTCTGGGGGTCTTCTTGTACCTTCTGCACGATGGCGCTCACGGCCTTGTGCACCTGCTCGGGCTCGCCGCTGACCGTCACCACGCGCTCCTGCAGGTTGATGCCCTCCGGCTTCTGGGACAGCTGCACCCATGCTCCTGACTGTTCCATCACGGCTTTCACCGTGGCGCCTCCCTTGCCGATGATCAGGCCCGCCGTGCTGTTGGGGACGATCAGCTTGGCCTGCGTGGGGAGCAAAAGGGAGGGTCTTTAATTTTATTTTTTTAAAAAATTAAATTAAATTAGGCTGGGCACGGTGGCTGTCGCCTGTAATCCCAGCACTTTGGGGGGCTGAGGCAGGCAGATTACTTGAGGTCAGGAGTTCCAGACTAGCCTGGCCAACATGGTGAAACTCCGTCTCTAGTAAAAATCCAAAAATTAGCCAGCTGTGTGTTGGCACATGCCTGTAATCCCAGCTACTCAGGAGGCTGAGGCAGGAGAATCGCTTGAACCCAGGAGAGGGAGGATGCAGTGAGCTGAGCTCGTGCCAAATTGCACTCCAGCCTGAGTGACAGAGGGAGACCCTGTCTCAAAATAAAATAAAATAATATATATATATATATATATAATTTTGTCTATCTATATTAGTAGAGATGGGGCCTTGCGATGTTGCCCAGGCTGGTCTTGAACTCTTGGCCTCAAGGGATCTCCTGCCTTAGCCTCCTAAAGTGTTGGAATTACAGATTTGAGCCACCAAACTGGCGAAGGGAGGGTCTTTACGGTGGCTGGAGACTGAGACGCCCCAGGTCATTCCCTACCCCTCCTCTCCAGCATCCAAAATCAGGCCCAGCATGGCCTTTTGATATGCACCAGTATGGTCCAACTGGTTGTTAAAAATATTGAAATATTTCAGGTCAGGTGCAATGGCTCAGGCCTGTAATCCCAGCACTTTGACAGGCTGAGGTGGGAGGATAACTTGAGCCCAGGAGTTTGAGACCAGCCTGGGCAACATAGCGAGATCTTGCCTCTAACATTAAAATTTTTTTTAAAAAAATTGAAATATATCCACAATGGTTGGTTAATGAATAGCCAGTATTTGAGGTCCCCTCAGTAGCCCCTCAACCACCCTGTCCCATGTACCTGGGACTCTTAGTACTTCCTCTGCGTCCAGCATCTAAAAGCTTAATGGCTAATCCAATGGGGCCCTCCAGGATCTCACTCCAAGCTTGCACAATGGCCCACCCATGCCTTCTAGTGTTACGTACTCTGACTTCCAGCCCTGGAAAAGCCTTCATTAAGCCTTACTTTACAGATGAGCCTCTTGAGGCCCAAGAGGTGAAAGGACTTGTCCTAAGGTTCCCCAGTTAGTGACGGAGCTGAAATCTAGGCTCTTGGGTTCCTGATCCATTGTGCTCCCCTAGACATGGTCTTCTCGTTGAACTCTCTGTTGTTATGGGCTGACACTGTGTCCCCTTCAAATTCATATGTTGAAGGCGTAACTTCCAGTACTTTAGAATTTGACTATATTTGGAGAGAGGGTCTTTAAAGAGATAATTAAGGTAAAATGGGGTCATTAGGGCGGGCCCTAATTTACTGACTGGTGTCCTTATAAGCAGAGGAGATTAGGACACAGATGCACACAGAGGGAAGACTGTGTGAAGACACAGGGAGAAGAAGGTCTAGGAGAGAGGCCTCAGAAGAAACCAACCCTGCTGACACCTTGATCTTGGACTTCTGGCCTCCAGAATCATGAGATATAAATACCTGTTGTTTAGACCACCCAGTCTCTGGCACTTTGTTATGGCAGCCCTAGCAGACTAATCTAGTTGTCCTGTCTGTAAAATGAAGATAACATGAAGGCTTTTGTCTGAGAAGGCAGACGTAAGTGGATGTCTTGGATGTCACACAATGGATCGGGAACCCAAGAATCTAGATTTCAATCTCCTTCTAATTCCTGGGACGGGAACTCTCCAGGATGAAGAAGTTGGTCATTTGAATCTGGTGACCTCTCCTTTCTCAGTTGCAGAGCAGCCATCCTTCAACCACCCATTTGTCCAAGCATCTGCAAGTCTGATCAATCTTAATTCCTGTGGAGACATTTCAAAACCAGTCATGTCCTTTTGCACCTCCGAGAGCATTTCTACACATAAATTCCTCCCTCTCAAAAATCCTTCCCATGTCCCCTTAAACCCTGGGGGTGTCTGAGAAATTTGTGGGGGTGGTGGTTTTGGTTGTTGCAAGGACTGGGGGAAGATGTGGACTGTCAGTGGGGAGGACCATAGGTGTCTGTACCCCACAATGGAGAGTCAGTCCCTCACAAGAAAGAGCTGTCCCAGGCCCTATATGTCTACTTTTTTTTTTTTTTTTTTGAGACGGAGTCTCACTGTGTCACCCAGGCTGGTACACAGTGGTGCGATCTCGGCTCACTGCAATCTCCACCTCCTGGGTTCAAGGGATTCTGCCACCTCAGCCTCCCTAGTAGCTGGGATTACAGGCGCCCACCACCATGCCCAGCTAATTTTTTTGTATTTTTAGTAGAGACAGGGTTTCACCATGTTGGCCAGGCCAGTCTCGAACTCCTGGCCTCAAGTGATCCAGCCACCTCAGCCTCCCAAAGTGCTGGGATTACAGGTGTGAGCCACCGCACCCAGACACTATATGACTACTTTTGAATGTCCTGTTGGACATTCATGCTGATGAAGAGCCTGTTTTTAAATCTCTGAGCCCACGTCTGGGCACGGTGGCTCACGCCTGTAATCCCAGCACCTCGGGAGGCCAAGGTGGGAGGATCACTTGAGCCCAGGAGTTGTAGACCTGCCTGGGTAACATGGCATGACCCCATCTCTACAAAAAAAAAATTAAAAACATTAGCTGGCCTGGTGGCACATGCCTGTAGTCCCAGCTACTCAGGAGGCTAAGGTGGGAGGATCACTTGAGCCTGGGAGGTATAGGCTACAGTGAGCTGTAATTGTGCCACTGCACTTCAACCTGGGCAACACAGTGAAACCCTGACTCAAAAAAAAAAAAAAGTCTCTGAGCCCAGAACCCAACTGACACAGTGAGACCCTATCCCCCCCAAAATAAATAAGTAAATAAAAATAACAAAATAAAAAAAATCTCTGAGCTCAGAGCCCAACCCCATGACACATGTAAGTACCAAGTATTGTTTGCATGGTTTTAAGAGCTACTGAAATTTCCAGGAACGCAACTACCAGTAAATCAAGAGCAGATTGTGCTTTGTTTTGCTCTGCACTTCACTAAAAGTTTTCATCATTTTAGAAAACCTGGCGTCAGTAGCAACAGCATTTGTATTATTTAAGTCTCCAGTATTATACTCTGGATCACTTTACATATGTAGTTGTCTCACTTAGCTATGCTTAGGTGTGAGCAGCTGCCTAATTCATTATTCCTTCTATTGTGGTCCTGACTATTTATTTACATATTAAAATTCACCTTGGCTGGGTGCAGTGACTCACACCTGTAATCCCGGCACTTTGGGAAGCTGAGGCAGGGTGAATCACTTGAGCCCAGGAGTTCAAGACCAGCCTGGGCATCATGATGAAAACCTGTCTCTAGTAAAAATACAAAAAATAGCCAGGTGTGGTGGCATCTGCCTGTGGTCCCAGCTACTTGGGAGGCTGAGGTGGGAGGATCACTTGAGCCCAGGAGGTTGAGGCTGCAGTGAGCTGTGATTGTGCCACTGTACTCCAGCCTGGGCAACAGAGCAGACCCTGTTTCAAAAACAAAACAAAACAAAAAACAAAAACAACAACAAAGAAGCAAAAAATAAAATTCATCTTGTTTTATAACAAATCACCTTCCTTTTATTTCTTCTTTATTTAAAAAAGTCTCGTGGGATAAATAAAACATGGTATATCCATACAATGGAATATTACTTGGCAATACGTTGAATGAACAAAGTACTGATACATGCTATAGCGTGGATGAATCTAGAAAAAATTATGCTAAGTGAAAGAAGCCAGTTACAAAAGACCACAGCTGAGTTCATTTACATAAATGTCCAGAATATGCAGATCCACAGAGCCAAAAAGGTAGATTAGTGGTTGCCAGGGAATGGGAGGAAGGGGATTGGGGGTAACTGCCTACAGGCATAGGATTTCTTTTGGGTAATAGATACTTTCTGGAATTAGAAAGTGTTGATGGTTGACCATATACTGTGTGATTCCTTTTACAGAAATGTCCAGAATAGGCAAATCTATAGACACAGAAAGTAGATTTGTGGTGGCTTGGGGTTAGGGAGAGGGTGAGCTGAGGTGGGAGATCGAGGGGTCATAGCTAAGATGATCAAGATTTCTTTTGGAGGCCAGGCTCGGTGGCTTATGCCTGTAATCCAGCACTTTGGGAGGCAGAGGCCAGAGACTGCTTGAGCCCAGGAATTAGAGATCAACCTGGGCAAGATGGTGAAACCTCATCTCTACAAAAAATAAAAATAAATTAGCTGGATGCAGTGGTGTGCACCTGTCGTCTCAGCTACTCAGGAGTCTAAGGGATCACTTGAGCCCAGGAGTTTGAGGCTGCAGTGAGCTATAACAGGTGCCACTACACTCCAGCCTGGGTGACAGTGCAAGACCCTGCCTCTAAAAAAAGAAAGAAAGAAAAAAAAAAGGATTTATTTTGAAGGCAGTGCAAATGTTTGAAAATGGATTGTGGCAATAGGTGTACAACTATGTGACTATAATAAAAGCCAATGAACTGTACACTTTATTTATCATGTATTTTATGTTTCTCTTTTTTTAAATAGGGTCTTGCTCTGATACCCAGGCTGGAGTGCAGTGGTGTGATCAGAGCTCACTGCAGCCTTGTACTTCTGGGCTCAAGTGATCCTCCGGCCTCGGCCTCCTAAAGTGCTGGGATTACAGGCATGAGCCCCCATACTGGGCCTAGAGCCGTGTACCTTAAAAGGGTGAGTTGTATGTGAATTATATCTCAATAAAGCTGTCAAAAAGTCTTACGGGTGTAGATATGTCTATATGTGTATATATGAATATGAATAGTATTTCAGAGAGTCAAGTGAACATGACAAAATATTTGTAGGAGAAAGGGGGTGTTGCTGTGACAGAGCTCCCCATGCTCTATTCCCTGTTGGTCTCCCTGACTTTATTATTATTATTATTATTTTTTTTTTTTTTGAGACACAGTCTTGCTCTGTCACCCAGGCTATGGTGCAGTGGCATCATCTCAGCTCAATGCAACCTCCACCTCCTGGGTTCAAGTGATTCTCAAGTGAGCCGAGATCATGCCACTGCCCTCCAGCCTGAATGACAGAGTGAGACTCCATCTAAAAAAAAAAAAAAAAAAAGGCCAGGCATGGTGGCTCATGCCTGTAATCCCAGCACTTTGGGACGCTGAGGTGGGCAGATCGCTTGAGCTCACAAGTTGTACAGCCTGGACAACATGGCAAAACCTCATTTCTACAAAAAGTACAAAAATTAACTGAGTGTGGTGGTGCATGCCTGTAGTCCCAGCTACTTGGGAGTCTGAGAAGGGAGGATGGCTTGAGCCCAAGAGGTGGAGGTTGAAGTGAGCCAAAATGGCATCACTACACTCCAGTCTGGGTGATCGAGCCAGACCTTGTGAACAAGAAAAAGGAATCTTCATTTATTCTAGAGTAAAAGAGACTAATGAGGTGTAACAATCAAATGCAAAGCACGAATGTTGACTGAATCTCAGATTGAAAAATCCTCTATAGCTATAAAAGATATTTTAGGGCAATTTGAATATGGACTTTCCAATGAGACAATAGTATAGAATTAGCATTTTTGTTTGTTTGTTTTTGTTTTTAGGTGTGTTGACAGTAATACAATAATGTAGGAGATTGTCCTTGGAAGATACATGTTAAAGTACTTAGGAGTAAAGAGTCATGAGGTCAGCCAGGCACGGTGGCTCACGCCTGTAATCCCAGCGCTTTGGGAGGCCAAGGCGGGCGGATCACGAGGTCAGGAGATCGAGACCATCCTGGCTAACATGGTGAAACCCCATTTCTATGAAAAATACAAAAATTAGCCAGGCGTGGTGGCACACGCCTGTAGTTCCAGCTACTTGGGAGGCTGAGACAGGAGAATTGCTTGAACCTGGGAGGCGGAGGTTGCAGCGAGCCGAGATCATCGCACCACTGCATTCCAGCCTGGTGAGTGAGCAAGACTCCGTCTAAAAAAAAAAAAAAAAAAATCACAACAAAAATTGTGTGTGCGCACGCGCATGTACACACATGCATGCACATGTGTTCATGCATGCACAAATGTTAACAACTGGTGAATCTAAGTGCAGTGTATGGGGACTATTCCTTAAACATTTTCAAAATAAAAAGGAAAAAAATCTATGCCCTAACATTCCCTTTTCCTCTTCTCCGCTTTATTTTTCTTCATAGTATTTTTCACTCTCTAACATCCTCTATATTTTACTTATCTCCTTGTTTATTTTGTGTTTCTCTGTAAAAGAATTTCAAATCCACGAGGTTAGAGATTTTTGCCTGTATTATTACTGCTGGGTTCTCAGCGCCTAGAAAAGTGCCTGGAACACAGTAGATACTCAGCAAAGGGTGAGCGAATAAATAGACGGATGAAGACTGAAGGATGACACGCCCACAGGCCCAAGCAGGAAGGCGAATGGGTGGAGGCAGCAGGTGTATCTTACCTGGTGGGGGTGGGGAGTGGTAGAGTACTATGCAATTGGGCAGCCAAACTAAGCCTGATGGACATTTTCCAGATGAGTTGGAAATGCTGATTTGTAAAATGTGAAGCACCCTAGTTTTTTTTTTTTCTTTTTTTTGAGACGGAGTTTCGCTCTTTTGCCCAGGCTAGAGTGCAGTGGCGCAATCTCAGCTCACTGCAACCTCCGTCTTCCAGTTTCAAGCGATTCTCCTGCCTCAGCCTCCCGAGTAGCTAGGATTACAGGCACCCACCACCACGCCCGGCTAATTTTTGTATTTTTAGTAGCGATGGGGTTTTAACATGTTAGCCAGGCTCGTTTTGAACTCCTGACCTCGTGATCCGCCTGTCTCAGCCTCCCAAAGTACTGGGATTACAGGCCTGAGCCACCACACCTGGCCAGCATCCTAGTTTTTAAATGTTGGCAATCTCTTAAAAATGTCTAAGATTTGTGTAGTAGAAACAATGCAATGTACTAGCCAGGCTACCCATTTGCAGTCTGTGCATACAAATCCCTGAAAAGCTGCCTTGGACTCTGGAGTCACCTGCTTGGGTTTAAATCCTGGCTCCCTGTCTGATGCTGGGCAAGGGACCTAACCTCTTTGAGACTCAGTTTTCTCATCTGTAAAACAAGGATATTCAGACCTCCTCATAGGACTATGATGAAGCTTAATTGAGCTTATGCATGTAATGGTGAGCTTGAAATCCAAGCATGACCACAAGTAGCTGGAACTGAGAGTGAGTGCCCTTCAGGTGACTCACAACTGCTACCATTGGCAGATTACACCTCAGTCCCTATGTTTCTGCTTGGCCCTGTGGGTGAAGTCATCACCTATTCATTCAAATAAGTGACATGTGCTGAGCACCTACTATGTGCCAAGCATAGGGCATCATGTATGTGTGCAATTAATATAAGCCATAGAAGCACTCAAGAAATGATTATTGTCAGCCGGGCGTGGGGGCTCATGCCTGTAATCCCAGAACTTTGGGAGGCCAAGGTGGGCGGATCACGGGGTCAGGAGATCAAGACCATTCTGGCTAACACGGTGAAACCCCGTCTCTACTAAAAATACAAAAAAATTAGCCAGGTGTGGTGGCGGGTGCCTGTAGTCCCAGCTACTCGGGAGGCTGAGGCAGGAGAATGGCGTGAACCCGGGAGGGGGAGCTTGCAGTGAGCCGAGATTGCGCCATTGCACTCCAGCCTGGGGGACGGAGGGAGACTCTGTCTCAAAAAAAAAAAAAAAAAGAAAAAAGAAAAGAAAAGAAAAAGAAATGATTATTGTCATTGTTATCCCCATGGATGGAGCTGGATTTAAATCCCACATCTGCGGTACAGCTATTATGGAAACCAGTCTGGCAGTTCTTCAAAAAGTTGAACATAGATTTATCATATGTCCCAACAATTCCACCCTAGGTATCTACCCGAGAGCTGGAAATATATATCTACAAAAAGACTTGTACATGAATGTTCAGAAGCATTACTCATCATAGCTAAAAAGGAGAAACAACCCAAATGTCTATCAACTGATGAACAGACAAGCAAAATGTGGTCTATGCATACAATGAAACATTATTTGTCTATAAAAAGGAGTAAAGTTTTGACACATGCTAAACTATAGATAAACCTCGAAAGTATTACATCAAGTGAAAAAAGCTAGACACAAAAGACCATATATTATATGATTCTGTTTATATAAAAGATCCAGAATAGGCAAGTCCACAGAGACCAAAAGTAGATTAGTGGCTGGAAGACGTTGAGACTGGGATCTGGGGGAATGGTGAGTGACTGCTCATGGGCACAAGGTTTCTTTTTGGCATGATGAAAATGTTCTGGAATTAGATGGTAACTGATGTACGACTCTGTGAACATACAACAAAACTACTAAACTGTACACTTCTAAACAGTAAAGCTTACAGTATGTGAATTATAGCTCAACAGAGCTGTTATTTCAAAAAAAAAAAAAAAAAAACACCAGGAAAAACAAACAGCCTGACAAATCAAGAAGATGGAACAGCATGTTCACAACCACAACCAGGAGTGGTATTTAGTCTGTGATGCAGTATTTTAGAGCAGTGAAGGAAGGATAGATTGGCCAAGAAAAGGTTTGAGGACAAGGGGTTAATCATGTGGGAAAAATAAAGTTAGGTTTTAAGAAAATTTCTACCTCTTCCACCTCCTAGCTGGTGGCCTGTGAAAGTCCCTTTACTTCTCAGAGCCTCTTTTTCCACATCTGTAAAATGGGCATACTATTCCCGATCCATACGATTTGTGCAAATATTCAGTGAGACACTGGAAGCCTGCTCTCTGGAGTCACTCAGTCAGCAGGGTTGCTGTTTCTACAACACAGCAAGGTCCAAATCGTAGGTTGTTTTTTTTTTTTTTTTTTTGAGACAAAGTCTTGCTCTGTCAGCCAGGCTGGAGTGCAGTGGTGCGATCTTGCCTCACTGCAACCTCTGCCTCTCAGGTTCAAGTGATTCTCCTGCCTCAGCCGCTGGGGTAGCTGGGATTACAGGCGCCTGCCACCATGTCTGGCTGATTTTTGTATTTTTAGTAGAGATGGGGTTTCACCATGTTGGCCAGGCTGGTCTTGAACTCCTGGCCTCAAGTAATCCGCCCACCTCGGCTTCCCAAGGTGCTGAGATTACAGGCATGAGCCACTACGTCCAGCCTCCTAGTTTATTCTTTAGTAACTGTGTGACCTTAGGCAAATGCCTTCACCTCTCTGTGCCTTACCTTTCTCATCTCCAGTATTAGCATAACCACACCTACCCTATATTATTATTGGAAACATTCTTTTTTTTTTTTTTTTTACAGTCTTGCTCTGTCACCCAGGTTGGAGTGCAGTGGCGCGATCTCGGCTCACTGCAGCCTCCGCCTCCCAGGTTCAAGCGATTCTTCTGCCTCAGCCTCCTGAATAGCTGAGACTACAGGTGTGCACCACCATGCCCGGCTAATTTTTTTGTATTTTTAGTAGAGATGGGGTTTTGCCATGTTGGCCACGCTGGTCTCGAACTCCTGACCTCAGGTGATCCACCCACCTCGGCCTTTCAAAGTGTTGGAATTACAGGCATGAGCCACTGCTCCCGGCCTGTTATGGGAAACATTCAATGACTAAAGTGATGCCCAGTGCCTGGCACATGGGAAGCGCTAAGCCAATGGCAGCTGCCTTCATGATAGACCCTGAATTGTAGAACTACAGCATCTTAGAAAGATCTGCAGATGCAGACTCATAGAATCTTGGAATCCCAGGACATTAGAACAGTAGAATCTTAGATAATACATGCTTAGAATCTTGGAATCACAGAGCCATAGAACTGTTGAAGTTTTAGAGCCAGAAGGACCAGAGACCATCTGCCCCAGTGATTTGCAAGCCCATGGAAATTTGCAAATACTACTACTACCACCACCAACAATAACAACAAAAGCAGCATCAACAGCTAACAGTTTAATAGAGTAACTTATCTAGGTTCCACCACAACCCTAAGATAGGTGTTATTATTACCCCATTTTCTAGATTGGGAAATGGAGGCACAAAGAAAGAACTTGCACAAGTTCTTTCACAGGTAATGAGCAGTAGAGTCAGGATCTGATCCCGGGCCAGAGTTTATGCTCAGATTCCTAAGCCTTACCAGAAATATTGATTCAGTGGTTCTGGACAGGACCCATGAATCTGCATTTTAAGCTACCCAGATGACTCAGATATCAGCTAGGGGTGAGAGCCACTGGTATAACCCAGAAGTGGCAATCTGGTGATCCTCAGGCCCCAGTCAGCCTACAGCCATACATGTTTTTTTGACCTTCATAGTGTTTTAAAAGCAGAGTTGGCCTGGCGCAATGGCTCACGCCTGTAATCCCAGCACTTTGGGGAGCTGAGGCGGGTGGATTGCTTGAGTCCAGGAGTTAGAGAACAGCCCGCAACATGGTGAAATCCTGTCTCTACAAAAAATACAAAAATTAGCCAGGGGCCGGGCGCAGTGTCTCATGCCTGTAATCCCAGCACTTTGGGAGGCCAAGGAAGGCAGATCACCTGAGGTCAGGAATTCGAGACTGGCCTGGCCAACATGGTGAAACCCCATCTCTACTAAAAATACAAAAAATTAGCCAGGCATGGTAACAGGTGCCTGTAATCCCAGCTACTTGGGAGGCCAAGGCAGGAGAATCACTTGAACCCGGGAGTTGTAGGTTGCAGTGAGCTGAGACCAGGCCATTGTACTCCATCCTGGGCAACAAGAGCAAAACTCCGTTTCAAAAAAAAAAAAAAGAAAAGAAAAAAAAATTAGCCAGGCGTGGTCGTGTTCACCTGTAGTCCCAGCTATTCAGTGGGCTGAGGTGGGAGGATCGCTTGAGCCTGGGATGTCGAGGCTCCAGTGAGCCTAGATCATACCACTGCACTCCAGCCTGGGTGACAGAGTGTGACTCTGCCTCAGACTAATATATATTAAATAATAATAATAATAAAGCATTTTAAAGTCAGTTGATCTAAAAAATTTATGGCTTCTTTTGAAAAATTTGGAAGATGTGGTAGCACTATGTTCATGTTCCCAAAGTGCAATAATTCGGTGGATTTGAGTGGCAGCTTCTCCCTTTAAAGATGGCATACCCTCTCCAGAGAGCAACAACCCTCAAGGCTTTTGTTACCTTTTTCAATACTTTAGTTATTTAATTTATAATCCCTGGTTTGGCCCAGCTGCTGCACTGTAATAAAAGAGAAACTGAGGTCTACAGAAGGAAAGGGGCTCTGAGTAACACTGCAAGTCCAAGGCAGAAAAGAAGTAGACCTGTTTCCTGACTCAAAAATCCCATAATAACAACAGAGAACATTTTTGGGGCTAACTTTCTATGCATTATACACATAAGCTATGTGCTTTTCAAACATCAACGAACACTAACCATCACCCTTAAGGAGGCATCATAATGAATCTCATTTTACAGGTGAGAAAAATGAGGATTGGAGAAATCAAAGTCACTTGCTCAAGGTCACATAGGACGTAAGTACTGTACGGAGAAGGATTCAACTAAACAACAGAGCCCAGAGCCTGAGTTTTCAGCTATGATCTCCCTCAGTCTTTGGAACACTCGAGTAATAAGGCAGGGAATAAATCCTGGTTCTATAACCTTTCGACTCCACTGTCTCAGAGCTCCTGTGGATTAGGGGGAGGGGGTAGAAGGCTCAGGCACAGATGGTGCTGACCCCATTTTCCTTGCAACATTCACAAACTCCTGATGAACCCTGAGTCCCTTGTGGCCACGACCAAGGCGGAGGGAAGAGGCAATGCCCTCGCCTCCCTGTAAACTGTGAATAACTTGTGCGCTGCTGGTGGGAAGGGATTCGGGAGAAACCTGGCGGGGAGCGAGGAGCTTCAGCACCAAGGACAGCGTCCGCGCTACACGCCCCAAGCCCTGCGGTCTTTTTTGGGAGCGCTCCACCCTGCAGCTCTCCTCCAGGCTTCTCCGCCCACCATTTCCCCATGAGCTTAGGGGAACTCAGGCCTGTGCTCTGCCCCACCTCAGGGCAACGACAGGACCCAAGAATTCCAGATTTTACGGACTCCCTCTCTCCTGTCTTTGCCTCTAGGTAGACGTTAACGAGCCCTCGCAAGGGGCCCTCCCGTCAGCCCAGGGGTTCTCGCCCCATTGCACGGAGTACGCATGCATAGGGGAGTGGGGACGGGAGAGAAAACGGGAGCCAGCCCCGCGTTTCCGTTCCCTTACGCACTTCCGGGTCCGGACAGCGCTGCCTGCAGCTTTGAGGGGAGCCCACCTGCCCCGTGAGCGCCGTCGTCATGGCAACCGGACAGGCCCGGGAAGCGATTGGCCACTCCCTGCCACGCCCCTATGCCACTGCTTCCCCGTAACTGAGGCAACGGAGGGGCGCTGCCTTCCCCCTTCCATTCCTTCCTGGAGAGGGCTGTGTAGGAGAGGGACCCACCTCTTCTCTCGCTAATGAAACACCACCTCTACCCCCATACGTTAATTATGGAGGGAAGGAGGATGAGAGGCCATTTGTAAACTCTTCTGGATGTGGCTGAACTGTCACTGAGGTCACTTCCGGTGATAGCAGGAAGTGGGAGGCAGGTCGTTCAGAGAGACAATGGGATGAGGTGGAAGAGAGAAGAGGAACTAGAGAATCCTAGGAAGAAAGGATCGAACAATAGGGAATCATGCCACATTCTCCCAGACCTTCACTCCCTCTCTGAATCAAGCCCACTCTAAATGTTCTGGAGTCCTTTCTATTCTATTAGAGCTGACTCCCTAAAAATAATACTAACCACTACCATGTGGTCTTTGACTGATGAGATTTTTATCAGCTTTGTCCCATTGAACCTCACAGTAAGCAGTGATGTGGGAGGAATGTTTCTTTGTGAATGTCAACAGCTTTACAGCAACCCAGTCTCTGCCCCAGCTGACCTGCTTGGCTCTGTCGGGGTTCATCGTGGTTTGGGGTTGAAGGATGTTGACCACCTCAGGCTTGGTCATCGCTTGTGGGATTTCTCGGACCTTCTCGGCAATAAAGCTGTGCACAGCATTCAAGGCCTCTGCCGTGCCCTGTACTAGGCATACCCGCTCTGTGGTTCCTGTTGAGCAAGGGAGAGAGAGGGCACACTCATGAGACAGGAATGGGAACATTCCTGAGAGACAGGCCCCATTTAATGGAAGAGGCAAGCTGAGGTCCAGAGAGTGGACCTGACTGATCACACGGTGAGCCTGGGGGAGCGGGCATGGGCTGGCAGGCCATGATGGGCAGCTGGGAGAATGAGTGCCATCCTGTTTTATAATCTGCACTTCATCTCCCTCCCCTAAAACAACCTCTAGGGATGGAAGAATGATGCTTAAATGTTTTGCGATGCCCACAGCAGCCCTGGGCAGGGGAGACAGGGCTCAGCTGCCTCTTCTCAGTTCTTGCGGTTCCCTGGTTGCTTTGGCAACCATTCACTCACTCCGCCCCCCTCCCCTTCTGGAAGCAGAGAGCTCAGGCCTGCAACGGTTGCCACAGTAACTGGAACCCCCTTATCGGTCTGGCTGGCCGGGTCCTCAGCCCACCCCCAGGGGGACGAGGGACGAGGCCCTGTTGTCATGGCAACCCCTGAAAGCCTGCAGCGTTGGCCTCTGGGCTTTTTGGAGAGGATGGGGGAAGAGCTGGGGGATGGGGGAGGCAGAGGAGAGGCCTGAGTGCCTGTCTGAACCCACCAGATGGAGGGCTGAGGGGTGGGGGAGGGCAGGGGTGTGGACAGGGGAGAGCAGGGTGGGTCAAAGACTGCTCATGGAGGAGTGAGGACCAAGGAACTGGGGAGGGAGGGTCTTTCCTGGAGATTCTCCAGATACTGGCTGTGGCTCTGTCCTGGGCATCCTTCTCATTTCTGCATGAGAGTGTTAGGGAGTGGGGGCACGGGGGAGAGAGAAACTGGGGGGTATTGGGATATGTGTGTGAAAGAGATTCTGGGTGACACTGTGACCAGTGTGTGTGTCTGCGAGGCTGGTGAGTGGTGTGTGTGTGTGTGTGTGTGTGTGTGTGTGTGTGTGTACTTGAGCAGGACTAGCTAGATGATCCTAATCTGTGTTTGTAGAAGATAAAGTGCAGAGACTGCCTTATGAACAGACTATGTGACACAGTGATTCCGGTGAAGATGTTCGTGCGTGCCCTTGTGTGTGGGACAGACTTTGGTGTCGCTTTGATGATGAAGGTTATGTAGACTCTTTGTGAGACAGAGCTGAGTGTATGTGAGAGTTTGAGAGAAAGAAACAAAAGAATCTCACAAAGTGGGATAGAGGCTACACAATGAATATATACCACTTTGAGACTGGATGGCAGTGTATGTGTCTGCATTTGTGTGTGTACGTGTGTTTGTGAAAGTGAAAGAGAGACACACTTCTGGATGTTTCTGAGACTATTTGGATGACCAGTGTGAATATACACATATGTACAGGAGACAGGAAAGACCCTATGACCAGTGTGTGTGAACCTGAGAAGGAGAGACAGACAGGTAGACTCAGGTGTCAGTTTGTAGGACTTTTTGGATGACTGGTGTGTTTGTGTATGTGTGTGTCTGAACATGTGAATTACAGCGAGACAAAGAAAACTTGACTGGTCAGTGTGAGAATGTGCGTGCCTGGGTGAGCCGGGATGTGTGTGATGCGTGGAGTGTGAGTGTGTCTCTCTCTCTTTGAAGGGGATTCTGCCCCTGAGAATGTAAAAGGTCTTGAGTGTGGCCGGGTGCGGTGGCTCACGCTTGAAACCCCAGCACTTTGGGAGGCCGAGGTGGGCAGATCATGAGGTCAAGAGATCGAGACCATCCTGGGCAACATGGTGAAACCCTGTTTCTACTAAAAATACAAGAATTAGCTGGGCGTGGTGGCACGCACCTGTAGTCCCAGCTACACGGGAGGCTGAGACAGGAGAATCGCTTGAACCTGGGAGGCGGAGGTTGCAGTGAGCCGAGATCATGCTACTGCACTCCAGCCTGGCGGCAGAGCGGGACTCCGTCTCAAAAAAAAAACAAAAAAAAGAAAAAAAACAAAAAGTGTCTTGAGTGTGCACCAGGCACCGTGTGGCTGTGTACCTGTGTGTCTGGGATACCTGGGGTGTGTGTCAGTGTCCAGCAAGCACTTCAGTGCAGCACGCTGGTGACACGACCCTGACTCCTCAATTGCCATTTCCCAGTCTGGCAGGCCAGCCTCGCCATGTGTCTGGGCGTCACTGTCTGTGGGTCACTTGTGTAGCTGACATCCCCCACCCGCTTTGGGCCATGTTCCTCACTCTTACTACCCCCCCTTCCCCACCCCAGAACAATGGCTTGGTCTGAGCCAAGGGTGAGTCAGCCTGCAGTCTGCCTCCGTCTGGTGTAAATAGGAAAGGGTGTGGGTTGGGGTGGGAACTGGGGGGCGGGGTAGGGGGAGGTGGATGCCCCAGGAAGAGCTGGCCGAGGGTTTGCCTCTCTGTGAAGCTTCCTTCCAACTCAGGAAGTCTTTGACCTTCCATCCCCTTGTAGTTTTTACAAGGGGGCCCACAGGGGCTTTTGGGGAGGTTGGTTAAGCCCCACAAGAGTGTCTAATAATAGCTGACCCTTATACAACCCAAGCCTCAGGCACCATTCTAAGCACTTTTTTTTTTTTTCCCTGAGACAAGAGTCTCATTCTGTCGCCCAGGCTGGAGTGCAGCGGTGCGATCTCAGATCACGGCAACCTCTGCCTCCCAGTTCAAGTGATTCTCATGCCTAAGCCTCCTGAGTAGCTGGGATTACAGGCGTGTGCCACCACGCCCGTCTAAGTTTTGCATTTTTTGTAGAGATGGGATTTCACCATGCTGGCCAGTCTGGCCTCAAGTGATCCACCCGCCTTGGTCTCCCAAAGTGCTGGGATTACAGATGTGAGCCATCGCACCTGACCAAAGCACTTTATACATACGTGTTCACTTAATATATGAAGTAGGCAATATTATTATTGTCCCTGATTCCCTGCTAAGGACGCCGAGGCACAGAGAGGGCTCAAGATGTGTTCAAGTTCTCTTAGATGGTAGTGGATGTTCAGAGATTTGAACCCAGGTGTCTGGCTTCAGAGTCTGTGCATTCTGCTAAATTTGGGGTGCATGGAGTGATCAGCTCTATGTGTGTATCTTGGAGGGAGGCATAAAATGATGACAGTTTTATTTTTGTATTTTTGATATTAAAAAGAATATGAATGTATTAAGTAGTCATTCAAGAGTATGCACGTTGATAGAGGTATGTTATAAAACTATAAAAATGTTTTTTGAAGTGTGTGTGGTGGGACACAGTGGCTCATGCCTGCAATCCCATCACTTTAGGAGGCCAAGGTGGATGGAGGGCTTGAGCTCAGGAGTTCAGCCTGGGCAATATAGCGAGACCCCATCTCTACAAAAAAAAATATACAGGCCAGGTGCAGTGGCTCACGCCTGTAATCCCAGCACTTTGGGAGGCCGAGGCGGGTGGATCACCTGAGGTCTGGAGTCCGAGACCAGCCTGCTAACATGGTGAAACCCTGTCTCTACTGAAAATACAAAAAATTAGCTGGGCATGGTAATGGACGCCTGTGATCCCAGCTACTCGGGAGGCTGAGACAGGAGAATCGCTTGAACCTGGGAGGCGGAGGTTGCAGTGAGCCGAGATCTCACCACTGCACTCCAGCCTGGGCAACAACAGCGAATCTCTGTCTAAAAAAAAAAAAAAAAGTAGCTGGGCCTGGTGGTGCACACCTGTAGTTCCAGTTACTCAGGAGGCTGAGGTGGGAGAATCACCTGAGCCCAGGAGGTTGAGGTTGCAGCGAGCCACGATCGTGCCACTGCACTCCAGCCTGGGTAACAGAGGAAGACCCTGCCTCAATATAAATAAATAAATACAAAATAAAAAGTGTGTGTGTGTCTGTGCTTTTCTTCAGCAGTTAGGGTATAAAGCTTCAAGCAGATGTTCAACATCAGACGGTGTTTTAGAATCCCTAGGGTGGCCGGTCGCGGTGGCTCAAGCCTAGCACTTTGGGAGGCCGAGGCGGGTGGATCGCGAGGTCAGGAGATCAAGACCATCCTGGCCAATATGGTGAAACCCTGTCTCTACTAAAATACAAAAACATAAAAATAAAAAAATTAGTTGGGCATAGTGGCACATGCCTGTAGTCCCAGCTACTCGGGAGGCTGAGGCAGGGGACTCGCTTGGACCCAGGAGGCAGGGGTTGCAGTGAGCCGAGATCACGCCACTGCACTCCAGCCTGGTGACAGAGCAAGACTCCGTCTCAAAAAAAAAAAAAAAAAAAAATAGAATCCTCAGGGTGGATCTGGGCTGACGCAAGGGAGTCTGTGTGGCCCTTGCGCAGGTGCTTGCCTTTTTCTGCATTTCAGTTGCTCCATGTATGACCTGGATGGATTGAATCTAGGGCTTTGGGATCCACCACAAAGGAGGGGAGGTTGTGTGTTCTGCCCTTCTCTTGGAGTTAAGTGCCAGGTAGGTTTTTATTTCATGTAGTAGACACCCAAGTGCTGTGTGTGTGTGTGTGTGTGAGAGTGTGTGTGTGTGGGAGCATGTGTGTGAGTGGGGTGTGTGTGAGTGTGAATGAGTGTGAGAGCACGTGTGACAATGTGTGTGTAAGCGTGTGTGTGAGTGGGATGTGTGTGAATGAGTGTGAGTGTGTGTAAGCATGTGTGACAATGTGTGACAGTGTGTGTGACTGTGTGTAAGCGTGTGTGTGGGTGTGAGGGTGTGAGTGTGAATGAGTGTGTGTGAGCATGACAGTGTGCGTGTCAGCGTGTGTGAGTGTGAGCGTGTGAGACTGTGTGTGAGTGTGCATGTGAGAGTGTGAGTGTGTGTGCATGCTAACCTACTAGGCCCAGAGTGCCCTTTCAGTTTCTCCACTGTCATTTCTCACATGTTCTGTCTGCTTTGGCTACATTGACCAAACTGCTCAGCAGCCTCCGAGTATGCCATTTTGTCTTCCTGGGCACACTTCCCTGCACTTTACCTCGCTCATCCTTCCCTACTGCTCTGGTCGTCTCTTCCAGGAAGCTCTTCCTGACCTCCCTGGGCTGGGTCCTTTGTGCCACTTGGGCTCCAACTACCAACCTCTGGACTTCCTGTCCCAGCCCTGACCACTCTGGGTCATCACTGGTGTGACGTCTGCTTCCCTGACTGGGATGTGAGAACCAAGGAAGCAAGGCTGGGACATTTCAGCCACTGCTATTGTCCCCATTTCTGTCTGGCACCGGGCTGGCATAGAGGAAGTGCTCAGAGAATGTGTGTTGAATGAATGAGTGAATGAATGAATGACAGGGTGTCACGCCAGGAGTGGAGGGAAGTGTTTTTTGTCTCCTGCAGTAGCTTTTCCATTTTCCTACATTCCTGTGGGATGTAGGACTAGGATGTAGGGGGCTGTGTCCTGCTTCTCTGAGTCAGCAGCCGGCTCATGCTGTATGATCTGGAAGTTGCACGCCAGGAGTGGGGATGGGGGCTGACCACATGTCCAGGGGCTGAGGAGAGACGCTGGCTCCTGTTGCTTGTCTGAATACTGTTTGACCTGGTAGGACCAATGTCTGTCCCGCCTTCTGGGTTTCCCAGCTGCCTGGCCTGTGGGGTGTGTCAATGGGCTGGGAGGGGACGACATGTCTCGTGGCACAGAATGTGATCCAGGAGCAAGGAACCAAGTGTCCTCGGAGGAACATTCCGAACAGAGGTCTTATCCATATCTTGTGGGCTACAGGGGAGTGGGGAAAACTGGGCCAGGGTGGAAGAGAAAAGGAGGAGGTGTGCCTGGTTCACTCGATTTTTCTCTAAACCTCTTGCCAAAGCTGCTTAGTGAGATGGGAGGCTGGGGGCGGGGTGGATGGTGGAGAGAGAGAGAGAGAGAAGAGGAGAGAAGATAGAGCAGAGAGAGAATGAGAGAGAAAGAGGGAGGAGAGAGGGAAAGATAGGAGAGAGGAGAGACGGGGTGGGGAGAGAGAGAGAGACAGAGAGGGAGAGAGAGAGAGAGAGAGAGAAAGAGAGAGAGAGAAAATGAGTGCGTACTGACCCTGGGCTCCAGCTCTGGTGTTTGACCTAAAAAATCCAAGGGGATTAAGGATGAACTAGAACCAGCACTGGACCAAAGATGCAATTCAGGAGGCCTTCCCTGGAGTCCTAGATGTCGATGCTTGTCGGGCATTGGTCTTGGGAGGGAGATAGGGAGAGGTGAGAGACTTTGGAGGGAATAGAGAGAGTGGAGGGGCCTTGGAAAATGTATGGTTGGGGGAGAAGGATGGAGCAGGGGGAGAGGCAGAAAAGGGACTGGGTTTGGAGGAAGGGAAGAAAAAACCAGGAGGGAGCTGAGACTTAGGAAAAAAGAGACACAGGAAGGGAGAGGCAGAAAGAAATGTGTGACGCCCGCAGAGGAGGACCTCAGTGAGAGGGGGCTAGTAGATACTGGTTGAATGGATGATTGAACAGAGTTCAGAGAGAGAGAGGAGGAAAGGAAAAACGTGAGACTATGAGAGGTGGAGGGAAGGAAAGGATGGGGAGAGAGACAGGAAGACAAAAGGAGAAGGAAAGATGAGGGGAGGGACAGGGAAAGCAGAGGACAGATGAAGAGGACAAGAGATGGGGGGTATCCAAACAGAACCAGAGAGATGGACAGAGAGGCAGACAGAGGGGCAAGAGACAGAGGGAGGCAGAGGGGAGCAAGAGACGAGAAGTCAGAAACAGAATGAGAGGGAGACACATAAAGAATGACACCGAGACAGAGAAAACCAGTGAGACTGGGCAAGAGGGGGTGACAGAATTCCAAAGGGGGGAGCAAGTGTGTGGAACATGGCTGGCTGGCCCCCAAGCCCGGAGGGACGCCCTGACACCTGCCTCCCTCCCCACCCTCGCTCCTCCAACTGACCAGAGGGGGCAGGTGTGTGGGAAAAGACACATCTGCCAGCGCATCATGCAAATGAGCTCATGAATATGCAGCAGGCCCGTTGTCTTGCCCTGCCCCCACCCCCATCTGCTCGGCCAGGCCCCTCGGGCTGGGGGCAGCTCTGTCCCCTTAGGGGAAGGGGAGGCCCCCTCCCCACCACTGTCACTGTCCTTAGGGCAGACCTTCCCCCTCATCTAGGGCCCAGGTGGGAGGGAGAAAGGGAGGAAGGGCGGGGGGCCTAGGGCAGAGACCTGGGCCGGGGCTCACCGGGGTAGAAGTCTTTGGACTTGGAGAGCTTGATGGTGGCTCCGGTCTCCTTCTGCAGCTGCACGATGGTCTGCCCGCCCTTGCCAATGATGGAGCCCGCCGCGTAGCTGGGGATCAGCACCTTCAGGAAGTATTCGCCTTCCTCTGCGGGGGCACACAGGGTGGAGGGGAGTCAGCGGGGGAGGGGTCTTCACCTTTGGAGGGGGTGAGCAGAGGAAACCCCAGGGGTCACAGTAGCAGTATGGAGAATAATACAAATAATGATCTTCATTCACTCATTCATTCAACAAATAGTTATTGAGCACCTGCTACGTGCCTGGCACTGGTCTAGGGAAACAGCCAAGAAGAAAATAGACAAAGCTCCCCGATTTGTGGGCAAATGAGGCAAATAAGGCCGAAAGAGTTTTAGTGATTCAGCCAAGAGCTCGCACAGCTAGCTACATTCTTCTAGGTGGGGAAGACAGACAGTATATTTCATGTCAGATGGTGGGACTCCTGATGACACAAAAAAGGCAGGAAAAGGGGGTCAGGGAGGGTGGGAGGCTGCAGTGTCAGAGAGGGAGGCCAGGGAAGCTCTTCCTAAGAATGTGGCAGGCTTTATTCATCATCACACACTTTTGCAGCACCTGATAGGTGCTATACTGTTCTAAGTACTTTCCAAATACCAGTCCTTTGAATTTTCACACTTATCCTATGAAGGAACCCATCATACAGATGAGGAAACAAAGGTGAAGAAATCACCCAAGGACACTTGTAGGTGGCAGAGCTGAGATTTGGAGTCCATGCTCTGAACTATTATGATCATCAGGATATGGAGGAAGGAACGGAACCACATGGCTATGTGAAGGACGAGTGAGTGCAAAGGCCCTGAAGTGGGACTGTGCCTGTGCTCTTCCAGAGGGACTAAGGAGGCCCCTGTGCCTGGGGCTGAATGAGAGAGGGGAAGAATGGGAGGAGATGAGGACAGAGAGGGGTGCTGGTGGTGAGGGGTGATGGGGCTCGCAGGCCACAGTGAGGTCCTTAACTTTTACCCCAAGTGAGATGGAGCCATGGGAGGGATGTGGCCTGACTTAGGTTTTAGGAGGATTCCTCTGATGCCCATGAGGGGAGCAGACCGTGAGAAGCAACGGTGGGAGAGGTGGGGGCCCAGTGAGGTGGCGACTGCAATGGTCCAGGCAGGAGGTGACGGCGGTCTGACAGGTGGAAGCGGTGAGCGGGGAGGCAGAGGAAGGCCGGACGCTGGGGATGCTCCGAACACTCACTTTTGATCAGGCGCTGTGCTGAGTGCTTTGTGAGCTTGATCTCGTCCGTTCCTCACAACCTCCCGGTGAGGCGGGTGGAATGAGCTCCATTTTTACACAAGAGGAAACTGAGGCACAGAGGGGCACAGAGAAGTGAAGGTACCAGCCCACGGTCATCACCAGCCCAAGGACACGAACACAGCTACTGGGCTCAGATTCAAATCCAATTCTGATTCAGTCTCCTCCCATCATTGCTTAACACCCTCCACTCCTGGGGGGACCAACACGATGAAGGACAGCCTCGAAGACCTAGATGCAGTGCCAGCGGCAGCTTGTGGAGTTTTGGCCATTCTTTGTTATAGGCCAATTTTTCTTTTCCTTTTCTTTCTTTCTTTTTCTTTTTTTGTTTTTCCTGAGATACGGCCTTGCTCTATTGCCCAGGCTGGAGTGCAGTGGTGCAGTCTCGGTTCACTGCAACCTCCACCTCCCGGGTGTAAGGGGTTCCCCTGCCTCAGACTTCCGAGTAGCTGGGACTACAGGCGCCCGCCACCACACGTGGCTAATTTTTTGTATTTTTCGTAGAGACGGGGTTTCGCCATGTTGGTCAGGCTGGTCTCAAACTCCTGATTTCAAGTGATCCGCCCACCTCGGCCTCCCAAAGTGCTGGGATTACAGGCGTGAGCCACCGCACCTTGCTTATTATAAACCAGTTTTTTTGACCATGTGAAAAGCATTTTGTTAATGTAGTCTCAAGGCAAGCATCTAGCCTCCCCTGCCCGTTGCCCCTACGTGCCTCCAGGATGGAAATTCTGGACACTTCTCAGTATAAGAAGACCCTTTGCGGCCGGGAGCGGTAGCTCACGCCTGTAATCCCAGCACTGTGGAAGGCGGAGGCGGAGGCGGGCAGATCACGAGGTCAAGAGACGGATACCATCCTGGCCAACATAGTGAAACTCCGTCTCTACTAAAAGTACAAAAATTCGCCGGGTGTGGTGGCGCGTGCCTGTAGTCCCAGCTACTCGGGAGGCTGAGGCAGGAGAATCGCTTGAACCCAGGAGGCAGAACTTGCAGTGAGCCGAGATCGCGCCACTGCACTCCACTCCAGCCTGGCGACCCTTTGTGACTTGGCCCCACCCACCTTTCCAGCTTCACTTCCTCATCTTCCTCCGTGAGCCTCAGGCTCAGTGCATATTTTGTTCCTTAAACGTGCCCTGCTCCTTCCCACCTTAGGGCTTTTGTGCATGCTCTGTGCCTGGCAGCTTCTCTTCCCCTCAGTCAGTTTCTTTTTTTTTTTCTTTTGAGACAGAGTCTCGCTCTGTCGCCCAGGCTGGAGTGCAGTGGCGCGATCTCGGCTCACTGCACGCTCCGCCTCTCCGATTCACGCCATTCTCCTGCCTCAGCCTCCCGAGTAGCTGGGACTACAGGTGCCCACCACCACGCCCAGCTAATTTTTGTATTTTTAGTAGAGACGGGGTTTCACCATTTTGGCCAGGATGGTCTGGGTCACCTGGCCTCGTGATCTGCCCTCCTCGGCCTCCCAAAGTGCTGGGATTACAAGCGTGAGCCACCGCGCCCGGGCCCCCTCAGTCAATATCTTTTGTCCTTTAGGTTCTCACTCAAATGTTTCTTCTTCTTGGAAGCTTTCCTTGAACCCCAAAGATAGGATGAATCCCCGTTTCATGCCTTCAGAGTAACTGATCACAGAGGTCCACTGTGGATCACATCCATAGAGCTCACCCATGTCCTAGGGACTTGAACAGTGTCCCCAAAACTTGAACAGCACATACTAGGTTTGCAATAAGCACTGGGAAAAGAAAGGGAGGAGTTAGGCCATCCTGCTTCCAAATTTTAAGGTCTTAAACCATCCCCCAATGGTTTTTCAACTTTTAAGCAAAGGAAGCCTATTTTCTTTTTTTCTTTTTCTTTTTCTTTTTTTTTTTTTTTTTTTGAGACAATCTCGCTCTTGTCACCCAGGCTGCAGTGCAATGGCGCGATCTCGGCTCACTGCAACCTCCGCCTCCCGGGTTCAAGCGATTCTTCTGCCTCAGCCTGCGGAGTAGCTGGGATTACAGGTGCCCACAACCATGCCCGGCTAATTTGTGTGTGTGTGTGTGTGTGTGTGTGTGTGTGTGTGTGTGTGTGTGTGTGTATTTTTAGTAGAGATGGGGTTTCACCATGTTAGCCAGGCTAACATGTGCTGAGATTACAGGGGTGAGCCACAGAGCCCAGCCAGGAAGCCTATTTTCAATGTCTCACGTAAAACCTCAACATACAGAACAGATAAAAGAGAAACTGCTCTAACACTCTCTGATCTCTCTCTCTCTCTCTCTCTCTTTCTCTTTCTCTGTTGCCCAGGCTGGAATACAGTGGTGCCATCACAGCTCACTGCTGCCTCGACCTCCTGGGCTCAAGTGATCCTCCTGCCTCGGCCTCCCAAGTAGCTGGGACTACAGGCACATGCCACCACTCCTAGGTAATTTTAAAATTTTTTGTAGAGATGGAGTTTTGCCATGTTGCTCAGGCTGGTCTCGAACTCCTGAGCTCAAGGGATCCAACTGCCTGGGCCTCCAAAAGTGTTGGGATTACAGGCGTGAGTCACCATGCCTGGCCTCTGCCTGGCCTCTTAAGATGAAAGTTCTGTGTTCCCTTATGTGTGTAAGATGGGGGTGTGGTAAGAGGGGCTAGATGTGGCTTTGCAGGCATGGGGAAGGGTCCAGAATTAAGGAGTTTCCTGACACCAAGGCAATCCTCTTAAACTTGCTTAATCAGACCATTAAGCCTATTAGGTAATTAACCCCTCTCTGGTGCCTTCCTACCAATCATCCTGACCCCTACTGAATTCATTCTCTTCCATGGACTCACGGATATGTCCTCTTCCCCACCCTCACCCTAAACTTGTCACAGATAAGGGGTCCTTTATCTCCAGAAGGCTCAGAAAGATGGGGAGGGAATTCTCACTAATCCCTAGGACTCCGTCCTCTCTCTGCTTCTTCAATTTCACTCCCCATCTTCTCTCCCAGCCAGAGCATCTTCCCTGCTTCCCTCTGAGGGTGGAAGGTATTCATTTTCTCTGAAGAAAACTGGGGTCACCCTCTTCCCCATCTTCTGCCCCCTCTCTCTTGTACTTCTTTAAACTGTCCCTGAGAATTTTTGTATGAAACAGCAGAAGCAACTCTAGACTAAGAGTGACGTTTATGGTCGAGCGCAGTGGCTCACGCCTGTAATCCTAGTGTTTTGGGAGGCCAAGGCGGGTGGATCACTTAAGGTCATGAGTTCGAGACCAGCCTGGCCAACATGGTGAAACTCCCGTCTCCACTAAAACTACAAAAATTAGTCAGGCCTAGTGGCACATTCCTGTACTCCCAGCTACTCGGGAGGCTGGGGCAGGAGAGTCGTTTGAACCCAGGAGGCAGAGGTTGCAGTGAGCTGAGATCGCGTCACTGCACTCCAGCCTGGGTGACAGAGTGAGACTGTGTCTCAAAAAAAAAAAAAAGTGCATTTTGCCACTGATGGGCTCTATGCCCTTGGGCAAGTCTCCTCACCTCTTTGGGCCTCAGCTTTCCTCATCTATACAATGGGAATCATGATAGTGCTACTTCATGGGGTTACTGTGATTAATGAAATGAGGAAATGTAAGGAAAGGTACTTCGGATGGTCCCAGGCACATAGAAGATTTGAGAAATGTTAGATATCATCATTATCAGCATTGCCTACACCATGAACACAAGTTCAGTGCTTATCACAGCATCAGACACAGAGCAAGCACCCTATACGTGGGGTTTGGGGGTTGGGTTGAGAGGTAGGAGGAGGGGTGATCCTACTTTGTTAATCACCCATTTCCCTAGGGGGCTGTCCCAAACTTTTCCCTCCTTCTTGGAGGAGGAATGTCCTCTCACTGATACAAGCCAGACCTTGTCTCCATTCTCTGCACTCAGCCTCTCTCTAATTCCTGTCTTTCTCATGCCACCTTCTAGAATTTTGCCCCTTTTATGTCCTTCTGTACTGGAATTGTTCTTTCTTCTCTTTTTCTCTCCTTCTTCCTTCCCTTCCTCCAACAAATCCTTCCTGAGCACCCATGACCTTCCAGTCCTTGGTTCAGGTGCTGGGGATGCAGCAGGGAACAGACAAGGTCCCTTTCCTTTAAATTCCTTTTAAATTTTAAATGCATTTATTTACTTATTTATTTATTGTATTTTTAGTAGAGACGGGGTTTCACCATGTTGCCCAGGCTGGTCTTGAACTCCTGGGCTCAAGGGATCTGCTCACCTTAGCCTTCCAAAGTTCTGGGATTACAGGCATGAGCCACCGCGCCTGGCCTAAATGCATCCATTTAAAGAAGAAATTAGGCCGGGTGTGGTGGCTCACACCTGTAATTCTAGCACTTTGGGAGGCCGAAGCAGATGGATCACCTGAGGTCAGAAGTTCGAGACCAGCCTGACCAACATGGTAAAACCCCGTCTCTACTAAATACAAAAAATTAGCCAGACGTGGAGGCACATGCCTGTAATCCCAGCTACTTGGGAGGCTGAAGCAGAAGAATTGCTTGAACCCGGGAGGCGGAGGTTGCAGTGAGCTGAGATGGTGCCACTGCACTCCAGCCTGGGCAACAAGAGCGAAACTCCGTCTCAAATAAAAAAAAATTAAGAAGAAATTTAAAAATCGTTGCTAACAATTGGAGCTTGAAGGGCTGGTTGTTTTTGTTCTCCCTAACATACATTAATATAAACATACAATGTTCAAAAATGAAAAAAAAGTTTGTCCATGGACCACCTTAAATCATCTTGTGGGTGGCTTGATGGTCCCTGTATCAGACTAGTGCAAATCTGACGCCTGGAGCCCCCTCTTCTAGTGAGTCTCCTATGAACAGTGATTGGCTAAGACCTCCCACCTGTAGAGACTCAGCACTTGAATTCCCAGGAGTCCCCGTTGTGAGCATCAGTCTGTGCTGGTCCTTCCCAGAATTTTATGCACATCTTTTCTGTTTGGGGAAGTTTCCCACCATGTGAGTCCTACCTCCCCAGAAAGAAACCAGGTCTCTATTGACCAGCCTTCCTCACAGCAAGGGCAGACACGTGACCTCAGCTGAACTCGGAGCCCTCAGCCATTACGCACGCCCACCCTGTTTGAACAACCAAGGCACTGCTTGTGAGAAAGTTCTCCCTTGTAGTGAGGCAGAATCTACATGCCAGAACTCCGCACCCACCCATTCCCATCCCACTCTTCACTCTTCCCTTGAGTCCAGGCAGCTCCCTCTACCCGATGTAAGAGTCTGAAGAACTGAAGATAGCAAGTTCAGGTCTCCTGACTAATTTCCTGCTGCAATTTCAAACATTTCCACCTTGGAAAGGTGCCGTCTTTCCCCTTCTAGTCACTGAGTCTCTGCTCTTGCTCCTTTTGTATCCACCCCCTCAGGGATGCTTCTGACGGCTTTCAAAAATCCCAGCACTTTGGGAGGCCGAGGTGGGCAGGTCACCTGAGGTTAGGAGTTTGAGACCAGCCTGGCCGACAAGGTGAAACCCTGTCTCTACTAAAAATACAAAAGTTAGCCGGGCATGGTTGTGGCACGCCTTTAATCTCAGCTACTTGGGAGGCTGAGGCAGGAGAATCACTTGAACCTGGGAGGCGGAGGTTGCAATGAGCCGAGATTGCGCCACTGCACTCCAGCCGGGGTCACACAGCAGGGCTCCATCTCAAAAAAGAAAAAAAAAAAATCAGCCAATACTCCCTTCCCCCTTCCATAAATAACAATTGCCTACCCAAGAGATTTGGGGTGTTGTAGTAAGAGTGGCCTATTTTAGTGTCAGAGAGTTCACCCTCTAAGGTGGCTTTGATCTTGGGGGTCATGAATGACAAAGGTAAAGCTGAAGGGGTGTGGGTTGTTGAGGTGTTGTTTTTGGTGTTAGTGTGTCCAGATGCAACATCAATGTTGGGTGTTGTCCTCATGGCACCTCATGGTTTTGTTTGGGGGCTGGGGAAGGGAGAGCTGGCATGTTCTATGAGGGTACGAGGAGGCTGGGGTTTGACATCGGTGTTGTCATCGGGAGCCTGTGGGGATGCTGCTGGCAGAGAGGGTGTGGGGTGGGAGCAGTACTGCCGAGGAGGGGTGGGACTTCAGGCATGTGATGTGTTTCTGTGAATGGCGGTGTTGCCTATTTGGTGTGAAATGCAATACAACTAGAGTGTGCTTATGTAGGGATGAGATGCTGAAAGGTGTGATGCTGCCTTGAGTTGTGACGGTCTCTAAGTGAAAGAAAGGCAGATGGGCCACGGTTTTCTTGGAGTGAATCACCATTGGATGGTGGATGGTGAAAAGGGAAAATGACATACACTTATATAATAATAATGATGATGATGATGATGATAGCGACTGTTTACTGAGCACTTACCATCTACCAGCCTTACGCTATGTGCTTCACATATGCAATCTCATCTAATGCACAAAACCCAGAGAGGTAGATCTTCCTGCCTCCATGTTTCAGACAAGCAGGCTGAGGCTCAGAGTAGTGAAATAACTCGCCTGAGGATTCCACACCAAGCACATGACGGTGGCAAGATATGAATCCTGAAAGAGCTCATTCTAGGAGGGGCTCTTAACCTGGTGATGTTGACTTCGTGATAAAGAATGTGGCCGGGCGTGCTGGCTCACGCCTGTAATCCCAGCACTTTAGGAGGCCTAGGTGGGTAGATCACCTGAGGTCAGGGGTTCGAGATCAGCCTGGTCAACATGATGAAACCCCATCTCTACTAAAAATACAGAAGTTAGCCAGGCGTGGTGGCACATGCCTGTAATCCCAGCTACTTGGGAGGCTGAGGTACGAGAATTGCTTGAACTCAGGAGGTGGAGGTTGCAGTGAGCTGAGATGGCACCACTGCACTCCAGCCCGGGCGATACAGCGAGACTCTGTCTCAGAAAAACAGAACAAAACAAAACAAAATAAACAACAACAACAAAAAACAAAGAATGAGGGATGTGGCTGGGAATGGTGGCTCACACCTGTAATCCCAGCACCTTGAGAGGATGAAGTGGGTGGATCACCTGAGATCAAGAATTTGAGACCAGCCTGGGCAACATAGCAAGACCCTGTCTCTACAAAAAAATTCAAAGAATTAGTCAGGCTTGGTGGTGCACACCTGTAGTTCCAGCTACTGGGGAAACTGAGATGGGAGCATCACCTGATCCTGAGAGGTCAAGGTTGCAGTGAGCCATGACTGCACCACTACACTCCAAGCCTGGGTGACAGAGTGAGACCCTGTCTCAGAAAAAAAAAAAAAAAAAAAAAAAAAAAAGAGGGATGTTAGGAGCAAGATCTGGCTGGTGTAAGCTACGTTGAGGGTGTGAGATATGTATGTATGTCTGTATATGGGTTTTTATTTTGGGGGGGTTGACAGAGGTGGGAATATAGTCAGGAGTACAGGGGTCATTATTGTTGCAGCTTAAGAGTTACGATCTGTATCAAGGGGGCCACTGTTTGTTATTGTCCTGCCAGACTGGGGTCATTTATTTCTGCAAGGAGTCCCTGACTAGAGTTTCCGTCCAACCTCTTCACCCAAGTCTTCCTGCCCTTAGTGCCTTGTTTTCCTCCCAGCGGCATCTGCCAGCCACTCACAGTGCCCAGAAGCAAGTGTGAACTGCCACCATCTCCTCCACTTCTCCCATCTGCTCCCAGAAGCGGGCAGGAGTGGGGCAAGAATCTCATCTGTCCAGTAGGCCACTGCTTGCTGGGACACCCAGGAAAAGCCCTCTGAGCCTCAGTTTCCCCATCTAAAAATAGGGTCCATTCTAGTGTCTCCCCACACAATGGAGCCAGCCGCCTAAGTTCACATCATGGTTCTGCTGCTTATCAGCTGAGTGACGTTGGGCAAGTGACTTAACCTCTCTGTGCCTCAGTTTTTCATCTGTAACATGGGTTAACATGATAGAATTGTTGTAAGGATTAAGGAATTGATCCATGTCAAGCACTTCCCATGATAGTTCCTGGCATACTGCAGTATCGTAAGTCTAGCCATTATTATAACTGATTATTATTATTCCATCATAGCATGTTGGGAGAGTGATATGAAATTGCACGTAAGACATTAAACAATAATATAGGTAGCTATTGTTAGTATTATCCTTGTGTTTTTTGTTGGTTTTTTTTTTTTTGAGATGGCGTTTCGCTCTGTTGCCCAGGCTGGAGTGTGGTGGTGCGATCTCGGCTCACTAAAACCTCCACCTCCTGGATTCAAGCGATTCTCCTGCCTCAACCTCCTGAGTAGCTCGGACTATAGGCGCCCACCACCATGCCCCGATAATTTGTGTATTTTTAGTAGAGATGGGGTCTCACCATGTTGGCCAAGCTGTTCTTGAACTCCTGACCTCAAATGATCCACCCGCCTCAGCCTATCAAAGTGCTGGGATTACAGGCATGAGCTACTGTGCCCAGCCCCTTATGGTCATTTTTATGTGCCCACTTGGCAGATGAGGACACTGAGGCTCAGAAAAGGGGATGGGTTGGCCCAGCATCCCCCAGCTATGAATGTATATTATTGAAAGAAGCCCTCAATTTTGGGATCAAAGTCCTGGACCCTTGCCCAGCCCTGCCCCTGAGTGTGTTTCTGTCAATGGAGGCCTGTCCCTCTGCATCTCCCGGCCTCAGTTTCCCCATGAGTAAACAGAAGCGGGGTGGGAGACAGTCTGGAGGAGATGGTCCCTAAAGGCTCATCCTAGTTTCCCCGCTGTGGAGGGAGGCAGGATAGCACAGAGGTTACGTCCAGGAGCTCCGGAACCAGGCAGCCTAGGGTTGGGTAAATTCTAGCTCCATCACTTAGAAACCGTGTGACCTTGGGCAAGCGGTTTCATTTTGCTGAGCCTCAGTTTTCCTCATCTGTAAAGATGCTCAAATCATGTCTCCCAGGGGTTGTACTGAGATATTAACCCATGTCTCAGAGTAGTAGGTGCCAAGTAGGCAGATGTGACTGTTATTAGCAGCAGTGGCATCAGTGTTAAGTTGTGCTGAGAAGTGATCAGATTCTAAGCATCTCAGTCCCTGTAGAGAAAGGTGGGAACCCCCTACCCTCTGGAGGACGGTGGTGGAGGGCTAGACAGTCTGGCTGGGCTCAGGGACCTCCTGGGTCCCTGACCTCTCCAGGACTGGGAACAGCAGTGGGGCAGGAAGGAGGGAAGGAAGTCGGGGACATATTCATGTGTGTGCTGGGGGTGGGGGAGCAGGAAGAAGGACAGGAAACTCCCTCCCATCCCCTCCCCCAACTTCCCTTTCCTCCAATTTCTGCTGGACACCCTCACAGGCATCCAGGGGGTCCCTGATTCCTGTCCCACCTGGATGGAGGTGGGGGAGGGCTAGGATGGGAGGAAGAAAGTCGGCTTGTATTCATCTGTAGGGAGGAGGTAGGAGGCCCCCACCCCACCCACTGCCAGGCCTGGCGGAGAGGAAAGGGTGCACTCTGCCTGAAGCCATCCCTCTCCCATCCGGAGGAAAAGGCCAGAGGAAGTGGAGATTTTGGCAAGGTGACCGCGGGGAGGGGCTTGTCCGCTGCGGGGTCTCCCTCCTACCAGGGAGCTAGAGGACAGGGCTCTGAGGACCCCAAAAAACCCCACCTCTTCCCTGAGCCCCCCACGGCAGGGCATGCACCTAGAGTTCCCAGCTCGGCTTTTCTTCTCTGGTACACACACCTCCTTGGGTCACACACCCAGGGAGAGCCCCTCTCTTCCCTCACACTGCCTTCCGTGGTGTCAAACATTCGGCAATCTCCAATACACACGGACACACACACAGCCTCCCTTGTCAAACACATGCAGAATCATCCCCATATCTCTGGTGTCACACACTCAGCCATTTCACACACACACCTCTCCTTGTTACACCCATACACACAGCTGGGTGTCATATGCACACGTGCCCTGTCACATGGGGACCCATCCTTCCTTCTCCTTTTTACACACCCTCGTGCGTTTCACCCACAAGCCCCAGCCTCTCCCTCGTCATACACCCACCTTCCCTGTTGCACACACCCCCTCTGATGTCACTGTTGCACACCTCCATGTGTCACACCCAGCCACAGCCTCTCTGGAGTCACACCCACACCCTTTTCTTGTCACATCCCCTCACCAGCCACGCCTGTGTCACACACACTGGACCCCTTTCCTCTGATCTACACGGCCTCTTCTGGCTGACACCCAGAGCCAGCCCATTCGGTGTCCCCCACACACCTCCTTGCATGTCACACACACCCTCTCATGTGTCACACTCTGCCACAGCCCCCTTGGGGGTGACAAGCACACACCTTTCCTTGTCACACGTACCCGCTGGAGGGTCTCAAACATGGAGCCCAGCCCCTGTCCCCTGTCTTTCTCATACACCCCCCTATGCTGTCATATTCCTGATCCCTAATGTCACACATCCAGGCTGTAGAGGGCACACATACACACACACGCACACACATACACACCTGTCCTAGCCTCACATTCTCCCACCTAGCTTTACACACCCACCATTTCCTCCATTTCACCCCACACACCTACCCAGCCTGTCCCCACGCACGATCCGGCCAGGGCCACACAAGCCTCCATCTGGGACAACCCTTGTTCAGGACATCCCCAGGGAGGGAGGCTGGGAAGCTCCCGGTCCACAGGCCTCTACTCCTTCCCCTCCCCCAGCCAGGACACGCGAGCTCGGGGAACACCCCTGCTCCGAAAGGGTCACATCACACACCCCTCAAGGACACACAGACACCTGCCCTGAGGCTCCCACGCCCCCCATCTTCTGCGCCCCCCAAGGACACTTATCACCCCCTCCCCCCCACCCCTCTCCTCGCAGACAAAGCTCCCAGCCCCGGGCCTCAGCGAGAGGAGGAGGGGGTCCAGCCCCCTCCTCAACTCCCCGCTCTGTCCCCCGCCTCGGGGAGGGGTGTCTCTCCCCTCCCCAGAGCCCTTGCACCTGCCACGGGAGGGGGGGAAAGGATGGAGAAAGGCGAGGCCCCCTGCCCGCTCCCCCGCCCCGAGCCGCAGCCCTTTCTCACCTCCCGTGTTGCTGCGCTTGGTGCAGACCACCTCGGGGGGCGTTTCGAGGGGCCTCTTGCGGGAATCCGGGGCCTCGGGCTCCATGGGGGGGGCCTGGGGCGGCGGCTGCTGCTGCTGCGGCGGCTGCGGCGGCGGCGGCGGCGGCTGCTGTGGCGGCGGCGACGGCTGCTGGGGAGGCTGGGGTTGCGGCGGCGGCGGCGGCGGGGGCGGCGGCGGCTGCGGGGCCGCGGAGGCCGTGAAGAGGCCGTGCACCGCGCCGGCGGCCATCATCCTCATGGTGGGGGGGGGCGGGGGGCGGGGGGCGGGGGAGGGGGAGGGGAGGGGAGGTGGGAGGGGGAGGGGGCGGTGGAGGGATGGGGGAGGGGGAGCCCCGGAGAGGGAAGGCGGGGGTAGGGGGGAGCCGGTTCTCGGGGGGCTGACAGAGCCTGGAGAGCGGCCGTGAGCAGGATGGCAGGGCCGAGGGGGGTCTCCGATAGGGCCGGGAAAGAACTGAGAGGTGGGGTCTCTCCTGGGACCACAGAGGCTGGGGACTGGACGCGCCACTGGGGGGACGGGACTCCCCGCTTCTTCTTGGCTCCCTGGGGCAAGAGGGCCGAGCCCCCCAGACCCTGCTCGGGGTGGGGGGCCGGAGGAGCGTGGCCGGAGTGGGAGGCGGAGGCGGCCGCTAGTGGGGGCCCGGGGGGCGGCGGGCGCGGGCGGCGGCGGCGACGGGGCTGGCGGTGGCTGCTGGCCCGAGCATCTTCTTCCCGGAGGCTCCCACAGCGCCTGGCCCCTCCCACCCAACGAGGTCACGCCCATGCCGGGTAGGGCCACGCCCTTCGGCGCCCCCATTGGTCCAGCCTTGAAGCCTGGACCACGTCCCTCTGGGTTGGCCACGCCCCTCCCGGCGGCAGAGAGCTGGACCCGACTCCCCCAGGCTGCTGGGAGGACCCCGGGCTCCTCCAAGCCGTCCCCACTCCTCACCTTGAATGAACGTTTATTGAGCACTTACTGTGTGCCAGGTCCGGTTCCAAGCAAGCACGTCACAGACGTTATCGCATTTACTCCCCAGAGCGACCAGCTCTGTGAGTTACGCTTATTATCCCTATTTTACAGATGAGGAAACAGCCTTAGGAGCTTACTTTGACTTCACTTGGTCAAGACAAGAAATTTCGACTAGGCGCGGTGGTTCATGCCTGTCATCCCAGCACTTTGGGAGGCCGAGGCGGAAGAATCACTTGAGCCCAGGAGTTTGAGACGAGCTGGGCAACAATATTGTGAGACCCCATCTCTACAAAAAAAAAATTTTTTTTTTAATTAGCCAGGCGTGGTAGCACATGCTTGTAGCCCCAGGTACTCTGGAGTCTGAGGTGGGAGGATCTCTTGAGCACAGGAGTTTGAGGCTGCAGTCAGCCATGATCAAGCAACTAGATTCGAGCCTGGGAGACAGAGCAAAACCTTGTCTCAAAAAAAAAAAAAAAAAAGAAAGAAAGAAAGAGAAAGAAATTTCACTTCACTCTTTTTCAATCCTTTCAGCTGGGAAATTCCCCTTCAAATCTTTCATCCATCCTTTGAAGAATCAACACCGTGATGCTGAAAGGGCTCAGAGGATTGAATTCACTGAGCTGGAGTTGCAGCCTGCAGCACCTGCCCTGGGGCACAACTGGCTCTCCATTCAAACAACAGCACTCAGGGCCTACCTACTAAGTGCCAGGCACTGTCCCTGATGCTGCGATACAATAGAGAACAAAACAGCCTTGGCCCTTGTACAGTATTACTACTCATGTCATTAAGAAAAATTTGTTTTCAGATGACAAAGTGGAGGCCTGGGAACATTGAGGGTGGCTTCTTCAAGGGCACACAGCTTGAGAGAGAGAAACTGGGATGAGAACGCAGGACAAGTCCAATTTCAGAGCCCAAAGTCATTGGAACTAGGGTGCCTTTCTTTGGAATGGATCATTGCTATTATTCTGTGTTCCTTGATGCAAGAATTTCCTTCTCCCTGGGTTCTTAACCTCCAAGGAATCTTTCCTTCCTGGGTTGGTCAGAGGCAAGATTAGGCTCAGAAGGGGTCTGGATGCAGGTAATTGTGGCCACTGCGTGATCTGCGGCAGGGGGATCGGCTCCAACCCCCCCCTGCTCCTCCCTTGCCATGCTCTCAGGTCCCCAGGATGGGGGAGGGTAGCAGATGGCCTGGGGTGGATGGGGTGGCTACCCATCTGTCCCCTCCCCCCCATTGTCCCCAGAGCCAAGGGGGATGGGAGGGGGCTGTGGTCCACTGCAGTCTGGATCCTCCCCCTCCATCTTCCTGGAGGGAGCTGAGGAGCTGGTTGCCATGGAGATGGGGAAGAGGCAAGACGGATATAGGGAGATACGGGGGTCAGGCTGAGTACCACACCTTAGACCCTTTGAGTCAAATAGCCTCACACCACACAGGTACATATCCCAACATCCATGAAATTAGCTGTGAAGTTTCCCCCTCTGTGTGACACACACAGAGTCACACTGGCCCTGCTGCAGGTGCACGGTCTCAACACAGTCACACAGACACACTTATAGGGGATAGGCACACGTACACACACATACACACTCATCTGTAATGCACATTCAGTCATGCAGACGCAAGGCCACAACACAGGCTCTCATACACAAATAGACAGACACACATCTAATATGCAGGTATGTCCCAGGTACACACATTCAGAGCCACGACAGCTCCACACTTGGCCCCACACACTCGGAAAAGTTACAAATCCATGATCAAAGCCACAGGACATCCATGGCCTATGTTACATAAGACATATCAGCGACATGTGATGTATAGACTGACGAACAGACTAAGTCTTTCCTTGCACACAAATTGGGTAAACACACACAACACACACATTTAGATACACGGCCCACATAGGCTAACGCACACAATAACTGGACTTCACGGGCCACTCAGTGACACGCACAACACACATGGAAAGCTGTGTGCCGCTCAGCCCCCACCCCCGAGGCATGCCTGCAGCCCCAACCCTGCGCTCCCCCCATCGAGCCCTCCCGTTTGGACACACACAACAGCACGGTCGGTCACGCACTCACACTCACACACAAACACAAACCTCCTGCTAGATATTTTTAAACCCGGGCTAGTTCTGCTGCCATGGCAACCGCCCCAAACCCATCACCATAGCAACCCAACGTCAGCTTTCCAAGCACCAAATCCTGGGGGACTGCAGGGCCCCAATCAGAGGCTGGCGGAGGGGGCTGCTGCACCCTTTGCCATCATCCATGCCACCCTTGTGCCCCCACCCCAGAGCTTTCAGGGGAGCAGTCACCCTAGTCTGGGCAGGGGCCAGAGTCAGGGACATCAGAGACCCCCACCAAGCTGGGGCAGGGGATCCCCGAACCTGCCTTTTCCTTCCAACCTGGCAGAGCTATATGGAGGGGCTCGTTGGAGTGAAGGTCAGCTTACAGAAGCCTGGGTTTGAGTTCTGGCCCTGCCATTTACATGCTGTGTGACTTGGGCATGCCCTTACCCTTTCTGAGTCTCTCATTCTTTAATTTGGAAAATGTTGCTGCTGCTGTTAATACCCCCTTTATTTTTATTTTATTTTTTATTTTTTAATTTTTTGGTATTTTTAGTAGAGACAAGGTTTCACCACGTTGACCAGGTGGGTCTTGAACTCTTGACCTCAGGTGATCTGCCCGCCTCGACCTCCCAAAGTGTTAGGATTACAGGCGTGAGCCACCGTGTCTGGCCAATATCCCCTTTAAATGACTGTTATGATTTGGTGGTTAAAAGCCCAGACAGATCTACATCCAGATTCTGGCTTTCCCACTTCTTAGCCATGTGAACTCAGGCAAGGGCCTTCTCCTCTCTATGACAAGTCTCAGGGGTAAATAGTCCAATTACATAGGGCTGCTGGGAAGATTCCCTAGCAAAGGGGTATGGCAACTGTCCTAAGAACTTTGCATGTATTCTAACTTATCAGTCTTAAACATGGTCTTATGGGTGGATTACTATTCTTATACCCATCTTGCGGAAAAGGAAACTGAGATCCAGAGAGCTTGCCTGGTGTCACATAGCTACAAAGTTTAGAAGGATGGGATTTGGGCCGGGTGCAGTGCCTCACGTCTGTAATCCCAGCACTTTGGGAGGGCGAGATGGGAAGATCACTTGAGTCCAGGAGTTCAGGACCAGCCTGGACAACATGGTGAAACCCCATCTCTACTAAAAAATACAAAAATTAGCCACGGGTGGTTGTGCACACCTGTATTTCCAGCTACTTGGGAGGTTGATGCACAGGAATCGCATGAACCCAGGAGGCAGAGGTTGCAGTGAGCTGAGATCGTGCCACTGCACTCCAGCCTAGGTGACAGAGAGAGACTCTGTCTCAAAAAAAAAAAAAAAAAAAAGAAGAAGAAGGAGAAGAATGAATGGGATGGGATTTGAGCCTGGGCAGTCAAAGACACATCTTTAGCCATTTCTCTCTCCTGCCTCTCAAAGAGGGCAGTTTGGAGAAGGGTGACAGAATGGTGCATCCTTGGAAAGGCTTTCTAGCTTTGTTTTCTGGGATGAAATGAAAGGCCTCAGTCTTTCAGCCTACAGAATGGAGGTTGAAATGATACTGCTGGCTGGAGTGTCAGGAGGATCGATAAGGCAGTTTGTACCTGTTGGGCTCTGAGGACAGGCTGGCACCCCTGAGTGCTCTTGCAGGTGTGGAGCAGATCAGGAGAGGCTGGGCGAGTGGGCAAATGGGCAAGGATTACCTGTGCAGGCTCAGGAGAGAAACTCACTGGGGCTCAAGCCTCAGCTTTCCCAGCCTGGTGATCTTAGGCATGAGATGTCTCCAGCCTAAGCCTCAGTCTTACCATCTGTCAAATGGGAATCATGACCATACTCGGGGTGTGACAAGGAGTCCATGAGCCAAAGCAGGCAAAACCACTTGGCACGGATCTCAACAAAGAGATAAATCTGAGCTGCTATTAATATCATCCATCTACTCAGCGCACAGGATTTAGGAGAGGCAGGACTGCAAACTTTTTTTGCAGGGTTTTTGCAAACTTTGTTGACTCACAGTGAGAAACACACATCATGATGCAATGCATATATTAGGTTGGTGCAAAATTCATTGCGATTTTTATCATCAAAAGCAATGGCAAAAACCGCAGTTACATTTGCACCAACCTAATACAACTGAAATGAAAGTTTCATGAAACCACGCTTCATCTCCACCTTAGTCTACATTATGTTGACACTATGTGCGTAGACTCTGATCTATTCTTTTTTTTCTTTTTTTTTTTGAGACGGAGTCTTGCTCAGTTACCCAGGCTGGAGTGCAATGGTGCGATCTCGGCTCACTGCAACCTCCACCTCCTGGGTTCAAGTGATCCTCCCACATCAGCCTCCCGAGTAGCTGGGATTACAAGGAGCCGCCATCATGCCCGGCTAATTTTTGTAGAGATGGGGTTTCACCATGTTGGTCAGGCCGGTCTGGAACTCCTGACCTGAGGTGAGCCATCTGCCTTAGCTTCCCAAAGTGCTGGGATTACAGGTGTGAGCCACTATGCCCGGCTGACTCTGATTTATTCTATGCTATTGAAAAAACTACTGGTTGATTTTACAGCCTGCTAAGCAGTTGTGACCGACAGTACAGAACACCCTGGTGTGGCGATTACAATGTGGAATCCTTGAGTCCCTGGAGGATTTTAAGCAAGGAAGTGACATGGGCATCATAGGGACGATGAAGGGGAGGGGGCTAGATGGGGGCTGGGATGAAGCCAGAATGGACTCTAAGAAGGAGGGATCCTTTGCCTTTACCCCCTGGCAGAAGCAGCGGAGATGGAGATCGTTTGAGCTTGGGAATTCAAGGCTGCAGTGAGCTGTGAGATGGAGAGGTGTGGTCATATACCAACACCAGAAAGCAGCTATCTCAGCGCTTTGCATAAAAAGGTATAGTGGGGAGGAGCATGAACCCCAGACACTCATCTGCTTGGCAAATATTTACTGAGCACCTACTATGTGTTGGGCACTGTTCTAGGTGCTGGGAATACAGCAGTGAACAAAACAGATACAAATTCCTGACCTCATGAGCTCACGTTCCAGGGAGACAGATAATCAAGTAAAAAAGTAATACATAGAGTGTGACAGATGAGGCTAACTACCGTGGGGAAAATGCAGCAGGGGAGGAGGAAGAGGCATAGGGTATGGGGGCAGGGGGGATGGCTGCAATTTTATTTATTTATTTATTTATTTATTTATTTATTTATTTACTGATGGAGTCTCACTCTGTCGCCCAGGCTGGAGTGCGGTGGTGGGATCTCAGCTCTCTGCAACCTCTGCCTCCCAGGTTCAAGCGATTCTCCTGCCTCAGCCTCCCAAGTAGCTGGGATTACAGGCCCGCGCCATCATGCCCGGTTAATTTTTGTATTTTCAGTAGAGATAGGGTTTCACCATGTTGGCCAGGCTGGTCATGAACTCCTGACCTTAAGTGATCCACCCACCTCGGCCTCCCAAAGTGCTGAAATTATAGGCATGAGCCACCACACCTGGCCTGCAATTTTAAATAGGGTTGACATAGAGAGAGAAGGCCTCGCTGAGGAATGACATTTGAGCAGAGACCTGAAGGAGGTGAGGGAGTGGGCCGCATGGGTCTGTAGGGGGAGCAGCAGGTGCAAAGGCCCTGAAGCAAGAGCATGTCTAGTATGTTGGAGGAAGAGCAAGGAGCCTAGGGAAGCTGGACGACAGTAGGGGAGGGGAATAGTGGGAGGAATAAGGCTAAAGAGCCAGTCAGGGAGCCAACTGTGCAGGGGGCCTTGAGGACCACCATAAAGACTTCAATTTGTATGCCTGTAATCCCAACACTTTGGGAGGCCAAGGCAGGAGGATCGTTTGAGGCCAGGAGTTCGAGATTAGCCTGGACAACATAGTGAGACTCTGTCTCTACAAGAAATTAAAATAAATTACCAGATGTGGTGGCATATACCCGTAGTTCCAGCTACTCTGGAAGCTGAGGATCGCTTGAGCCCAGGAGGTCAAGGCTGCAGTGAGCCAAGATCACGCCATTGCGACAGCCTTGGTGACACAGCGAGACCCTGACTCTAAATCAATTTTTTGTTAAAAGACTTAGATTTGACTCTGATTTAAGTGGGAGCCATGGGGGTGGGGGGGTGGTTGTGAACAGAGGAAGAACTTGAGCAGACTTAAATTTTATCACATGATCCTTCTGGGTTGGATACAGTGGCTCATGCCTGTAATCCCAACACTTTGGGAGGCCAGGGTGGGCGGGTTGCCTGAAGCCAGGAGGTTGAGGCTGCAGTGAGCTGAGATCGCACCACTGCACTCCAGTCTGGGTGACAGAGTGAGACCCTGTCTCAAAAAAAAAAAAAAAGTTGGGGAGGCCAGGCACGCTGGGTCATGCCTGTAATCCCAGCAGTTTGGGAGGCCGAAGCAGGCAGATCATCTGAGGTCAGGAGTTTGAGACCAGACTGGCCAACATGGCAAAACCTCATCTCTACTAAAAATGTAAATATTAGCAAGGTGTGGTGGTGGGCGCCTGTAATCCCAGCTACTCGGGAAGCTGAGGCAGGAGAATCACTTGAACCCGGAAGGTGGAGGTTGCAGTGAGCCAAGATTGCGCCACTGCACTCCAGTCTGGGCGACAGAGTAAGACTCTGTCTCAAAAAAAAAAAAAAAAAAAAAAAAAAAATACTGGGGGGAATCCTTCTGGCTGTGTATGAAGAACATGGTAGCAGGGATGGGGCAGAAGTAAGGAGCCCAATAGGAGGTGACTTTGACCAACCAGGTGAGAGGTGCTGGTGGTTGGACCAGGATGTGAGACAGCAGTGCTGGTGAGGAGATGTCTTGGAATCCCAGTTCTCCCCTGTGACTTTGGGCAAGTCATTTCAGAGTCTGTTTCCCGATTTACAGATGAGGATGATAATAAAGCTCCCACCTCAGAGGGCTCCTGCGTAGTCTTCATTTCACTGAGCGTGAATAGCCCCTGGCACAAGTGCCGCCTGCCATTGTCACTAATTTTATCCTCAAGGCTCCTGGATCAGGGCACTTCTGTACCCTGCCCAGTGGTGCACAGGTGGGCTTTGGGGAGGAGGATAAGGAGAAGAGATTTAATCTTGTGTGCTGATTGTGTGTTTATCTGATCCTGGGGATATCTGAGTCAGGGCTTTCTCTTCCTAACAGCCTGTCTGTAGTAGGGAGTATTGAAGTCCAGTGAGGGGTGCTAGCTTGCCCAGAAGCCCACAGTGAGTTGGGGGCTGAGCCAGGGCTAGAAATCTATCCCTGCCTCCTGTTTTCTCAGGCCTGTGTTCCAGGTCCTGGCTGCCACCTTGGTGATTTTGGCAACTGACTGAGTCCCCTCCCCCGCTCCAGCCTCAACATCTTCCTATGAGTCCCTGCTGCCTCTGGGAGAAATTCCAAACTCTCCCGGTTGCTCAGGCCAAAACCTTGCAGTTGCCCTTGACATCCCTTTCTTCCTCACACCCACATCCACTCCATCAGCAAACCCTTTCTGCTCTACCTTGAGTTCCAAATCTCACCCCATCTCCCTACCTCCAGCGGCACCACCGAATGGGGGTCCATTAGCTCCCACCTGGACTCTCCCAGGAGCCTCCTCCCTCAGACCCCACTTCCACACTGGCCCACCCTTTCCCACCAGCAACCAGAGTCATCCTTTTTTTTTGAGACCGAGTCTCGCTCTCTCGCCAAGGCCAGAGTGCTGTGGCTCAATCTCAGCTCACTGCAGCCTCCACCTCCTGGATTCAAGCTATTCTCCTGCCTCAGCCTCCCGAGAAGCTGGGATTACGGGCACGTGCCACCACACCTGGCTAATTTTTGTATGTTTAGTAGAGACGGGGTTTCACCATGTTGGCCAGGCTGGTCTCAAACTCCTGACCTCAAATGATCTACCCGCCTTGGCCTCCCAAAGTGCTGGGATTACAGGCGTGAGCCACCGTGCCCGGCCCAGAGTCATCCTTTTCAAAGGTGAGTCAGATCACGCACTGCGCTTTATCTAAAAGAAATAAAAATGGGGTTTCTGGCCAGGCACAGTGGCTCATGCCTGTAATCCCAGCACTTTGGGAGGCCAAGGCAGGAGGATCGTGTGAGGTCAGGAGTTCAAGACCAGCCTGGGCAACACAGTGAAAGCCCATCTCTAAAAAAAAAAATTCAGCCACACACAGTATCTTCCACCTGTAGTCCCAGCTACTTGGCAGGCTGAGATGGGAGGATCATTTGAACCCAGGAATTCAAGGCTGCAGTGAGCCTTGATGACACCACTCGCACTGCAGCCTGGGTGACAGAACAAGAGCCTGTCTCAAAAAAAAGTGTGCGTGTGGGTGATTTCTGTAAGAACCTTGAGGAACAATCTGTATTGCTCTATTTCTTGGCTTAGGTTGTGGAAGACGAAGGCACTTTCTGTGTGTCTCTTATGACTACAAATAGTACGAATGGGTCGGCTGTGGTGGCTCACACCTGTAATCCCAGCACTTTGGGAGGCCAAGGCGGGTGGATCACAAGGTCAGGAGTTCGAGGCCAGCCTGGCCAACATGGTGAAACCCCGTTTCTACTAAAAAATACAAAAATTAACTGGGCATGGTGGCACGCGCCTGTAGTCCCAGCTACTCGGGAGGCTGAGGCAAGAGAATCACTTGAACCCAGGAGGTGGATGTTGCAGTGAGTCGAGATCGTGCCACTGCACTCCAGCCTAGGCGACAGAGCGAGACTCCATCTTAAAAAAGAAAACAAAACAAAACAAACAAACAAACAAAAAACCCCAGTGGAACTGTGAGAGAGCTGGGCTTTGAACCCTGGCAGCCTGGCTACAGGGGCCATTCTTTTAACTGCTTCACCAGCTGCCTCTCTTTCTCACATGTCCCCCTCCCTCAGCTGCAACGCCTCCCCACCCCATGGTCCTCTCCCTCCCTGGGGATCTCGATGCTTCCCTGATTTAGAACTGCAAGTGCGTAGACTTATGCTGATTCTATGCAATCATCTTCAGTTACATTTAATTTTAGTAATTTCTCCCCTTCATCTGTCCCCCCACAGGCACCCACTCTTATGTGCTTAATTTTTGGCCTTCCAATCTTTCTATTCTTTTATCAAGATCCCTGTGTATCCTTGCAGTTAGTTTTGCTGTATGTGGGTGTGTGTGGTGTTTTTTTTTTTTTTTTTTTTTGAGATGGAGTCTCGCTCTGTCGCCCAGGCTGGAGTGCAGTGGCGCGATCTTGGCTCACTGCAAGCTCCACCTCCTGGGTTCATGCCATCCTCCCGCCTCAGGCTCCCTAGTAGCTGGGACGACAGGCGCCCGCCACCACGCCCAGCTAATTTTTTGTATTTTTAGTAGAGATGGGGTTTCACCATTTACAGGATGGTCTCGATCTTCTGACCTCATGATCCACCCTCCTCGGCCCCCCAAAGTGCTGGGATTACAGGCGTGAGCCACCGTGCCCGGCGCTGTATGTGTGTTTTAAATTTGTAGAGTCGTTGTTAAGCTACAAACCTCATTCTCTTTCTTTCTTTCTTCTTTTTGAGAGCTCTCTGGGTGGCTATGCTTATTTCTAGCTGGAGATGAGTGCCAGAGTCTGCCCCGGTTCAAGTTCCATCCTCACTGCTTATTGGATGAATGACCTTGGGCAAGTTACTTAACCTCTCTGGGCTTCAGTTTCTCCATTTGTAAGATGAAAGTTGTTAAATAATGGTCACTTTCTCATAGGATTGTTGCAAGCTGGTTTTTTGTTTGTTTTTTAGAGATGGAATATTGCTCTGTCACCCAGGTTGGAATGCAGTGGTGCCATCATAGCTCACTGCAGCTTCAAACTCTGGTACTTATTTGGTCTTGAAACCCACTGGGAAACAGTAGAACAGTGAGTTTTGCAAAGGCAGGAACAAGGAATTGAGTAGAGGGTAACTCCTTATGCTGGAAGGTCCTGGGCTCCAGCGATCCTCCTGGCTTGACTTGCTAAAGTGCAAGCTGATATCCTTTTTTTTTTTTTTTCTGAGATGGAGTCTTGCTCTGTCGCCCAGGCTGGAGTGCAGTGGCACGATCTCGGCTGACTGCAACCTCTGCTTCCTGGGTTCAAGCAATTATCCTGCCTCAGCCTTCCAAGGAGCTGGGATTACAGGCATGCGCCACCACGCCCCGCTAATTTTTGTATTTTTAGTAGAGACGGGGTTTCACCATGTTGGCCAGGCTGGTCTTGAACTCCTGACCTCGTGATCCAACCACCTCGGTCTCCCAAAGTGCTGGGATTACAGGCATCAGTCACCGCTCCCAGCCCAAGCTGATATCTTAAAGCATTCAGCATTGGGCATTTACTGAGCAATACACTGATGTTAGTTTCTCCCTCTTTTACATTGCTGTGTAGTATTCCACTGTGTATTCCATATTCTACTTCTCCAACCCTAATGATGGACATCTACTTCTTTCCAACTCCTTGCTGCCTAAATTGCACTCCAATGGACATCCTCATACAAATCTCATTTAAGGGCCTGTTGGACAGTGTGATAATTGGGTCATCAGGCATCCTCACATTTAATTTCTTAAAGTATTGCTGGATTGTTCGCCAGAAGGGATGCACCTCTTTGGCCTCCTACCATCCATGGCAAATGATCCATTCTTGCATATATTCCTCCAGAACTTGATGTTCTTAGACTGTCTAATTTTTGCCAATCTGTTGGATGTCAGAGAATGAATGTATTGCTTTGATACTTTTTTTCCTTTTTTTTTTTTTTTTTTTGAGACGGAGTCTCACTCTATTGCCCTGGCTGGAGTGCAGTGGTGGGATCTCGGCTCACTGCAAACTCTGCCTCCCGGTTTCACGCCATTCTCCTGCCTCAGCCTCCCGAGTAGCTGGGACTACAGGCGCCCGCCACCGTGCCCGGCTAATTTTTTGTAGTTTTAGTAGAGACGGGGTTTCACCGTGTTAGCCAGGATGATCTCGATCTCCTGACCTCATGATCCGCCCGCCTTGGCCTCCCAAAATGCTGGGATTACAGGCGTGAGCCACCGCGCCCAGCCCTTTCTTTTTTTTAAGACGGAGTCTCGCTCTGTCACCCTGGCTGGAGTGCAGTGGTGTGCTCTCAGCTCACTGCAATCTCTGCTTCCTGGGTTCATGTGATTCTCCTACCTCAGCCTCCCAGGTAGCTGGGGTAGCCACGCCTAGCTAATGTTTTTGTATTTTTAGTAGAGATGGGGCTTCACCAGGTTGGCCAGGCTGATCTCGATCTCCTGACCTCAAGTGATCCATGCGCCTCGGCCTCCTGAAGTGCTGGGATTACAGGCCTGAGCCACAGCGCCCGGCCTTGATACTTTCTTATGTAGATCAGCTTAGCTTCTTCAGGTTTCCTCGGTCTTCATCTCTACCCAGAGTTACCACAAACTAATGTGTGTGTGTATATAAGGCTTTCAATATGAACCCTTCAATATTATATATGTACATTATATATATATCCACATACACACACACACATATGTATATATACACACACATATATATATATATAATAGTTTGGAGACAGGGTCTCGCTCTGTTGCCGAGGCTGGAGTGCAGTGGTGCAATCTCAGCTCACGGCAGCCTCAACCTCCTTGGCTCAAGTAATCCTCTCAACTCAGCCTCCTGAGTAGCTGGGACCACAGGCATGGGCCACCACACTTGTCTAATTTTTGTATTTTTTGTAGAGTCGGGGTTTCGTCATGTTGCCCAGGCTGGTCTCAAACTCCTGAGCTCATGCAATGCACCTACCTTGGCCTCCCAAAGTGTTGGGATTACAGGCCTGAGCCACCATGCCTGGGCCAAACACTTTAATATTTTAATTGCTGTCACAGTAGAAAAGGAATCATAATAGCACATCCCTTCTAAACTGTTATGACGATTCAGTGAATGATAATAGCCACGGTTTATTATGTGTTTACTACACGGCGTGTGCTGTGCTAAACTCTGTATACATTTACTCACTTATTTCCTCTAAAAGCTCTGGGAGGTCCCTGCTGCTGCTATCGCCCCCATTTTATAGAGGAGAAAACTGACACATGAAGAAGTTGACTGCAAGAAGCAGAGCTGGAATTGAAATCCAGGCAGACAGGCTAACTGACCATCTCACTGCCTCTCAATGAGCCTATGCAGGAAAAACACACAGGGCTTCACAAATATTCTGTATCATCCCACCTGTGATACTCAGGCAGGGCAGTCCAGAAGGGCTTGGGGAACGTTTGCTGATTGCCTCTGCAAATTTCTTTTTTCGAGACGAGGGCTTGCTCTGTTGCCCAGGCTGGAGTGCAGTGTGGCACGCATAATCATAGCTCACTGCAGCCTCAACCTCCCCGGTTCAAAACATCCTCTTGCAGCAGCCTCCTGAGTAGCTGGGACTACAGGCACACACCACCACACCCAGCTAATTTTTTTTATTTTTAGTAGAGATAGGGTCTCACTATGTTGCCCAGGCTGGTCTTGAACTCCTGGGCTCAAGTGATCTGACTGCCTCAGCCTCTCAAAGTGCTGGAATTACAGGCATGAACCACTGCACCTCCTCCACAAATTTCATAATGGGTTGAGCTATTGGGACATTTTCCGAGCATAATAATAATTGCATGTTGCATTTGGGAGAAAAACATCATTTTAGAGCGTATAAAACCTGAAAGGGACCTCAGTGGGTTGTTACCGCATCTGTAAAAGGTTCGGGTAAGACTCATGGTCCCTCTCCTTTCCAGAGCCCCTCTGTTTACCACATCAAAGCATTTATAACCATAATCATCACAGCCAGATTCTTTATTTATTTATTTATTTTGAGACAGCGTTTTGCTCTGTCGCCCAGGCTATAGTACAGTGGTGCAATCTTGGCTCGCTGCAACCTCTGCCTCCAGGGTTCCAGCGATGCTCCTGCTTCAGCCTCCCAAGTAGCTGGGACTACAGGTGTGCACCACCATGTCCATCTAATTTTTGTATTTTCAGTAGAGACAGGGTTTTGCAATATTGGCCAGGCTGGACTCAAACTCCTGACCTCAAGTGGTCCTCCCAAAGTGTTGGGATTAAAGGCATGAGCCACCATGCCCGGCCAACAGGCAGGTTTTTATGAGAATCCCCAAGAGCAGCACTTCTGCAGGGTACACGGCTGTCACCCAGCTCTTTCCTACTCTGCACCTGCATCTGCTGAACGTGGCCGGAGAAAAACACATAATACAGTGGTGAGACTGAGCTCACCACAATTTCACGATTACTCACCTGGGGGCTGGGGACTGCCTGCCAACCTCAGTCCTGTCTATTCACTCTCCCACCCTCCTGGGAATCTATTTCCTACCTGTGGTTCCCTCCTCCAACCTTGCCCACCTCCTCTCCATCCTCACCCTCACCCTTGACCCTGTTCTTAGTTCCTGGAGAGAAGAGAAGCCATCAGGAAACTTCCTCAGATTTTCTTGTTTTTTTTTTGGTTTTGTTTTGTTTTTTGTTTTTTGTTTTTAATGGAGTCTTGCTTTATCTCCCAGGCTGGAGTGCAGTGGTGCAATCTCGGCTTACTGCAACCTCCGCCTCCCGGCTTCAAGTGATTCTCCTGCCTTGGCCTGCTAAGTAGCTGGGACTACAAGTGCATGCCACCACACCCAGCTAATTCTTGTATTTTTTTTTTTTTTTTTTTTTTTTAGTAGAGACGGGGTTTTACCATGTTGATCAGGATGGTCTTGATCTCCTGACCTTTGATCCACCAACCTCGGCCTCCCAAAGTGCTGGGATTACAGGCATGAGCACCGCACCCGGCCCTTACGCAGGTTTTCAACACATCTACCCACCTACCTGTGACTATTGTTTTCCTCTCTCCTGTTAACTGCAGAAACACTCTCAGCCAAGGCCAACTTCTACATGTGTACACTTGGTCCCCTTCTCTCTCGCCTACTCAGGGACATCAGTCAAGCAAGCCTCTGCTTTCTCTCCTGCACCATCAATTCTCCGGTATCTCCTCGAGCATTCTCATTGGCATCAAAGCACATTCTAATACAAACCTGCTTTTTCTTTTTCTTTCTTTCTTTCTTTCTTTCTTTCTTTCTTTCTTTCTTTCTTACTTTCTTTCTTTCTTTCTTTCTTTCTTTCTTTCTTTCTTTCTTTCTTTCTTTCTTTCTCTCTTTCTCTCTCTCTTTCTTTCTTTCTTTTTTTCTTTGAGATGGAATCTTGTACTGTTGCCTGGGCTGGAATGCAGTGGTGCGATCTCAGCTTACTGAAACCTCCACCTCCTGGGTTCATGCGATTCTCCTGCCTCAGCCTCCCGAGTAGCTAGGATTACAGACACACACCACCATGCCTGGCTAATTTTATTATTATTATTATTATTAGTAGTAGTAGTAGTATTTCTATTTGTATTTTTAGTAGAGACGGGGTTTCACTATGTTGGCCAGGCTGGTCTCGAACTCCTGACTTTGTGATCTGCCTGCCTCAGCCTCCCAAAGTGCTAGGATTACAGGCGTGAGCCACCACGCTGGGCCTCTGCTTTTTAAACTCCGTGTCTGACTCTAGCTTCAATGTTCTGCTGCTCTTTATAATACAATCCTCAGAGACTGGGCATGGTGGCTCATGCCTGTAATTTCAGCACTTTGGGAAGCCAAGACGGGTACATCACTTGAGGCCAGGAGTTCAAGACCAGCCTGGCCAACATGGGCAAAACCCCATCTCTACTAAAAATACAAAGATTAGCTGGGCGTGGTGGCCGGCACCTGTAATCCCAACTACTCGGGAGGCTGAGGCAGGAGGATTGCTTGAACCCGGGTGGTGGAGGTTGCAGTGAACCGAGATCGTGCCACTGCACTCCAGCCTGGGCAACCAAGTGAGACTCTGTCTCAAAAAATAACATAATAAAATAAAATAAAACAACACAATCCTCAGAGGTATTTGTACTCATCTTGTGTCTCTGATTCCTTTTCCTCCCAAATCTGTGACTTTGCCAAATCAGCTGTTTTTTTTTTTTTTTTTTCTCAGGCTGGTCCTGAACTCCTGGGGCCAACTGATCCTCCTGCCTCAGCCTCGTGAGTAGCCGAGACTACAGGCATGTGCTACCATGTCTGGCTATTTTTAAAATGTTTTGTAGAGACAGAGTCTCCCTATGTTTCCCAGGCTGGTCTCGAACTCCTAGGCTCAAGTGATCCTCCCTCCTCAGCCTCCCAAATAGCTGGAATGGCAGGTGCAAGCCACTGTGCCCAGCTCCAAATCAGCTCTTGGTGATGTTACCAATGACCCCTATGTGGCTCAGTCCCGTTGTCCAGTGGCCTGTCCTCATATTACTTGAGCTCCCTCCTTGTTGACAGTCATGCCTTCCTCCTTGGTTTATTTTCTCCCTCAGGTTCCAGGACACTCCACTCTCAAGACTTCCCTTCTGGCCCATTGGCTCCTCTGCAGTCTTGCCCGTCCTTGGAGTCTTTAAACATTGGAGGGCTGTAGGGCTCAGTTCTGGATTCTCTTCTCCTTTCTCTCTTCACTCACTCTTTTGGTGATGGACTCCCACATCAATCAGTCTAGGTTGGATCTTATCCCTGAACTCAGACTCATATTCACCTGTCCTCTCAATATTTCCACTGGGAAGTCTACTGGGTACCTCAACACTTCCAAAACCAAATTTCTGATTCACATTCTCCTCCTGTCTCCCTATACCTGCAATTCACCTAATCTCAATACGTGGAAACCTCATCTTGGCATCTTTTCAGATCAAAAACCTTAGAGTTGGCCGGGCGCGGTGGCTCACGCCTATAATTCCAGCACTTTGGGAGGCTGAGGCGGGTGGAACACCTATGGTCAGGAGTTCAAGACCAGCCTGGCCAACATGGTGAAACCCTATTTCTACTAAAAATGCAAAAAATTAGCCAGGCGTGGTGGCGGGTACCTGTAATCCCAGCTACTCGGGAGGCAGAGGCAGGAGAATCGCTTGAACCCGGGAGGCGGAGGTTGCAGTGAGCCGAGGTCGCGCCACTGCACTCCAGGACCCTTAGAATCATTTTTGACTCCTCTCTTTCTCTTCCTCCCGACACTCAATCCATCAGCAGATTCTGTCAGCTCTACCTTCAGAATAGATTCTAACCACTTCTCACCACCTCCGCCATCACCACCCTCGTGGAAGCCACCATCACCTCTCATTCTAATGATTTTTTAATCTGTTGCTTAAATTCTTTTTTTATTGAGGTGAAATTCACATTAACAGAAAATTAACCATTTTAAAGTGAGCAATTCAGTGGCATTTAGTACGTTCATAATGTTGTGCAATCATCACCTCCATCTAGTTCCAAAACATTTCATCACCCCCCAAAGGAGACCTCACACCCATTAAACAGTGATTACCCATTCGCTCCTTCCCCCAGCCTCTGGCACCACAACACTATTTTCTGTCTCTGTGGACTTGCCTCTTCTGGACACTTCATATAAATGGAATCATACACTATGTGACCTTTTGTGTTTGTCTTCTTTCACTTAGCATCATGTTTTCAAGGTTTATTATCCATGTTGTAGCATCTATCAGCACTTCATTTCTTTTCTCTTTTTCTTTTGTTTTTGAGATGGAGTCTTGCTCTGTTGCCCAGGCTCGAGTGCAGTAGCGCGATATTGGCTTGCCGCAACCTCCGCCTCCCGGGTTCAAGCAATTCTCCTGCCTCAGCCTCCTGAGTAGCTGGGATTACAGGCATGCGCCTCCATGCCTGGCTAATTTTGTATTTTTAGTAGAGACTAATATGGTTTTGCCATGTTGGCCACGCTGGTCTCGAACGTCTGACCTCAGGTGATCCGCCTGCCCCGGCCTCCCAAAGTGCTGAGATTACAGGCATGCCACTGCACCTGGCCTTATCTGCTCATAGATTTATGGACATTTGGGTTGTTTCCACCTTTTAGCTATTGTGAATAATGCTGTTATGAACATCCATGTACAAGTATTTGAATACCAGTTTTTAATTCCCAGGTATACACCTAGGAGTGTAATTGCTGGGTCATGTGTTAATTCTGTTTAACTTTCTGAGAAACTGGCTGTTTTCCATGTCCACATTATTTTAACAGCCTAAGTTTTTTAATTTAAATTTTTATTTTTAGAGATCGGTTCTCACAGGCTGGAGTGCAGTGTCGAACTCCTGTCCTCAAACAATCCACCTGCCTCAACCTCCCGAGTAGCTAACAGCCTATTCTTAATGCAGCCACCATAATGATCATTGAAGACATGAATGAGTAGGCCAGGCGGTGGGGCTCACCCCTGTAATCCTAGTACTTTGGGAGGCTGAGGCGGGTGGATTGCTTGAACTCAGGCGTTCCAGACCAGCCTGGGTAACATGGCGAAACCTCGTCTCTACTAACAATACAAAAGTTAGCCAGGTGTGGTGGTGCATGCCTGTAATCCTGCTACTCGCGGGGTTGAGGCAGGAGGATTGCTTGAAACAGGGAGGCTGAGGTTTCAGTAAGCCGAGATGGAGCCACTGCACTCCAGCCTGGGTGACAAAGTGAGACCCTGATTCAAAAAAAAAACAAAAAAAGACATGAGTAAAATTATGTCCTCTCTGCCTAATACCTTCGATGGCTCCCACCTCACTCAGAGTAAAACAAAAGGCCTCACAAGGGCCGACAAGGCCTTATATAACCTGGTCTCAGGCATCCTCCCAGACATCATCTTCTGTCACACTCCACACACTCAATATTGATGTCTTTGCTGTTTCTTAGAAACACCAGGCATGTTCCCACTACAGGGCCTTTGTACTCACTGTCTCATCTTCTTGCAATGGTCCACCTTGGTACCCTCAAGGCTGGCTTGGCCAGGAGCGGTGGCTCACGCCTGTAATCCCATCACTTTGGGAGCCCGAGGCGGGTGGATCACATGAGCTCAGGAGTTCGAGAGCAGCCTGGCCAACATGGTGAAACCCCATCTCTACTGAAAATACAAAAATTAGCCAGGCATGGTGGCATGTGCCTGTAATCCCAGCTACTTGGGAGGCTGAGGCAGGAGAATTGCTTGAACCCAGGAGGTGGAGGTTGCAGTAAGCTGAGATCACGCCATTGCACCTCCAGTCTGGGCCACAGAGCGAGACTCCATCTCAAAAATAAATAAATAAATAAATAAAAATAAAAATAAAAAAAATAAATAGGCTGGGTGTGGTGGCTCACACCTGTAATTCCAGCACTTTGGGAGGCTGAGATAGGTGGATCACTTGAGGTCAGGAGTTCAAGACCAGCCTGGCCAACACGGTGAAACCCCATCTCTACTAAAAATACAAAAAAATTAGCCAGGCCTGGTGGCAGGCACCTGTAATCCCAGCTACTCAGGAGGCTGAGGCAGGAGAATTGCTTGACTTTGGGAGGTGGAGGGTGCAGTGAGTCAGGCGCCACTGCACTCCAGCCTGGGCGACAGAGTGAGGCTCTCTCTCCAAAATAAATAAATGAATAAATAAATTCCTGGCTCAGTCACTTGCTTCAGGTCTCTGCTCTAAATCAGCTTTTCTGAGACATCTTCCCACCCCTCTAACCCCCAGTTCCATCCACTTCACTCTGCTTTATTTTCTCTGTAGCACTTATCACCCCGGACCTGGACATTTCTTTCTTTCTTTTTTTTTTTTTTCTTTTTTTTGAGATGGAGTCTCGCTCTGTGGCCCAGTCTGGAGTGTAGTGGCCTGATCTCAGCTCACTGCAACCTCTGCCTTCCGGGTTCAAGCGATTCTCCTGCCTCAGCCTCCCAAGCAGCTGGGATTACGGGCATGCACCGCCATGCCCAACTAAGTTTTGTAGTTTTAGTAGAGACAGAATTTTGCCATGTTGGCCAGGCTGGTCTTGAACTCCTGACCTCAGGTGATCCGCCTGCCTTGGCCTCCCAAAGTGCTGGGATTACAGGCGTGAGCCACCGCGCCTGGCCTATTTCTTTACTATATGTTATTATTTGCCTTCCTTTCACTAGGGTATGAGCTTTTCCTGTTTGTTACCAGATGTTTCTACCTCCAGCACCCAGAAAAGTGCCTGGAACATAGCAGGTGCTCAATAAATGGCCTGACAAGTGAGTGAAGAAATAAGTGAAGCAATGAATTGAACTCCACTTACAGATGAAGAAAGTGAAGTTCCCAGAAGAGGCATGACTTGTGGGAGGTCTCACAGCTGGCAAGGGAAAGCCTTCAGATTCTAATCCATGTTTCCTTTTTTTTTAATTGTTATTTATTTATTAATTATTTTCTTAGAGACAGAGTCTTGCTCTGTCACTCAAGCTGGAGTGCAGGCATTTATGGGATTTAGCTGAGGGGAAGGTGAAGTGAGAATACATTTAGATTGGGTTTACAGGGATATTTTTATGTGGTTCATAGATACTTCTCGGATACTTAAACCACCTAATTAGTTGTCATGGCGTAGAAATGGCTTCCCGGAATGCTTCTGTTGTGTAAGTTACTAACTCACTAGATGCGAGGCCACAGCCTACTAAATGGCATGAATGTATCTTTTAGCGGCTCATTCCAGAAGCATCTGTGTAACAGAAATGTCAGGAATTGAAAGGAAGCCTGCGCGGTGGCTCACACCTGTAATCCCAGCATTTTGGGAGGCTGAGGTGGGAGGACTGCTTGAACTCAGGAGTTCGAGACCAGCCTGGGCAACATAGTGAAACCCCATGTGTACTAAAAATAAATTAAAAAAAAATTAGCCAGATGTGATGGCGTGTGCCTGTAGTACCAGCTACCTGGGAGGGTAAGGCAGGAGGATCACTTCAGCTCAGGAGTTCAAGGCTGCAGTGAGCCATGAACATGCCACTGCACTCCAGCCCAGCGATGAAGCGAGACCCTGTCTCAGCAAACAAAGAAACCAACAAACAAAAAATTGAAAGTATTGAGCCAGAAGTTAGTCTGTGGAAACATTTTCCAAAACATAGTTAACATGTGAATGAAACTTTATGAAAGTTTTTCTTTTTTTTTTTTTGGAGGTGGCATCTCACTCTGTTGCCCAGGCTGGCGTGCAGTGGCACGATCTTGGCTCACTGCAACCTCCGCCTCCCGAGTTCAAGTGATTCTCCTGCCTCAGCCTCCTGAGTAGCTGGGATTACAGGCGTCCGCTACTGCGCCCAGCTAATTTTTTATATTTTTAGTAGAGACAGGGTTTCACCAGGTGGTTCAGGCTGGTCTCGAACTCCTGACCTCGTGATTCCCAAAGTGCTGGGATTACAGGTGTGAGCCACCGCGCCTGGCCAGAAGTTTTTCTAGATTTCCAAAAGACTTCAATAACATCACCAATACTGATTTGTGAAGCTGAAACTTGTTCTAAATTATAATGAATTTTTAAAAAGTTCCATCAACCACGCTAGAGGAAAGATAACTTACTTTTCTCTTTGTAGACAAGGATATTGTGAAACATGCAGCTGAAAAAGTAGGAAACATCACAGAGGTGTGTCAGGCAGAAAATTAATAAAAACATTACGTTATCCTTTGGGATTTTGCAATGTTTGTGGTATTTGGCTCTTTTAAATATGTAATTTGTTATTATTTCATATTCTAAGTAAACTTTCATGTCAGTTTTTTTTTTTCTTTAAACTTTATTTTCCTTTCTTAAAGAGGTCCCTCCTCCCCCATCCCCGCGCTCAATTCCTTTAGCTGGATCCTTCCAGTTCATGACTGATCGGTTTAAAATATGGGTCGTTCAAAAGCCGTGTGAACCCGGGCTAGTGGCTATACCTCTCTGAGACTGTTTTCTTAGTGGTAAAATGGAAATCATAATAACTTTGCAGGGCTGTTATAAAGTTTAAATAAGCCAAGTCCTGCAAAATGCTTAGTGCAGGTTTGGAATGCACCAAGCGATGACAAATCTCAACCTGTCTTTATGCTGAGACCACTCCCCAGTTTCCGGAGCCGCGGCCACTATCTCCCCATGCGCATGCACACCCGGCTCTCCCTTCCAGGCCCTCCCCACCACGTGGGCGCGGCCTACCCTCCCGCAGGGGGTAATAGGTGGAGTCAAGGGGCTACTTCCGGGATTCTTTCCCTTCCACTCTGGGGAACAACCTTTTTGTATGACTGGCAGCATTATTAGCCAGTAGTGATTAGAGAAGAGCCCGACGTTAGGTGCCTCCCCCAACCCATTTGGGACAGCCTCTTCTTAGTTAGCCAATTGGAAGTTTTGGAGGGCGGGTTCTCCTCTGGGGGAGGGACAGAGTGATGGGCGTCTCTTTTGGCTAATGGAAACTTGGCTGCTGGTAAGCTGTGACCAATCAGAAGCGAGAACGCCGGATCCTGGGGCGGGGCTGGAGCTTCGTCAGTTGAACCGCTCGCGAGGAGGGTTGCTAGTGGAGAAGGTGAGAGGCCGCGGGAGTGGCGGTTGCGCGGGCCGTGGTGGAGGTCTTAGGTGGAGGGGAAGGGGCTTCTCTCGGGGGAGAGTGGGCTGCGGTGGGCAGCTGACCTGGCCTTGTAGGAATCGGGAGGGAGGGTGCCCTTTAACAAGGGTAGGCGCTTGATTGAGGGGTTGTGAGGCTGAGCGCAGCATGTGAGTTGGGGGTGATCTGTATATCGCAGGAGGGTCTTCAATGGGGAAAGTTGTAAAGCAGGAGACAGCAGATGGTAAAATATAGAGACGTCCTTGGAATGCAGCGTGGCGATTTAGTAGGAGGTTTTAAGGCAGAGGGTTATTACAGCGCACTATGCTTTACAAGCTTTGATTTGGGTGAAAGTCGTGGGAAGAAGCAATATTGAGGAAGGGAGGGAAGGAGACCTCCAGGGATGAGCATGTACTTTAAAGAGATGTGAAGCCCTATTATGCCTGTGGCGTTTGCTATGTGCTGTGCACCTGCCAAGTGTTTTAGGTGAATTAACTCTTAAACTTACTCTACTGATGGTTAAGAATGTGGGCTCTGGCGTCGGGTTGAATCCCGAATTTGAATCCTGGCTCTGCCACTGATCATTACTGTGGCTTTGGGCCAGTTGTTTAACCCTTCTGTGCCTCAGCTTCATCATCAGTAGAATGACATCATCTCTGTCTATACCATTGGCTAGCTTCACCCTCTTTATCTAATGAGAACTCCCACGTGTGTATTTCCAGCCTGGATCTCTGCCCTGAACTCCAGACTCATATCATGGCCGACTCTTCTCTCTTTGGAAGTTCATCTGACATTCAGACATAAACTTGTCCCAAACCAATCTTGCGATTTCTTCCTTTCAACCTCCAAACCCAGTTGATGGGACATTCATCCTGCCAGGTACTAAGATCAAGAAGCTTGGAGTGTTCTTTTTTTTTTTTTTTTGAGACAGAGTTTCGCTCTTGTAGCCCAGGCTGGAGTGCAATGGCGCGATCTTGGCTCACTGAAACCTCCACTTCCCAGATTCAAGGGAATTACAGGCGCCCGCCACCACACCCAGCTAATTGTTTGTATTTTTAGTAGAGAAGGGGTTTCACTATGTTGGCCAGGTTGGTCTTGAACTCGTGACCTCAGGTGATCCACCCGCCTCAGCCTCCCAAAGTGTTGGGATTACAGGCGTGAGCCACCGTGCCTGGCTAGCTTGGAGTCTTCTTCACTTCTCCCTTTTGTCTTACTTATATATGGTCTAGCAGATCGCATTAGCTCTGTCTTCAAAACACATCCAGAATCCAACCATGCCTCACCAGCTCCTTTGCTACCACTCTGGCCTCAGTTTGTCTCCTGCTCTTACCTGGTTTGTTGCAGTGGCCTTCCAGGTGGGCTCTCTGCCTCTCACTGTTAGGGGGATACTAGTAGAACAGAAGTCAGGTCAGGTTGTTTCTCCTTTCAAACCCTCTCCTGGCTCCCACATTACACTGCAAAAGTCTTCACCATATCCACGAGGCCCCAACCTATTGGGTTCCTCCTCCTCCCTCCCCTCAACTCCCATCACTTCTCTCATTCCCCTGGCTCACTCTGCTGCAGCCACCCTGGCCTCCCCGCTGTCATTTGAACATAGCGAACACATTGCCATCTCAGGGCCTTTGTACTCGCTGTCCCTGAACGCACTGCCACCTCAGGGCCTTTGTACTCGCTGTCCTGTCCTTCTGGATCAGGTCTTTTCAGGTGTCTGTGTGGCTTCTTCCACACCTCTTTCAGGTCTCCGCTCAGACGTCAGCTTCACAACCAGGCATTTGCTAAAGTACTACTCAAGCTAAAATAACTCCTGTCACTGTATGGCCCTTCACTTGGCTTTATTTTTCTTCATAACACCACTACCTGATATAGATTATTATTATTATTTTTTTTGAGATGGACTCTTGCGGGTCACCCAGGCTGGAGTGCAGTGGCGCGATCTCGGCTCACGGTAGCCTCCACCTCCTGGGTTCAAGTGATTCTCCTGCCTCAGCCTCCCAACTAGCTGGGATTACAGGTGTATGCCAGCATGCCCAGCTAATTTTTACATTTTTAGTAGAGACGGGGTTTTGCCATGTTGGCCAGGGTGGTCTCAAACTCCTGACCTCAGGTGATCCACCCACCTCAGCCTCCCAAAGTGCTGAGATTACAGGCGTGAGCCACTGCGCTGGGCCTATTATTATTTTTTGAGATAGAGTCTCTCTCTGTCACCCAGGCTGGAGTGCAGTGGCCTCATCTCAGCTCACTACAACCTACGCCTCCCAAGTTCAAGTGATTCTCCTGTTTCAGCCTCCCAAGTAGCTGGAACTACAGGCATATGCCACCACGCCTGGCTAATTTTTGTAATTTTAGCAGAGATGGGGTTTCACCATCTTGGCCAGGCTGGTTTCGAACTCCTGACCTCAAGTGATCTGCCCACCTCAGCCTCCCAAAGTGCTGAGATTACAGGCGTGAGTCACTGTGCCCGGTCCTCACATCAATTACTGTTGGTTTATATCCACTGGGCTTCTTGGACCTCCCCACTAGAGTGTTTGACTCCATGTGAATATGGAACCCAGCACCTAGAAGAGCACATGGTGTTTAAAAAGTGTTGCTTCTCCTATACTGTCCTCACCACCCTTTGGGGTCTCCCTGTGGTATGGGGCAGGGTTGCTGAACTAGGAGGGTCATGTGTGGGGTGGTAGGGTCGGAGGTGGGGGAATAAACTGGGCAGATTGTGGCGCCCAAGGGCAGAAGGAACCTTTAGTGTCTGAAGGAACTTGGAGGAAATGCAGATTTCTGGGCCCACCCCCAGAGTTTCTGCTTGTGTATAGTTGGGACCCGACCTAGGAAGCTGCATTTTCATAAGCACTTGTGGTAAGGATTATGTTCCTTGGCCATCACTGTGAGAAACACTGTTAGGCTGGTTCAGAGTTTGCTGGGGCCACTGTGGTGATTGAGACAGCTCCTGACCCAGCCTGGGAGTCAGGGAGGGCTTCCTGCAGGAGAGGGGATTGGAGCTGAGACCTGGAGGATGACAGGGAATGAGCCGAGGGGAGAAAACCTTGGCTGTATCCCCAGTGTCTAGAACCCCATTCCCTGGCATCTCCCGTTAAATTCACAAGCAGTCCCTGAAGATACAAGATTGATTAAAATGGCTCTGCCCTCACGGGCTCCTGGTCTGTCAAATAATCAACAGATCACACAGATGGTAACAGGGAGTGCCAGCCACTGTTTGAAGCACCTTATATACACTAAATAATTTAGTTCAACAACAACCCTATAAGGTAGGAGCTCTTATTATCCCGCTTTACTGATGGGGGAAGGCCCAGAGAGGGCAAGTACTTTGCCCAAGGACACACCAAGGAGAAAGGCAGCTGGAATCTGAACCCAGAAGTACCCAGCCTGCAGCATGTGCCATGCTTAAGGTGTGAGGCCGCATTTGGGTTAGTTCTGGGAGGAAACAGGAGGTGGTCAGGGAAGGTCAGCTGGGTAAGGGGAAGGAAGACGAATGTTTCTGTCTTTCATGGTGGGATCCTAGACAAGCCTCAGTTTCATCCTCTGTATAATGGGGATGGTTATAATACCCACCAGAGAGCAGAATTTAGGGTGAGTCATTCATTGGGTTAATAAGTGTGCATGGTCCTTATCTAAGGCAAAAGTTTGCCTTTGAGAGACAGTGGGAGAGGGAGTTGATGCCCCAGGGGGAACTGGGGTGCCGCAGTGTGCACCGTAGAGATTTCATTGCTTGGTTCCCCAGAGGGCTTCTCTGTCTCTACAGTCTATGGGGACAATGTGGAAGGCTTTGGTCTGTATTCTGGGGCAGTGAAGGGGGGGTTCTATCCAGCCTCAATTCACCCACGTGGTGGGGAGGTGAGGTCAGAATGGGGTCGGGAAGGGGGTCATCCAGGCCAGGCCACGCGTGTGAATGTGGGGCGGAGGGCTGCTGCAGGAGAGAGCCCATCTAGGGTATGGCTGGGCTGGAATATGTGTTGGCGGTGGTGGGGAGCTGCAGAGTGTGGGGAAACAGCCATCAGGTGTGGGCTGCCAAGGGCAGTGATTTGCCCGTGTCTGGTATGGGAGGTAGTGATGTAGATTTGTCTTTGGTGAGCCCAGCGTGGAGAGTTTTCAGCTCCGGCCCCGGGGTAAGAGCTGTGAAATCTGTGAGCTATCTGGGGAGAGCCATTTGGAAGGTGGAGCCAGGGGTGGTGATGTAACGCTGGAAAGGAAAGGGGTCATCCTAGTGAATGATGAGAGGGAGAGAGCTGGGGGCTGAAACACTGGGTGTAAGTGTGCCAGCGCCATGATGTCATGAGGCCCGAGAAGTGGGTCAGGTGTGTGGGCCAGGATGGGGCCTGGAGGGCAGCCGCACAGTGCTCGCAGGGATGGGGTGGTGACGTCATGGGTTGGTGAGGGCGGGGCCTCGAAGGCACCGCTGGGATGCGTGAGGTCAGGAAGGAGGCAGAGGCTGAGAAGAGGAACTGGGAGAGGCTCAGGACTGGAATGAAATCAGCCACCAGGATGAGCCACTGGTCATTCCGAAGCAAGGATGGAGGATGCAGGTAGAGGGACAGGGTCAGCGGCGGGAGGGGAGAGGGGGCTCAGGGTCCGGGGAATCCTAGAAGTGGCGGTGGTGGTGGGGTCAGTGGAGAGGAGGGGTTGTTCAGAGAGGGCTCTCTAAAGGGAAGAGAGGTGGAAAATATGTGTGCGGGTGGAGTGGGGGTTGGGGGTGGGGTTACAAGCAATTTGGGAGGGAACAGAATCCAGGTGAAATATGGGAGTGATGGAATACAGGCTGAAAGTGGGATGTGTGGAGCAGAACCTTGAGCAAATATGCGGGAAGAATGCAGTTGGAATAACGGGGTGCATTGAAGTTGAATATGCGGGAGCCCTAGGAGACCGTGGGTGGCTGGTGTAGGGAGGAGAGTGCGGCTGCCTCCCTGCCCCCAAATCTGGGAGAGCAGGATGGAATGAAGGGGCTTTGGACGGGAGAGAGGGGGCTGGTTTCCGGGGAATGTAGCATGAGGGTTGGGCTGGAATATGTGGAGTGGGAGGTTCTGCAGAGAGGAGGGGAAGGGGAGTCCAGAATTCCGTGGCCATCTGGGGGACAAGTGACGGGCAGCTGGGGTCAGGGAGGCCGTGTGGAGCTGGCACGGGTGTGGGATTTATTCCATCAGCAGTTACTGAGCACTTAGGACATGCCTAGAGGAGGGGAAGGGGCCGGGCAGCGGGTGAAGTTTGTGGAGGTGAGAGAGGTGTAAGTGTGCAAGGGGAATTGAGTTTAGGCAGAGTATTCGGTGGCTCAGTGTCTGGGATCAGGGCGGGGTGGGGGCTAAGGACAAGGCAATGGGATGCCGAAAGGGGCTGCTCTTCGCGGGGTGGGTATGGGGGGTTTCTGCCGAGCAGTGGGGAAAGGGGAGTTGGCGGCGGGGATGCGGTGTGGCGGGCCCCCTTCCTCTGTGCGGTCTCCTCCCGGGAGTTGGGGACCACGAGTGGGGGCGGTGATGCTGTGCGGCTCCTCAGGTGTTCAGTTCCGTGGGTGCCTCCTACGCCTTGGTAACCCGGACGGTGTCGCCGCTGATAGGTTCTGGGAGCCGGAGGGGGTGGGGTTGATGGGCGGGGTTTAGAACACCCAGTGGGGCGGGGCCAGTGCTGCCACGCACTGCATTGGGGTCAGGGGATGTGGGATATGCGGCAATTTGTTTGCAGCAAGATCGAGATTATTATTTTTTATTTATTTGTTTTTTCTGAGACAGAATCTTGCTCTGTTACCCAGGCTGGAGTGCAATGGCATGATCTTGGCTCACAGCAACCTCTGCCTCCCGGGTTCAAGCGATTCTCCTGTCTCAGCCTCCCGAGTAGCTGGGATTACAGGCACCTGCCACCACGCCCAGCTAATTTTTGTATTTTTAGTAGAGACGAGGTTTCACCATGTTGGCGAGGCCGGTCTCGAGCTGACCTCAAATGATCCACCCTCCTCGGCCTCCCAAAGTGCTGGGATTACAGGCGTGAGCCAACGCACACGGACGAGATCGAGATTATTAACCTGGACTTATGAACCATCAGAGAATGAAAGCACAATTGCCAGAATGTGAATTTTCCAGGGGAAGGGGGTCCCCGAATTCATCAGCCCTTCCAAAGCACTCTTCTCCCAAATGAAGTTAAGAGCTGTGATCTAGAGAGAGGTGTCTGTCAGGAGGTCTAGGGCCTACGCCATTGCCCTTGGGCCTCTGAGAAAAGAGATCTGTGGATGGGCCTGGGGGGTGGTAATTTGGGAGCCACTGAAATGAACTTGCAAAAGGTTTTGGGACTATTCATTTATCTGCAGAAGGCTCAGAAATTTCATTAGATTCTCAAAGGCTCAAGGACTCTAAAAAGGTTAAAAATCCCTTACCTGGAGTTTCAAGGATCATCTTTTTTGCCTCACAATATTGTATTTTCTGATATTAGATTTTATTTTATTTTTTGAGATGGAGTCTCCCCCTGTCGCCAGGCTGGAGTGCAGTGGCACCATCTCAGCTCACTGCAACCTCTGCCTCCTGGCTTCAAGCGATTCTCCTGCCTCAGCCTCCGGAGTAGCTGGGATTACAGGCACGGGGCACCACACCTGGCTAATTTTTTTGTATTTTTAGTAGAGATGGGGTTTCACCATTGTTGGCCAGGCTGGTCTGGAACTCCTGACCTCATGATCCACCTGCCTCGCCTCCCAAAGTGCTGGGATTACAGGCATGAGCCACCGCACCTGGCCTGCTCTGACCCCCTTTTAAAAGCTTGGCTCATCCTACTCCAATACCCCCGTCCCTCTTTCCAGCTTGACTTTTCTCCACAAATGTTTGCTGAATGAATGAATGAATAATAATAAATATATAATGAGTATAAGACTTAATAAATTAATACTAATATTAATCATGATTCTTTTTTTGGCCATCATGTATTTCTTTTCTTTCTTTTTTTTTTTTAACTGAGTCAGGGTCTCACTCTGTCACCCAGACTGGAGTGCAGTGGCAAGATCACAGCTCACTGCAAGCTCTGCCTCCAGCCTCCCGAGTAGCTGGGACCACAGGCATGCACCACCACACCTGGCAATTTTTTTGTATTTTTAGTAGAGGTGGGGTTTCACCACATTGCCCAGGCTGGTCTTGAACTCTTGAGCTCAAGTGATCCTCCTGCCTCAGCCTCCCAAAGTGCTGGGATAACAGTTGTCAGCCACCGCGCCCGGCTTGGCAATCATGAATTTCTAGTATCCAGCACATATTGGACACAGCCTCCAGGTCACAGTACCAAGTACTTTTATACATATTGCCCAATGTAATCCTCACAACAAGTCCACGAGGTTGGTGCCATTATTATACCCATTTTCCAGATGAGGAAACTAAGGCACAGAGAGGTGAATTCGCTTTCCCAGGATGCCACAGCTGGTAAATGATGGAGCCAGGATATGAGGCCTGGCCTTCCAACTCATGAGCCTGGGCTCTGAGCTCCTCTAGGTTTCTCTCTCATCTCCTTCTCCAGCAACCTTGGCCATGGACCAGCCGGCTGGCCTGCAGGTGGACTACGTCTTCCGGGGTGTGGAGCATGCCGTGCGGGTGATGGTTTCTGGGCAGGTGCTGGAGCTGGAGGTGGAGGACCGGATGACGGCTGACCAGTGGCGGGGCGAGTTCGATGCTGGCTGTGAGTGTGCCTGCCTGGGGTGGGCTCACCTTTCCTCTCCTGGGATCAGCTTCTCCCAGAATATCAGGCCACCCTGAATCCTGCCCACCTGCCTCTTCTTTGTCACCAGAAACTCTCCAGTGTGGGGAGGGGTGTAGGTCTTGTTGCTCAAGCCAGAGACACTGGAGTCGGGTAGAATTGCAGAGCTTAGGTGCATTGCCCTGGGGCTGGGCAAGCGGTCAGACCTCAGGAGAGACTTTTCTCCCCACCCAGTCATTGAAGATTTGACTCACAAGACAGGGAACTTCAAACAGTTCAACATCTTCTGTCATATGCTGGAGTCAGCCCTCACTCAGGTAGGGCCCGGGTTGGCGGGTTGGGGTGGGAGGGGGGTTCTGTCTTCCAGGTTCCAGGGGGGTTGATGCCCATCTGATGTATGTAAGACCCTCTACCTTCTCTTTCATTGTGGGAAGAGGGCGATCATTTTCTTCTTTTGCCAAGTGTAAATGCTTCATTTTGAACTTAATGATAGTTATTCTCATGTAGAAAATTTAGGTCACAGAGAAATATAAAGAAGAAAGTAAAAATCACTCCAGCCCTAATACTCGCTTCTGTTAATATTTTGGTGAAAATCACTCCAGTCCTTTCTCCATGTCTCTGTTTGTTTCCAAATACGTGTGTGTGTGTGTGTGTGTGTGTGTGTGTGTGTGTGTGTGTATGCATTTGCAGATCTGTAATTATATATAGTTTATATAATTTCCAAGGTATTCTGCAACCTGCTTTTTTTGGTTTGTTTGTTTATTTTTTTTTTGAGATGGAGTCTCGCTCTGTCGCCCAGGCTGGAGTGCAGTGGCACCATCTCAGCTCACTGCAACCTCCGCCTCCCAGGTTCAAGCGATTCTCCTGCCTCAGCCTCCTGAGTAGCTGGGATTACAGGCGCACGCCACCATGCCCGGCTAATTTTTTGTATTTTTAGTAGAGACGGGGTTTCATCATGTTGACTAGGCTGGTGTGGAGCTCCGGACATCAGGTGATCCACCCGCCTCTGCCTCCCAGAGTGCTGGGATTACAGACGTGAACCACTGCGCCCAGCCTGCAACTTGCTTTTAAAGGATTCAGCAATATCTCATAAAAATGTAGTCACATCAGTGAATATAGCCATTCATTCATTTCATTTGCTGAGCATTGACAGTGTGTCAGTCATTGTGGGGGACACTGGCGATACAGCAGTGAACAACAGACAAAACCCCTGTCCTCATGAGGCTGACATTTTGGAGAGACAGACAAATGAAAAAATACATAATGTCAGGTATTTAAAAGTTTTTGTTTGTTTGTTTGAGATGGAATCTCACTCTGTCTCCCAGGCTGGAGTGCAGTGGCGTGATCTCAACTCACTGCAATCTCTGCCTCCTGGGTTCAAGCAATTCTCCTGCCTCAGCCTCCCGAGTAGCTGGGACTACAGGCGTGTGCCGCCACACCCGGCTAATTTTTGTATTTTTAGTAGAGATGGGGTTTCACTGTATTGGCCAGGCTGGTCTTGAATACCTGATCTCAAGTAATCCTCCTGCCTTGGCTTCCCAAAGTGTTGCAATTACAAGCGTGAGCCACCGTGCCCAGCCTAAAAGTAATAATCAGGGGGAAGAAGCAGGTTAGAACTTAGAGTGACAGGGATGGGTGGTATTTAGATATCTTTTTTTTTTTTTTTTTTTTTTTTTTGAGACAAGAGTTTTGCTCGGTTGCCCAGGCTTAGTGGCACAGTCTCAGCTCACTGCAACCTCCGCGTCTCGGGTTCAAGTGATTCTCATGCCTCAGCCTCCCAAGTAGCTGGGACTACAGGCCTGCCCACCATGCCCAGCTAATTTTTGTATTTATTTATTTATTTTTTTTGAGATACTATCTGTGTAGCCCAGGCTGGAGTGCAGTGGCATGATATTGGCTCACTGCAACCTCCGCCTCCCGATTTCAAGCAATTCTCCTATTTCAGCCTCCCGAGTAGCTGGAATTACAGGCATGCGCCATCATGCCCGGCTAATTTTGTATTTTTAGTAGAGACGGGGTTTTGCCATCTTGGCCAGGCTGGTCTTGAATTCCTGGCCTCAAGTGATCCACCTGCCTCGGCCTCCCAAAGTGCTGGGATTACAGGTGTGAGCCACCGCGCCTGGCCTGGACAAGCGATAGTTTCTTAAAGGTTAGTTGCAATGTGGAATCTGCATCCTCATCAGTGAACTTTTTGTATTGTTACATTAAATTCCACTGACTTATCTTGCATTTTGTATGGATATTTTTTTACCTGTGGATGATCTTGTAACATCATGCATTGGTCATTTGGAAAATATTGGTTCACTAAGTTGTGCAGATTTTCCAAATGTTGACACATTTCCTTATATAATATCCAGAAGTCACATTTGTTAATATCCTCACCGATTTCCCCAGGAAAGTCTGTGAACACCGAGAAGCTATCAGACACCCAGTGGAAGATACAAGTTTTCCAAAATTCTAATTTCAAGTGCAAAGCTTGAATTTTGTTATTGGCAAGACATCCTGTTAGCTGTTTTTCTTGAAGTGACAGGCTCACTTTGTTCGTTTTTGAGAAAATTTCTGCCAGATAGCCCGAGTCTAAATAACCATAGTTTTGTCTGTCAGTCGTTTTTTTTTTTCAAGTAAAAATAGTGTTCTATGAAAAGTGGCTAATTTAGCTCAAAACTCAGATACAGAAGTGCTTTTTCCCGAGACCATCGTCATACTTTGGCGTGCACAGAAGTACTTGATGTGTACTTCCCATTTTCTTGCTCAACATAATAAAGAGATGTGTGCTCTAGGGGCTGAATTCAATAAAATTAATAATTTTTACTGCTTCATCAAGAACATTCCGATGTTTCATTTCCTGTGTTTTATGGTTGATTTGCTTATTTACTTGTTTGTTTATTTCTCTTCCCCAGCCCCCCACTGAGACTGGGGAGATACAATAACCTCCAGTACCATTCGGTGCCAGGGGCTTGATTTCTCCTAAGGCACCAGCAGTTTTTCCCACCATTGCTTTTGTACCATTCGCGCACATGTCAACACAGTGAAAAAGACAAATGACGTCTTTGTATTATTATGAAAGTAGCTTTGACCTCAGTGGAGATCCCTGAAAGGGTCTCGTGGACCCCCCAGGGATCTGGAGACAGCACTCAGAGAGTCACAGGTCTAAGCTGTTCTCTCTGGTTGAGCATTTAGGTTCTTTCTGGTTTCTTCCTTCGATGAAGTCCTTGTGTCTGCCCTAGGACAGGGCCATGTTGATTGCCAGCCTTCGCGTAGGAAAGCCTAGCCCGCCTAGAGAACGGGAAGGGCTGTGGCCCAGGTGTGTGCTAGGTGCCCTCCGTGTGGCAGTGGCGGGTGCTGTGGCAGCTCCTCCTCTCCTCTCCTGACAGAGTAGTGAGTCAGTCACCCTGGACCTGCTGACCTACACAGACCTGGAGTCCCTGCGGAACCGCAAGATGGGGGGCCGCCCAGGCTCCTTGGCCCCCAGGTCGGCCCAGCTCAACTCCAAGCGCTACCTGATCCTCATCTACTCCGTGGAGTTTGACAGGTGGGGAGAAGGGTCTGGCTCCAGGGCCAGGCTGGTGGGCGGGGTGGGAGAGGATGTGGGTAGGCCTTAGGAACCCCTGGCACCCAGGCAAGGTGATATTGGTTAAGCCTTGCCTTGGGAATCTTCCCTGTTGGGGTTTGTATCATTTAGTATTGTGTTTGGCTACAAGTAGCAGAATAACCATCACCAGTGCCCTAAACAAACAATACATCAAACAAATAATACGTCACGTAACAAGATGTCTAGGTAGGTGTCTGCCACCTGTTTAACAGTTCCACTAGGGACTCAAGCTCTTTCTTTTTTATTTTTTTCCTTTTACTGTCGTTAATGTGTTGGCTTTTTTTTTTTTTGAGATGGAGTCTCACTGTCTCATCCAGGCTGGAGTGCAGTGGTGTGATCTTGGCTCACCGCAACCTCTCCCTCCCAGGTTCAAGCAATTCTTGTGCCTCAGCCTCCAGAGTAGCTGGGACTACAGGCACCCACAACCACGCCTGGCTAATTTTTGTATTTTTAGTAGAGACGGGGTTTTGTCATGTTGCCCAGGCTGGTCTTGAACTCCTGGCCTCAAGTGATCCTCCTGCCTCAGCCTCTCAAAAGTACTGGGATTACAGGCATGAGCCACCACGCCCGGCTTGGCCTTTTGACTTCATCTTTATCTCTTCATGGCCACAAAATAGCTGCTGGATCCTCCAGACATTGCATCTATATCAAGGCAGGAAGAAGAGGGACAGGGCTGAGTTTGTTAATTGCCTTTGCTGTTTTTATCAGGAAAAAAAAAAGTGTTCCCAGAAGACTCCCAACAGATTTCCTGTAATATGTGGCCAGAGGTGGTCACATGCAAGGGATGCTGGGAAAATGAATATCTGGCTTTCTAGCCTTTATAGGGGGAGGGTAGCAAGAGAGTTGGGAATGGCAGTTGTGTAGCTAGGTGACCGTGTCTGTCCCATGTGTTAGTAGCCACTGGATTTCTTAGTGGAAAGTTACCAATCCTCTGTGAATAGCATCTCATGGGGCCGTTAATCACAATGGCTCACCTTTCCCCAGCCAAGCCAGGGTCACCCAGGCCAGGCCAACCAGAATGCCCCGCTGTGGCATCTGAATTAGGATTGCGTTTGGCTGCAAGTAACATGATACCAGCATTCCCTTCATCAGCAGTGGGTGACAAGGAAGTTCCCCCAGACTACACCAGGGCTGCCAATCCCAGTGGTCCCCAAATTGTTATATAAGAGGCTTTCACAGGTGGTGACTGGAACAAGGGGTCCGGGTACAGGGAGGGGCCTTGAGGATGTGCTCATAAGCCTCTAGGACAGTGCAGTTTTTGGAATTGTGTGTTTTCGTACTCTGTGGCTCTCAGAGGCTGCTGTTTACCCTCAGGTGCATTCTTGGCCTCTGAGATGCCACGGTTTTAATCCTCCCTCCTCAGGATTCACTACCCGCTGCCCCTCCCGTACCAGGGCAAGCCAGACCCCGTGGTTCTGCAGGGCATCATCCGGTCACTGAAGGAGGAACTGGGCCGCCTGCAAGGGCTGGATGGCCAGAACACTCGGGACACCCGGGAGAATGAGATCTGGCATCTGCGGGAGCAGTGAGTCTTGGAGGGGTGGGCAGCTGGGGCGGGTGGGGGCCCTCCCATCATGCACCGCGGGGCCCATGCTCGGTCCTGTGGGGAGGATGACTGTCCTTCGCCCACCACGTATTCTTTTTTTTTTGAGACAAGAGTCTCACTCTGTTGCCCAGGCTGGAGTGCAGTGGTGCGATCTTGGCTCACTGCAGCTTCCTTCTCCCGGGTTCAAGCGATTCTCCTGTCTCAGCCTCCCAAGTAGCTGGGATTACAGGCACGCGCCACCATGTCCGGCTAATTTTTGTATTTTTAGTAGAGAAGGGGTTTTGCCATGTTGGCCAGGCTGATCTCAAACTCCTGGCCTCAAGTGATCTGCCCGCGTTGGCCTCCCAAAGTGCTGGGATTACAGGCATGAGCCACTGCGCCCGGCCTCTGAGCCCCTCTTCTGTACCTTTGTGCTGGGTGGTGCTGGGGACATAGTGGTGACCAAGACTATCTTGGCACTGCCCTCCTGGGACTCTGAGTCCAGGGAGGGAGGCAGATGTGTTTGCAGACAGTGAAGGCTCTGGGTGGGGTACCTGACCCTGCCTGGTACGGGAGGGGTGTTCTTGGCAAAGGGAGCAGCATGTGCAAAGGTTGGGGGGAGGTCGAGCTCTATGTAGGCGAATCCACCTTCATGGGGTGCACCTTTTGTGCTAGCCCCTCCCTGCCACTCACGTAGTGCCCAGCCCTGGGGGAGATGGGTGCTAAGTATATAACCACTTGAGTATATCATTACAGATGGAGATGAGTAGGGCAGGAAAGGGAGCCTGTGCTGTGGGAGGCTGTCACAGGACTCCACTGGGGTGTAGGGTGGGTCAGGCCCAGGGGCTGGGGAAGTGTTGTAGGCAGAGGGAACAGCCTGGGCAAAGTCCTTGTGTTAGGTGGGAATGCGGTGAGAACAAGGGAATGAATGAAGTGAAAGAAGCAAAGGCCTTTGGCATATATATTCATGCCTGCCTTGTGCTTGGTTCTGTTGGGGAGACGAATCTGGGGCTTGATCGCTACCGGGAAGAGGCCTGGCTCGTTGGGGAGGACTAATAATATTTTTAGTAATAATGTTACCAGTAACTAATGTTTATTGAACATTTAACTGTATGCCAGGGCTGCTCTGTGCTTTATGATTAAATTCATTTTATCCTCACAGCCACCCTACAAGGTAGGCACTGCTATTATCACCGTTTGACAGAGGCCCAGAGAAGTTAGGGAACTTGGCGCAGGTCACACAGTGGGTAATATGGCTAGGCTGGACCTTAGATCCAGGCAGCCAGCGCCGAGCCTCTGTTGTTTCCCCAGCTGTTTGCACTGTTGGTGGCTGCAAGCCCAGGACAGAGCGCTAAGTGCTGACCCGGAGGACCAGTCCTTATGGGAGCTCATGGGGCTGGGGAACCCCGCCGGTCTTTGGAGGAGCTCGCCTGTGTACGGCTGGGCCGAGGAAGGCCGCAGTGGGGAGGCCAAAATTTATCCTCAGGATCTGCTCTCAGGCTGTGTGTGTGTGTATGTGTGTGTGTGTGTGTGTGTGCGCGCGCGTTTGCTCTGTCTCAGGCTGTGTGTGTGTGTTTCTAGGTTTGTGTTTCTGGGTGTGTGTTTCCCAAGATGGCCACAAGGGGGCGCCCTCCACCCTTTGGAACCAACCACAGGAGCCTTGAGATCCCACCGCTGCTCAGTGGCTTCTTATCTTCCTCTTCCCAGCCAGGAATTAGGGAGTTTGGGAAGGTTCTGAGATTTATTCATTCATTGAGCCAACATTTATGGAGTTCATACTGTGCCAGGCACACTGCCTGACGCTAGTTAATGTTTATTATGCTAGACATGGTCTAAGCACTGTGGATAGATTCTTACAGCCTAACAGGCGGGCATTCTTATTATCGTCCCTCTTCACAGATGAGAAAAGATGGCCTGAGGCTCAGAGATGTGAAGTGAAACTGCCCAGGGCCACCCAGCTTGTTAACAAGTGGAATAGAGTTGAATGCAGGGCGCCCGGCCACGCAGCCTGGGGTCCTGTGCAGTGAACCAGACAGGTGGAGGCTCTGCCCCCAGAAAGGTGGGATCCACATGGGAAACGGACACTCCTCTACATGCCAGGTCTGCCAGGGCTGGTGCTAGGAAGGAAAGGTATAGAGGGCTGGGAGAGCGGAGAACGTCAGGGGCAGGTAGGCTTCCCGGATGAGTGGAGTCGTTCTTGCCAGGAGAAGAGGGAGAGAAGGTTCTGGGAGGTGAGAACTGCATCTGGCTGGAGCCTGTGGGAGAGGGAGGCAGGAGGAGAGGAGGGGAGAAGTCAGATGGGCAGGGGCTGAATAGAAAGGAAAGCTCCTTGTTAGAGAGTGTGGGGAACCACGGATTTTAAGAAGGATTTATTAGGAAAAATTCCAGCACCACAAAAGTAAACAGTAGTATAATTTGCACGTACTTGTCCCCCAGCTTCAACAGTTACCCACGTTTGCCCATCTTGTTTGATGTACTGCCACCCCCTGCCCTGTAGCAAATCCCAGTCTTCGTGTCTCCTCTGTAAAAGCATCAGTGTGTATCTTTAACACATAAGGATATAAGTGCTGCCATCACATCCAACAAAATTCACAAAAATTCCAGGATGTCATCTGAAACCCACTGCGTATGCGTTCACACTTACACTTCTCTGATCACCTCTCAAATGTCTTTTTTGCAAGTGGTTTGAATTCGTCCTGTATCTAAATACGGCTGCACATTGCAGTTTGTCGAGGTCTTTCTTTTCTTTTCTTTCTTTCTTTTTTTTTTTTTCAGTCTTGCTCTGTTGCCCAGGCTGGAGTGTGGTGGTACGATCTTGGCTCGCTGTGTCCTTACCTCCTGGGCTCAAGCGATTCTCCCACCTCAGCTTCCTGAGTAGCTGGGACTACAGGCACATGCCATCATGCCCAGCTAATTTTCATATTTTTTTATAGAGACAGGGTTTGCCTGTGTTGCCCAGGCTGATCTTGAACTTCTGAATTCAAGCCATCCACCTGCCTTGGCCCCCCAAAGTGCTGAGATTACAGGCACGAGCCACTGAGCTTGGCTGATGTATTTCTTAAATCTCTTTTAATTTATATCCCCCTCTCCACTTTTCATGCTACTTATTTGTGGAAGAAATCAGGTTATTTGTCCTGTAGAGTTTTGCAGTCTAGATTTTGCTGAATTTTTCCCTAGCAAGCATACTCAGATGGAAAAATGAAAAATAGATTTTGCTGATTATATCGCCATGGTGTGTTTAATGTCCTTCTCTGTCCCCTGTACTTGCAGTGAAGTGGTGGCTAACCCTATATAGGTTTAATCACATGTGGGGTAGGTTTTGGCAAGATGCCTCCTTTGGTGGTGTTGAGACTGATGATTTCAGCTGTTGAGAGCTGGCTCCCTCTTTTATAAAGTTCTCTTCGGCCTTTCAACCAATGCAGTGGTTCACTCTGGATATGCACTCAAATTGCCCGGGAGCTTTGAAAAATCTCAGTGCCCTGGCTGCCCTGTACATTCACCATTTCTTTTTCTTTTTTTGAGACCGAGTCTCGCACTGTCACCCAGGCTGGAGTGCAATGGCGTGATCTCTGCTCACTGCAACCTCTGCCTCCTGGGTTCAAGCGATTCTCCTGCCTCAGCCTCCTGAGCAGCTGGGATTACAGGTGTGTGCCACCACACCCGGCTGATTTTTGCATTTTTAGTAGAGACGGGGTTTCACCGTGTTGGCCAGGCTGATCTCGAACTCTCGACCTGTCTCAAGTGATCCACCTGTCTCAGACTCCCAGAGTGTTGGAATTACAGGTGTAAGCCACCGTGCCTGGCCTATTTTTCTTTTTTTAAAAATTTTGTGAGCAGTGAGGAGTTCCAGGGCAGGCCCTGACTCCTCCAGACACACCACTTACACCTGAATCTCTGGGATGGGACCCGTCCCTCCTGCCCAAGAGTCCCACTGCTTCCACTACTTAACTTTCTTGTTGTGAAAAATAATATACTCCAAAGAGTATAAAATATAAATGTACGGTTTCACAAATTATCATAAAGCCAGCGTACATGTAACAACTACCCAGGTTAAAAAATTGAGGCTGGGCTCAGTGGCTCACGCCTATAATCCCAGCACTTTGGGAGGCCGAGGCGGGTGGAACACCTGAGGTCAGGAGTTCAAGACCAGCCTGGCCAACATGATGAAACCCTGTCTCTACTAAAAATACAAAAATTTAGCTGGGCAGGGTGGCGCATGCCTGTAGCCCCAGCTACTCGGGAGGCTGAGACAGGAGAATCACTTGAACCCAGGAGGCAGAGGTTGCAGTGAGCCGAGATCACGCCACTGCACTCCAGCCTGGGTGACAGAGGGAGACTCTATGTGGAAAAAAAAAAAAGGAGAAAAAAATCAAAAGTAGTCATTTCCCCATAGCCTCCGTATGTCTTTTTCCGGGAGAGACCCTCCTGCCCCAACCATGCTCCCAAATGCACCAGATCTCACTCACTTGATTTGCTTATGGTTTTGCCAGCTGAACTATGCATCCCTAAACAATATAGTTTAGTTGTATCTCTTTTTGCACTTAATTTAATTTTTTTTTTTTTTTTAAGAGACAGAGTCTTGCCCTGTCACCCAGGCTAGAGTGCAGTAGTGCAGTCATGGCTCACTGTCAACTCAGACTCCTGGGTTCAGACAACCTTCCTGCCTCAGCCTTCCCAGTAGCTGGGACTACAGGCACATGGCACCATGCCAAGCTATTTTTTTTTTTTGAGACAAAGTCTTGTTCTGTCCCCCAAGCTGGAGTGCAGTGGTGCAATGTCAGCTCACTGCAATCTCTGCCTTCTGCCTCCTGGGCTCAAGCGATTCTCCTGCCTCAGCCTCCTGAGTAGCTGGGATTACAGGTGCCCCCCACCAGACCTGGCTAATTTTTTTTTTGAATTTTTAGTAGAGAGGGGGTTTCACCATATTGGCCAGGCTGGTCTTGAACTCATGACCTCAGGTGATCTGCCTGCCTTGGCCTCCCAAAGTGCTGGGATGACAGGCATGAGCCACTGTACCTGGCTGCAAGCTAATTTTTGTAGAGATGGGGATTTACCTTGTTGCCCAGGCATGTCTCAAACTCTTGGGCTCAAGGTATCTGTCCGCCTTGGCCTCCCAAAGTGCTGGGATTACAAGTGTGAGCCACCACACTTGACCTACTTATATGTCTTTTCTTGTGATGAAAATCTTAGTTTCTAGGGATAATAACATATTTATTTGCTTTATCTTAAACAATACCAGTGTAATTACTAATAATTGAATTTTGAATGAAGTTTAACATTTCCAGGGCCGGGTGCGGTGGCTCACGCCTGTAATCCCAGCACATTGGGAGGCTGAGGCGGGCAGATCATGAGGTCAGGAGTTTGAGACCATCTTGGCCAACATGGTGAAACCCCGTCTCTACTAAACATACAAAAATTAGCCAGGGTTGGTGGTGGGCGCCTGTAATCCTAGCTACTTGGGGGCTGAGGCAGGAGAATCGCTTCAACCCGGGAGGCAGAGGTTGCAGTGAGCCAAGATCGTGCCACTGCACTCCAGCCTGGGTGACAGAGCAAGACTCCGTCTCAGAAAAAAAAAAAAAAAGATTTCTTTGCAGTTCTTTTTGGCCTTAGGCTATATCCCGCTTGCTCAAACGATGTGTTTTAGTCACCTCCTATAATTCTCCAATGTGCCACCAACTTTGATATAGAGTTAGGTCTGTTTGGGCCAGTTTCTTTTAAAATTTTTGTGATGGCATTTGTTAAAATTTAATTAATTAATTTGTATAAAATATTTTTATAGTTCCAAAACTGAAAAAGAGGGTACATTCAGAGAGGTCCAATTTCTTACATTTTTTAAAAAATTATTTTTACTTCTGGTTTTCTTATTTTTTTGAGATGTGATCCACCTGCCTCGGCCTCCCAAAGTGCTGAGATTACAGGCATGAGCCACTTTGTCCAGCCAGAGAAGTCCAATTTCTGTTCATTTTCCCCTTCCCCATAAATAATCCTTTTTTCCCCCATAGATTTTGGTTTATTCTGTAATTTTGAAAATATAAACATATAATTTATAATTCTCATTTCTTTTATGAAAAGGGACATTCTGAACATACTGTCTGCACCGCACTGTGTCACAGCAGTCACTCGGTGACAGGACACAGAGATACTCTACTTTCCTCTTTATAGTTTTGTGGGACTCAATTGAGTAGATGTATTAGAAATTCAATTAGTTCTCTTTTAACATACATTTTGGTTATTTCCACTCTTTTGCTATTACAGATTGTGCTGCAATGAATAGCCTTGTGTATACATTTTCTCAAGGAAGGGTTTTGAGCATGGTAGTTACCTGATCAAATTTGTATTGTAGAGGATTTCGTGACTGGGAGACTGGCCTGGCGAGGTGGGAGGAGGAGGGAGGCAGTGCTAGGCTTTCAGGGTGTGTACAGATTGATGAAATCGTTTAGAATTGGAACTCACATGGCTGTGTTCCCACTCCTTCACCCGCACCAGGGGGAGGAGTGTGTGTGTGTGTCCTGTGCGTGGTGGGGTCATGTCCTCTTCGTGAGGTGCATGGGGGTGATGTGACCACATCCCTCCTCACACGTCGCAGGGGATATGATAGGACCCTGCCCCTCCCCATGGGGTCAGTTGAGACTGATGAGCCGTGTACCCCCTTCCGGGGAGGTGAAATGATGAGGCGTCCCACCCCCATGGAGTAGTGGGAATGGGGCCATGCCTCTCTCTCCAGCGCTCTCTCCGCGTCTTCCCCAGGGTGTCGCGCCTGGCGTCCGAGAAGCGGGAGCTGGAGGCGCAGCTGGGCCGATCGCGCGAGGAGGCGCTGGCCGGGCGCGCGGCACGCCAGGAGGCCGAGGCGCTGCGCGGGCTGGTGCGCGGGCTGGAGCTGGAGCTGCGGCAGGAGCGCGGCCTCGGGCACAGGGTGGCCGGCCGTCGCGGCCAGGACTGCCGCCGTCTGGCCAAGGAGGTGAGCAGCGGGGGCCCGGGGCGGCCAGCGAGGCGCGGACCTCGGCCTCAGCCTGGACCTCCGCGCCCCTCTCCCCTCCCGGCAGCTCGAGGAGGCGAAGGCATCGGAGCGGAGCCTGCGCGCCCGGCTGAAGACGCTGACCAGCGAGCTGGCATTGTACAAGAGGGGGTGAGAGCGAGGCCTGCCAGGCGCCTGGGCGGATGGGCGGGCCCTGAGGGTGTGGAGGCTGATGAGGCGGAGCCTAAGGGGGCGGGGCGGGGCCAGGTAGGGTGGAGGGGGCGGGGCTGAAGGGGAGGCGGGGCTTAGCGGACCCCGTCTGGAGTCCAGACAGGATTTGGGTGCAGTGGTTAGGAGGTGGACCCGGGCTGTGCGGAGATGCGCAGGCTTGGGGCGGCGTTCAGGAGGGACTGGGAAAGGGATCGTGCCCTAGGGTCTCCTGGTGCGAAAGGGTGCGGCGCAGCAGGTGGGATCAGGGTGAGGTCCGCTGGCATTTATGGGGTGGGTGGTGGAAAATTGGAAAGAGTTTCCGGGGAGTTGTGGAAGACTCCGGAAAGAAGGGTCTGTTGAAGGCGGTGTGTTGAAAGGATGTAGGGGAATGACAGAGGGGTGTTTTAGGGGTCCAATTGGGTGAGGTCTGGGGGGGAAGATATCGAGAGGGTCATGGGCCCAGGAGTGCACGTCTAGGAGTTGATGGGGTAGGCCTGAGGGTTCGGAGAAGGTGCGGTCGGGGAGGAGTCTCGCGATTGAGTTTGTCGGGGCGGGCGGGAAGCTGACAGCTGCCTCTGTGGTCTCAGGAGGCGGACTCCGCCGGTGCAGCCGCCCCCGACGCGGGAGGACCGGGCCTCATCGTCCCGGGAGCGCTCCGCGTCGCGAGGCCGCGGCGCCGCGCGCTCCTCATCCCGGGAGAGCGGCCGCGGGAGCCGGGGTCGGGGCCGCCCTGCGCGCCCCTCGCCCTCGCCCACAGGTCTGTGCCCCTGCCCTGCGGTAGGGAGGGGACGCACTGGCGCTGCCAAGGCCCGTCTCCGGACCTAGCCGCCTCCTCTCCCACGCCGTCCTAGGTGGTCGCGCGCTCCGCTTCGACCCCACGGCCTTTGTGAAAGCCAAGGAAAGGAAGCAGAGAGAGATCCAGATGAAGTCAGTGCCCCTTCCTCCCTCACCTGCCCCTGTCCCTGGCCCGTGCCCGCTCCCGGGCTCTCATCTCTCCACGCCACCATCAGTCTCCATCCCCTGCCACCTGCTCGCTTCTCGCCGGATACCCCGCCTGCTCTCCCTTCCGTCCGTCCTACCTCCTCGTCTGTGTTTCTGCGTGCTTTCCGCTCGTAGGCCTGTCACCTCAGGCTTTCGCTGGCGTGGCTGTGACCTTTAGGGGCGCAGTGACCCCCTTGCCTGCAGGAGTTGGGCGTACAGACCGGCGTCTCCTTTCTTTTTTCCCAGGCAGCAGCAGCGGAACCGCTTAGGCAGTGGGGGAAGCGGGGACGGTCCGTCCGTCTCCTGGTCTCGCCAGACCCAGCCCCCTGCTGCCTTGACTGGCCGAGGGGACGCCCCTAACCGCTCCCGAAACCGCAGCTCCTCAGGTAACTGGCCTGGAGCTGGGGGCTGCCGGGCTAGGCGGGACTGGGCGGGGCTGGGCGGGCTGGGAGGCACTGGGCAGGGCGGGCGGGCTGGGAGGGCCTGGGAAGCACTGGGCGGGGCCAGCGAGGGCCAGCGGTCACGCCCTCCGTCTCCCTCTAGTGGACAGTTTCCGCAGCCGCTGCTCGTCTGCCAGCTCCTGCAGCGATTTGGAGGATTTCTCTGAGTCGCTCTCCAGAGGGTAAAACTTGAACTTGGGAAAAGGATCGCCTCCAAAGGGTTTCTGGGGAGACTAGAAACAGTCTTTTGCAGGGAAATTGGGTGATGGAGCCTGGGGGCCTTGAAACCACAAAGGTCGGGGAGGTGGGAAGTACCAGAGCCTCCCCACCACTGGTCCTTGGTTACTCCTTTTTCTCAGGGGTCACCGCCGCCGTGGGAAGCCTCCCAGCCCAACGCCCTGGAGTGGGTCCAATATGGTGAGTAGAAGGGGCAACATAAACCACTGGAACACAGCTGCCCCCATTTCCTGTGATTCCTTCCTGGGGATCAGGTGCAGAGGCGACTCTGAATGCCTTTGGCAATAGGGCTTTTTTAAGAGTGCGTCTCGCTCTTTCAGGCTGGGGTGCAGTGGGGCAATTGTAGCTCACGGCAGCTTTCAACTCCTGGACTCAAGAGACCCTCCCACCTCGGCCTATGGAGTAGCTGGGACTAGGCTTTTTTGGGGGGGCAGGGTGGGGTTGAGACAGGATAAGGGGGTGGTATTGTCTCTTTATGTTGCCCAGGCTGGTCTGGAACTCCTGGCCTCAAGCCATCCTCAGCCTCCTACAGCGCTGGAGTTACAGGCTGGGCCAGCGCACCTGGCCTGGGAACAGCACGTTTTGAGAGCATTAGATTGGAGAAGGAATAATGAGGGGCACGTGATGCTCTTTAGGGCTTTGGCTTCTGACTGTCAGGTCTTGAAACCTGTCTCCTCCTCTTCCCAGCTGTATGGTTCAAGGCAGTTCTTTAGCCTCTCTGTACCTTAGTTTTTGTTTATCAGTTAACCAGGGTTGGTAATGGCATCACCTCACATGTGAGGTGAGGGCTCTGTGAGGACATTAGGAGGTTATTTTGCAGATAATGAATGGCCAGTAGGTGTCAGGCCTTATTTTTCCCCAAGGTCCTTAGGCTCAGGATTTCCAGTGGGATTTAGGGGGACAGAAATAGAGGGACGGTGGGTGACCCCCTTTCCTACCTTCCCCATCACCAGAAGTCTCCCCCCGTGGAACGCAGCCACCATCAGAAATCTCTGGCCAACTCCGGGGGCTGGGTCCCCATCAAAGGTGAGCCTGGGACTCCACATCCCCTCTCCCAGCCCCAGGACCCGTTGGAATGGTAGTGCGGGCAGTGGTATATTGGGCCCAGGAACTCCCTGGGGCTTCAGGCCCCTCACAGCCCCCATACCCACACCTGCTCTCACAGAGTACAGCTCGGAGCACCAGGCGGCTGACATGGCCGAAATAGACGCACGCCTGAAGGCCTTGCAGGAGTACATGAACCGACTGGACATGCGGTCATAACGTGGAGAAGGGGTACTACCCCTCCATCCCCCACCCACTTGCTGGGTATGGTGTGGGGGGTGGGGCCAGGGTGGCCTCCAGCCCTGCCCAGTCCCTGCCCTGGCCCCGTCCCTCCTGCTGCCCCTGGGGTCTCAGGTGTGTGAGGCCCTGACCCTGCCCTCTCCCCAGGCAGTGCATGCTGGGAGGGAGGATGTGTGCATTTTGTAAATAAACATATTTGCCCTGGGGACCCCTCAGCTTATGACTAAAGGGTGAGGGTGGAGTGGGGAGAAATGTGGAGGAAGAGAAATTGGGGGGTATAATTGGGACCTGTGTGTCTGTGCCTCGGAGGCAGATTGGGACTCAGGCCTAGGAAAAGCTTGTACACTCTCTAAACAGTGCAAGGGCAGACCTGGGAGGAGTAGTGAGCAGCCCGTCCCTAAAGGAGTCCAAGCAAAGTTTCTGCGCAGGATGCCTTTGGCTGTGTGGTGGGAAGGAGGTGTCTTGCAGCGTGGTTCACTGCCCAGGAGGACCCCCAGGACCCACTGTTGGTGACATCCCGGCCGCCTTGGTGCTGATTCCTGGGCTCTGACCTGAGACCTCTGGGTTCTGAGCTGTGATGTTGCTCTCGAGCTGGGATCTCCGGGGTCTTGGTTCAGGGCCGGGGCCTCTGGGTTCCAAGCACCAGTGAGGAGAGTGCTGGGAGGGGAAGGGGTGGGAGGGCTTTGGTCTTGTGGGAGGGAGAGAAGGAGGGGAGGTGTGTGGTGGGACCTGCTGAGGAACACATTTTGAGCTACATCTTTATTGGAGAAGGAGACAGTGGGGTTTTTGGCCATGGGAGGGGAGGAATGGGGTGCGGATCAGCAGGGCCTCAGGGGGAGCGGTAGTGTGGCCAATTCTGGATGAGGTGGTAGAGCTGGTTGCCTGGAGAGAGTGTACGCTGCACATCCCGGTGTCCTTTGAGCACATAGTTGGACCTCAGGGCTCCCTGAGCCACACCGCAGGCCAGTAGACCCTGGGCTGCCCGGATGGCCTGGGGTGTGGGCACCCGATCTGGAGGAGGCAGAGGTAGGAGTCAGGCAGGGGCTTCCCCGAAGGGGAAGTGATAGCGTAGGGCCCCGTGTCAGCCCCCATCCCAACTGGCTGGACAGTCACTCACCCATGTAGTTGCCCATGAAGCTGATGCCAATGGACATGGGGTTCCATAAGTGACCTGAGTGGGCACCCGTGAAGTTCCAGCCACGGCCCTCGTATACGAGCCCGTCTTCTCCAATCAGGAAGCTGCATGGGGAGGTGGGGGGGCTTGATGAGTGAGGGAGGGTTTCCCGAGGAGGACTCCTCCTCCTTCCTCCACTCACCCTGCCTCCGTTACTGCCGTGGTGCACACAACTTCCCCAGCATCCTTCTCACCCGTTAATTTCCCACGATAGTAACAATGACTGTGGTCATTTATTGGGCCCCTGCCATGTGCCAAGCACAGCTCTGCATACACCTTTTTCCATCCTCACAGCAACCCTGTGAGTCACTATCACCCCCGTTTTATATAGACAGAATCAGAGCGGTAGAATCACCTGCCCCGGGGTCACACAGCCTGTCTGGGGCACAGCTGGGGTTTTTAACCAGGCCTCCATGGTCCCCACCCATGTGATCTTGTGCGTTGCTCTCTCCTGCCTCCCTAGAGGATTTGTGGAAGTCCTGTTTTACTGAATCCTTGCAGGACAGCCCTCTGAGGCAGAGACTTTTTTTTTTTTTTTTTTTTAAGACGGGGTTTCACTCTTGTTGCTCAGGCTGGAGTGCAGTGGCGTGATCTCAGCTCACCGCAACCTCTGCCTCCTGGGTTCAAGTGATTCTCGTGCCTCAGCCTCCTGAGTACCTGGGATTACAAGCATGAGCCACCACACCCGGCTAATTTTTGTATTATTAGTAGAGATGGGGTTTCACCATGTTGGCCAGGCTGGTCTCGAACTCCCGACCTCAGGTGATCTGCCCGCCTTTGGCCTCCCAAAGTGCTGGGATTACAAGCATGAGTCACCGTGCCCAGCCAAGGCAGGGACTCTTATCATCCTCATCTTAAGCAGAGAGAGCAGAGACTCAGAAAGCGACATAATTTGTACAAGCTACTCAGAGCCCCCTGCCTCTCAGAACTCTGCCTTTGCCCCAGCTTGCTTCCTGCCCTCGGGGTCCACTGGGGGACAGGATCACAGACTCAAAGTTGGGGTCGTAACCAGATACCGACCCTGGAGCCCCAGCACCTGCCTCTTTGAGGTTCCCAAGCCTGGCAGCAGATCCTTAAGGCTGATTCATTCAGCACATCTGATTGAGCGTGTCTGACTTGGCAAATGGGAATGAACTAGAAGATCAGTGCCTTGGAGCTGCAGTATGTGCCAACTCAGCCCCCGCGCTCACAGTGTCATTAATGACGCACAGAATGTCGGAACTTCCGAATCTTGAGTCCCGAATCTGCTGCTTAGGAAGCCAGCTCCCAGAATCTGGCCCCAGTGATGCTGGCTGCTGGGACTGGCTGGTTATGGCCCTGCTGGTGATGCTGGCTGCTGGGACTGGCTGGTTATGGCCCTGCCATATTCCCGGAGCCTGGCATGATGGTGCTGGGGTCGGGGGTGGTTGGTTCTCCCTGGTCATTTGTTGCATGAATGCATCTCATTGAAACCTCAGCCACCATCGCCAAGCGGGTACAGTCAGAAGCCCCATTTACAGGTGAAGAAACGAGGCTCAGAGAGAGAAGGTGACGTGACATGGAAAGGGGATTCAGAACGTTAGAACCAGATTCGGAATCCTAAAAGCTGAGGGCCAGACAGCGGCTGCTTCTGTATGTGGTGATGTGGACCCGAGGCTCGGGCCTTCGTGACCTCATGGGAACACTTAGGATCAGAGCGCCTGAGTCTTGGAAACAAAATGTTGAAGTTGGAGTCTTTGATAAAATCTTGAACTGGAAGGGCTGGGAATACCTTTGGACACTTCTAGACTTCTCTGGGTGGGTTTTGTGTGTGTGTGTGTGTGAGACACAGCCTTAGGAGGTCCTGAGAACATGTGTCCCCTGGGTGGGGTCTATTGAAGTGGTCTCTGGGGACCTGCATGTTCCTCCAATAAGCTCTGCAGGAGATTCTGATGCTTACCTGGGTCTGAGAGCCTGCAGGATTGAAAGTTCCCTCCCTGTGGAAACCGTCAGGCTGGACTGCAGCCCATTCTAAGGAGGAGGTAGCTGGTAGGCGTGGCCCCGGACCTGCTTCAGCCTGCTTCAGCCGGCACCCCTTACAGTCTGTTCTCCCCACAGCAGCCAGAGGGAGTCTCTTGTACCTACACTAGCCCTGGTCCCTGCTCTGCGGGGGGAAGCCTCCCATGGCTCCCATCTCGGAGTAAAAGCTACAGTCCTCACTGTGGTCCACAAAGCCCTGCCTGGTCCTGCCCTTTCCTCATTTCATTCCGCTCGCCCGGCTGTGTTCAGCCACCCTGTCCTTCCCACAGGACCCGCCCACTCAACCCCGTTGGCTTTGCCCCCAGCACCCCCTGCCACCTGCAGGCCTCTGTCTGCTCCCCCATCCCAGAGCCAAGGCAGCCACTCTCAGGGAGGCTTTCCCTTGCCCCACCCTTCCAAGGAGCCTGTGTGGGTCTGGTCCCAGCCTGAGGTCACCCTCCCTCACCTCTTTCCTTTTATCCATCGCCTCTATCACCGTCTGAATTCACCTGTGGCCTTGGCTTGTTTCTCCCTGCTGGTCTTTCAACCCCAGGAGGCTAGAGTGGCACCGTTCTCCATGCCACATCTGGCACACTGCCTGGCACATAGTAGGTGCCTAATGGTAATAGCCCGTGGCTTTGCGGGCCCCCGTGTGCCAGGCAGTTCCTAGGTGCTTTGCCTGTATTGGCTCATATAAGGAGCAGATGGGCCGCGATTCCATTGACTTTGCCGAGGAGGAAGCTGAAGCCGGGAGGACCCGCCCCAGGCCTCAGCCAGCAATAAGATGAGCTGACCCTGGAACCCAGCTCCGCACTGAGTCAGCCTGGTTTTCCGCCTCCTAACAAAGGCACCAGGCATCAGGAAGGGGCGCCTTCATAAGGCGTCGCGGACACCTTGGTGTGTGTTAGGCAAAGCCTGCCCCTTCTTCCCGGGAGCGGGAGCGGGGCTTGGATTTCAGCCCATCCCCCCTTCTCACGCATCTTTGTGCTGTGAGCACCTGCCCCGGCCCACGTGGTGACCCGAGGAAGAAATGACCTTGTGAGGTTCAGTAAGCTGCTCAGGGTGTCAGCCAGGTGGCCTCAGCACCAGGCCTAGAAATGGTCCCGCTGGCGGGCACTTGCACACCTTTGCCTCTGGGATCCCCAGTCCAGCCCGTGCCCCCCTGCCACACTCACTTGTAGCCCACGTCGCACCAGCCCAGTGTCTTCATGTGGTAGTGCTGCACATTCCGGGCCTGCTGCTGGCACGAGGCGGGGGTGTTGCAGCTGCTGCCCGCCGTGTGCGATACCACCACATAGCGTAAGGGCAGGCTCAGGTGCTGGGCGCACTCTGATGCCAGGGCCTTCCACTCGTTCCGGGGCACTATGGGGCTGCAGCAGGCCGGGTCTTCTGTCTCCTGAGCCGCTCCGAGTCGAAGGAGGCTGGGGAGAGCCCAGGCAAGCAGCATAGAGCGGCGGGACATAGTGGCAGGGCGGCAGGGTCCGGGAGACCGCTAGGAGCGCCCGGTGGAGGGGCCGCCTTTATCTGCTGGGGGATTCCAGGAGTGGCCCGGAAAGTCTTGCTTCACACCCTGCTGGGACTTCCTGCTGGCCCAGCAGACCCCAGACTCAGCTTCCTTCTCTGGCTGGGCCAGGGCGGGATGCACTGTGGTTGGGGTCTGGGTCACGCCCACGGCAATGACAGGCCCCCTCGCTCAGCAGGGAGGGACGCACAGGCCCCTGGGCGCTTCGCCCCGCCGTTTCTGGAAGACCCGGGGCCGGGATCCCGGTCCTGCTTGTCTCTCCTCTCAGTGGAACATTGAACAACTCAACAGGAACTTACATCGCAGAGGCCCGGGGCATTGGCACATCTTCTCCCCGCAAGGACTGAGGTAACAAAGCTACCCATTTTAAAAACACTTCCTTCCCCCAGGTCCAAGCCTGATGCCATTTACGCTTGCAGCAAACTCAAGAGGTGAGTATCTGGAAGTCCATTTCACAGTGGAGTAAACTGAGGTTGAGAGCAGGGAAGTCACGGGCTGAGACACCGGAGGCACTGGAGCCCCGCGTCTAGAGCCAGGCTGCCTGCATGTGAATCCTGGATATGCAGTGTGTGAGAGCCTGCAAGTGGTTTTTAAAAATGTGTATTTAAAATTTTTTTTTTAATTTTCTATTTTATAAATAATATTTTCCTTTTTTTTTTTTTTTTTTTTTGAGATGGAGTTTTGCTCTTGTCACCCAGGCTGGAGTGCAATGGTGCGATCTTGGGCCACTGCAACCTCCGCCTCCTGGCTTCAAGTGATTCTCCTGCCTCAGCCTCCTGAGTAGCTGGGATTACAAGTGCACACCACCACGCCCAGCTAATTTTTATATTTTTGGTAGAGACGGGGTTTTGCCATGTTGGCCTGGCTGGTGTCGAACTCCTGACCTCAGGTGAGCCACCTGCCAGTGTTCCAGAGTGCTGGGATTACTATAGGCATGAGCCACCGTGCCTGACCTGTGTGGTGTGTTTTCATCTTCTGTGTTCTGCCTTCTCATATACATTGTACTCATGCTGTTACTGAATTGTGCACCAGGCATCTGTAGCACTTTTCAGAAATTATCATATACTCAACGACAAGCTTGCCAGATCCATGTTATTATTAACCCCTCTTACAGTTGACGGAACTGAGGCCCGGGGGGATGATCACATACAGGAGGTGATGAAGCCAGGGTTTGGCTACAGGCTTTCTGCCTGCAGAGTTATAAACCGTATTCTCCTCCCTACAAACTTATATAAGGACATTAAAAAAAAAAATCAAAACCATGTGCATCAATTTACCTTTTGTCACCTAATATTTCATGGGCATCTCACCAGGGCAGTACATCTAATTCTAATTTATTCTTTATAATAGTTGCACAATATGCTATAGTATCAGTTCAGCATTGTGGATCTTTTAGTTTTTGAAGGTTTTCCAGTATTTTCTCCACACTACGCAAAATATTTTCAGACATATATCCCTATGCACTGGTGCATTTATAAGTAAATTATAAACACAGAGTTATTAGGTCAATGAGTATACATATTTAATTAATATTACCAGATCATTTTCCCCAAAAAGCCATTAATAATTCATATTTTTCACCAGTAATGTTTTGGAGCCTCCTCACCCCGACCCCAGAAGTGGGTGTTATCACTTTTTTTTTTTTTTTTTTGAGTCAGAGTCTCGCTCTGTCACTCAGGCTGGAATGCAGTGGCACGATCTTGTCTCACTGTAAACCTCCACCTCCTGGGTTCAAGCCATTCTCCTGCCTCAGCCTCCCAGGTAGCTGGGATTACAGGCATGTGCCACCACACCTGGCTAATTTTTGTATTTGTAGTAGAGATGGGGTTTCGCCATGTTGGCCAAGCTGATCTCGAACTCCTGAGCTCAGGTGATCCACCCACCTCAGCCTCCCAAAGTGCTGGGATTACAGGCATGAGCCACCTTGCCTGGCCAGTGTTATCACTTCTTAAATTTATAAGTATAAAGTGACAGCTCCTTTGGCATTTTTATACCCACTCAGGAGACTGGGTATTTTTCTGTATTTGCTGTCTATATTTGGGCTTGCTCTTTTGTCAATTACCTGTTCATATCCATTGCCCATTAAAAAAAATTGGGTTGTTTGCCTTTTTGTTATTATTTGCAAAATGAACAAAAGAATCCCATAATTGGGATTTTTGACTTCTTGGGTGTGTACATTTTGTGTATTTCAGTTTTTTTAGAAGCATTAAAGAATAATGTAATATAAAAAGTGTGTAAACACATTTTTTATAGAGTTGATAGACTTAATAGAGTAGTGAGCTTATGAGTGTTCACGAAGTGAATCCACCTGTGTATCCAGTGCCTGGATTAAGAAGTAGAGCTACACTTAAAATTTTAATAGGAATTGGTAAATACAATACCAAAAAGATTTTAGTATATATTTTTCCCACAATATGATCAGTTTTTAAATGTTTTACTAATCCAAAGAACAAGATCTCATTATTGCTTTATTTGCATTTCCTTGAACATTAGAGAGGTGATTATCTTTTTACATATTTATGGCTATCAGCATCCATCTTCAAACTGTCTGTTCATCTCTTCTGATCATTTTCTTGTTGAGTTGTATATGGGGGATATTAACCCTATGTCTTATCAAATGTGCTGTAAACCCTTTCCTCTAATCTGTTAAAAAAATATCTAGGTTTTTCTTTTATGGTTTCTGTGTTTCCTGTCTTGCCTTAAGAGGGACTTTTCACACTAAGATTGTAAAACTTTTTCTATTTAAAAAAGATTATTTTGTGTTTTACTTTTAGATCTTTATCTCGGCTAAAATGTATACTTGCATGTGGTGTGAGGTAGGGGTCTGATCTTGTTTCCAGATGCCTAGCCGTTTGCCCAGGTTCTGTTTATTATATAGGTAGACCTGGTTTTAAATTTCCATTCTGCCCCTTATTAGCTACATGATCTTGGGAAATTGGATAGCAATTGACACAGTCGACCACTTCCTCCTTCTCAAAATACTTATTTCCCTTAGCTTTTGTGATGTAAGACTGCCTTGATTTTCCTTCTGCTTCTCTGGCTGGTCTTTTTTTCTCTCTCTCTTTTTTTCAGAGCAATTCTTCCCTCCTGGACCCTCAAACCATATATTTTGTGCTGAGTGATCTTATCCACATAATGGCTTCAGCCACAGTCAAAATGCAGAGGATTCCTGTATTTCAATGTCTAGTCTGGAGCTCTCAGTTGAGTTCTGGATCTGTGTATCCACCTGGCCACTTGACGCCTCCACTTGGATGTCCCACAGGCACCTCCAATGCAAAATGACTCATGACCTTCTCCTCCCCATCAGCACTCTCACAGGAGTTCCTGTCTAAGGAAATGGTATCACCATCTTCCCATTACAAAAGCCATACATTTGAGCACCATCCTTGACTAATTCCTGTTCCTTCCTCTGTTGTACCCAGTACCCAAAAGAATGCCCAGCACATGGTAGGTGCTCACTAAATAGCTACTTGATTGAATGGATATGCAACCCACCACCAAGGAATGCCACTGTGATGAATTAGAACTCTTCTATCTAATTCCATTCTCTGCACCCTGGTCCAGACACCACCTCCTTTCACCTGGATTTTGCCCTGCCTCTTCAGTGACCTCCCAGGATGCACTCTGGCCTCTGTGAAGCCAAAGCTCTGCTCAGATCTTTTCTAAAGTCACCCTCAAAAATGAGTCACATTTTTCATTGGCATCTCTTGATTCCTAGAATGAGGCCCAAGCTCCTCCCCATGGCCAACAGCATGGGCTGCCTACAGTATGGGCTGCCCCCATCCCAGCCTCACCTTGCTTACTCCCAAAAGCCTCTTTCTGACTCCTGCAGCCACTGTCCCCTTCTTGCTGCCCTTGAACATGCTTTGACTACCCTGTTCCCTTGGGGACTTCAGACACACCAGGTATAAGTTTTAAATAGAGGAACCTGGAACGAATTCAGGAACTTTGTACCTTAGCTTTAAGACAACAAAACACCAAGCCAGCCTTTTGTAAAAAGACAGGACTATTTACACATCACATTCCTTTTTTTAATTTTTATTTTCTTTTTTCCCTTTCTTTTGCCTGTTCTTTCATTTGAGGCACAGATCCCTTAAAGACACTAAGAATATAAACATTAGCCAGCTGGAGTGAAGCCTTCCATTGTGAGAGTTTTATTTAGTCTGTATCTTTAAAAAAATGTATTTACTTATTTATTTTTTGAGACAGTTTCACTCTGTTGCCCAGGCTGGAGTGCAGTGGCACAATCTTGGCTCACCACAACCTCCGCCTCTTGGGTTCAAGCAATTCTTTTGCCTCAGCTTCCCTAGTAGCTGGGATGACAGGTGCCCACCACCATGCTCAGTTAGTTTTTGTATTTTTTTTTTTTTTTTTTTTAGTAGAGATGGGGGTTTCACTATGTTGGCCAGGCTGGTCTTGAACTCCTGACCTCAGGTGATCTGCCTGCCTCGGCCTCCCAAAATGCTGGGATTAAAGGTGTGAGCCATATTTACTTACTTATTTTTACATACAGGTGTGAGCCATATTTACTTACTTATTTTTACATACAGGTGTGAGCCATATTTACTTATTTTTACATACAGGTGTGAGCCATATTTACTTACTTATTTTTACATACAGGTGTGAGCCATATTTACTTATTTTTACATACAGGTGTGAGCCATATTTACTTACTTATTTTTACATACAATACAAACACTTTAAATAAAGTTGAAGATCATCTCCATGGACCAGGTGGTCAAGCCGAACACCCAGGATCCAGCTGTCAAGTTCAGGGTAGCCCCTGAGCTTCTCACTCTGACTCCAACAGGGTGAGCTTGCTATCCTTGTGGCACAGGGCCTTTTGCATTGTGGATGATGGAGCGGCTCGTATAGTCCATAAGTTTTGTGCGTAGCTGTGTACCCTGTCCCTGTGAGCTGGTTCTGCCCGGCACCTCGGTGACCTCGAGGAAAGAAGCTGAGGTAAGACCTGGCCTGCCTGGCTCCTCGACTTCCTTCCTCAGCCCTCAAATTCTGGCTCCCACCTCACTCTCTAAATTTATTTTTATTTTAAATTTCATTTTAGAGACAGAGTCTTGCTTTGTCACCCAGGCTGGAGGGCAGTGGCACCATCATAGCTCACTGCAGACTCGAACTCCTGGGCTCAAGGGATCCTCCTGCCTCGGCCTCCAAAAATGGTGAGATTATGGACATGAGACACTGCACTGGGCCTATTGTGTATCTTGTTGGCCTAAAATTGAAACATGCCTTGTGAGCGTTTACTGCAACTTCAATGAGTGATTATTATGTTGCCTTTAATCCTGAGAGACTGTATTACTTGTGCACTTTTTTTTTTTTTGGATAGGGGGAAATTAGATTTATTCCCTATATGTTTTAGAAAATTGAAGTTTTAAATATCAGACTCACTAGCTGCCCTGATTTAATCTGTTACAATTAAGTCAGTTAAAAAACTCCTCCTTGGCCGGGCATGGTGGCTCACACCTGTAATCCCAGCACTTTGGAAGGCCAAGGTGGGCAAATCACTTGAGATCAGGAGTTCGAGATCAGCCTGGCCAACATGATGAAACCCTGTCTCCCCTAAAAATACAAAAATTAGCCAGGCGTGGTGGCGGGCGCCTGTAATCCCAGCTACTTGGGAGGCTGAGGCAGGAGAATCGCTTGAGCCCGGGAG